>NC_000001.11:182275496-182578526 GCF_000001405.40 Homo sapiens
GGTAACGAGCATACAGGACTCACCATCCCTAAGAAGCTGCACAGGCTGAGAACAGAGATTCAATTAAAGTGTTAGGTTTTACTTTTATTTATTTATTTAACACACTATATACCAAGCTCTGTGTTAGGTGGTTGTTACAGCCTGAATTGTGTCCGTCAAACATTCCTATGTTGAAGCTCTAATACCCATATTCTCTCAATGTAACTGTATTTGGAGACAGGGCATTAAGTTAAAATGTGGCCATCAGGGTGGGCCTAATCCAGTTTGGCCAGTGTTCTTAAAAGAAGAGATAAGGGCACACAAAGGTACACTAAGGGTGCACAGAGGAAAGACCATATGAAGGCAGTGAGAAGATGGCCATCCAAAACTCAAGGAAACAGGCCTCAGAAGAAACTAACCCAGGATGGGCACAGCAGCTCACACCTGTAATCTCAGCACTTTGGGAGGCCAAGGCAGGTGGATCACAAAAAATTAGCCAGGTATGGTGGCGCACACCTGTAATCCCAGCTACTTGGGAGGCTGAGGCAGGAGAATTGCTTGAATCTGGGAGGCAGAGGTTGCAGTGAGCCAAGATTGCACCACTGCACTCCAGCCTAGGCCACAGAATGAGACTCTGTCCCAAAAAAAAATAAAAAATAAAAGAGGAAAATAACCCTTCCAACATCTTGATCTTGGACTTCTACACTCCAGAACTGTAAGAAATAAATTTCTGTTGGTTTATTTTTTTTATTTTTTGCGTAATTTTCTGTTGCTTAAGCCACACCATCTGTTGTATTTTGTTAAGGCAGCCCTTGCAAACTAATACAGTGCTTTATAACTATACGCTCATTAATCCTTGTAACAACCTTTTGATATAGGAACTGTAATCTCCATATTACAAATGAAGAACCTGAGGCTTATAAAGGTTAAAAAAATTTCATCAGTGTCAATCACAAGTGGCAGAGTTGAGATAATTGTGAATGACAGAAACCTAAGAATCCTAATTGAAGGATGTCTGGGTCCTATCTCCCACCTCAGCAAGCAGACTTCAAGACAAACAATCTCATACACCTCTTTGCTTGGTGTTTCTAGAACAGGTAGCTAAGGCCACGCACTAGTGTGACTATGTGTAGGCTTAGAAAATGATTAAGGAAGGCACCCTTGAATAGCATATAACATAAAGGTCAGAGCACTGGACTGGGCACCAGAACATATGGGGTCAAATCCATTTCCTAGGGATCCTCTAATCTCATGTACTCTTTCTGTTTTTTGAGATGGAGTCTTGCTTTGTTGCCCAGGTTTGGGTGGGGCTCACTGCAACCTCCACCTCCCTGGTTCAAGTGATTCTCCTGCCTTAGCCTCCCAGGTAGCTGGGATTACAGGCTCCCACCACCATGCCCAGCTAATTTTTGTATTTTTAGTAGAGATGGGGTTTTGCCATGTTGGTCAGGCTAGTCTCAAACTTCTGACCTCAGGTGATCCACCTGCCTCGGCCTCCCAACGTGCTGGGATTACAGGCATGAGCCACCACTCCTGGCCTCTTCTAATGTATTCTTGAGCAACTTAATCTCTAAATCTGTTTTTTAACCTACATAAAAGGAATAAGCTGCCTAACTTTTGGTGTTGCTTTAATTACATTAACATTTCACCAACCTTTTGGTGTTGCTTTAATTACATTAACATTTCACGGCATTCATCATGCTGTATTAAAGCTGTCTTTAGTATCATTAATACTTAGCACAGTTTCCTTGCATATAATTGGCCCTCAAACAATGTTGAAAGAGTCCATATGGAAGTTCTTAGCAAATTGTACAAATGTAAGCCTTTGATTAACCCAAGGAAAAGCCACGCTGTCGCATTTTCTTTCTTTCAGCCCTGGTCTCTAAAGGATGGAAAGAGATGAGTCAAGAATCAAAATCATATGAAAGGTCACCACCGTCCAAGGACCCAGGTAGCTTCAAGAGAGATTACAGAGCAAAGGGTCACGACCGCCTGCTGAGGAATAGGATTCAGGCCCTAACCTGACAGCTTCCATTCTTCATCTCTCTCCTGTGTCTGGTGACAGTTGTCCTCATATCACCCTCATCTGTAATCTACTGCCTTTTCCCAAGACTACTTAATAGCAGTCAATCTGAAAAAGTCACCGGAGGTAGCTCAGTAAACTGGAACAAAAGTCTTTGTTCATGATTTTTACTGAGGGCAGCCCCACATTCCTTTCCCCAAGAGCCATAATGGGTCCCCAGGACCAAAGAGTCCACCTTGCCTTTCTGACCCACCATTCTTTCAGGGGAAGAGAGATGCTACACCCAAAATAAACACTCAACACTTTCTCTTTGGTTCAGAGGGTGTAGGATGCGCCTCTAGCAATCTAGCCTGTATTAGTCCATTTTCACACTGCTGATAAAAACATACCTGAGACTGGGCAATTTACAAAAGAAAGAGGTTTAATTGGACTTACAGTTCCACGTGGATGGGGAAGCCTCACAGTCATGGCGGAAGGCAAAGAGGAGCAAGTCCCATCTTACACGGATGGCAGCAGGCAAATAAAGAATGAGGAAGACGCAAAAGCGGAAACCCGTGATAAAACTATCAGATCTCGTGAGACTTATTCACTACCATGAGAACAGTATGGGGGAAACCACCCCCATGTTTCAATTATCTCCCTCTGGGTCCCTCCCGCAACACATGGGAATTATGGGAGTACAGTTCAAGATGAGATTTGGTGGGGACAGAGAGCCAAACCATATCATAGCCATTCTGCCAGAAACAAAAGCAGAATTCATGCATCCATTTATTTATTTGTTTGTTTATTCATCAGTTCATGCATTCATCAAATGTTTGTTGAGTGCCTTCTGTGTGCCAAGCACAGTTCCAGTGCCAGGGGAACAGCAGAGTCCAAAACAATAAGCATTCCTGCTCGCACAGAGTGCAGTCATCACTGGGAAGTGGAAATAAACAAAATAAATCAGTGGAAGATGGAACTTTTCAGGCGTGACAAGTGTTATGGAGAAAAATAGACCAAAAAATGAGGGTAGGGAATTCTGGGGTAAAGACATAAAGATAAAAAGCAAGATAAGCAAACATCTGAGAGAAGAGCCATCCAGGAAGAGGCCTGGAGCTGGGAGTGCCTGGCATGTTCTAGAAACACAAGAGGCCAGCAATGCTGAAGTAGTTAGCAGTGAGACAAGTCAGAGGGTTAGCAGGAGGCCAGACTGGAGAGAACCTCGCAGACTTCTCTGCGATGGGGAGCATATGGGGGTTTTGAGCAGGGGAGGAATCTGATCAAAATCATGGTTTTACAGGGTCTCTCGGCCTGCTGTGTTGAGAACAGGCTGGGCAAGAGGAAGGCAGCACAAAGGCGGAAGCAGACCAGTCAGGAAGCTGTTGTAATAATCTAGGAAAGAACTGATGATGGCTTAGAACAGGGAACAAAGTAGTAGAGGCAGGGAGAAGTGACCAGGTTCTGGGATGCATTTTTAAGACAGAGCCCACAGGCTTTGCCTACAGTGTGTTGTGGGATATAAGAGTAAGAGAAGAGTCCAGGAAGAATGTAATTGCCATTCACTGAGATGAGGAAAACTATGGAAGATCAAGTTTGGTGGATGGATGACCCAAGAAGCTCATTTGGTGATGCTTAGCTTTGAGATGACTTTAGATACTCAGTTGAAGATGGTAAGTGGGCTGTTGAATACATGAGGCTGACCTTCAGGGGACAGGTCTGAGTCAAGGGTATAAATTGGGAATGGTCAGTATTTAGGTGGATCCCACTGCCATAAGGCTAGACAAAAACATTGAGAGTAAGTACAGGTAGAGGAGAGACTGAGCCCGGGACAGGCCACCAGTAGACACCAGAGCTGAGAAGGAAGTAGCCAAAGATGAACTAGAAGGAACAGGAGGGAGGCAGGAGGAAGCCAGGAGAAGGTGGGCCCTTCCTTCTCCTCACTGCTGCCTCGTTAACCCTCATTTTGCCTTTTTGCTGTCACTCCACCTCTGTCAGCTTCACCTCTCTCAGATTCATTCTTAGGTAAATAAAGATGTTTTCTATCACTGTGCATGAGCCAAAATAGATATTTACTAGGTAAACACTATTCCTTTAATTGGGCGATTCTTAAAAAAAAAAAAAAAAAAAAAAGAAGGCACTCAGATCTCTGTTCGGTGTGTTCGTTACAATATGTGGATCTGCTGGAACATCAAATTACCCAGCTCCACGGGCTCCGTGGGCTCCACAGTCAGCCTGCCAAATGGTGTTGAAGATATTCTCATGATTGTTGCTATTGTTATTGTTCAGAGAGGCTTCAGCCCTTGGGGCAGCCCTCCCTCCTTCCCTCTCCCACTCTCCACCCCCTGATCCAGAGGCACGAATGCTCTCATCAATTCACTTTGGTCCAGCTGCCAGGCTGGGGAACAGATGTTGCATTGTTAACAGGAAGGAGAAAACAAACAGCTCCACTCTCCTGTGTTCTCCCGCCCTCCTCCCCCATCCCCCTTTCAGTCCCCTGGTGAAAATGGGAAAACAATGTTGGGGAGAGGACGGGGGTCCAGTGAGTAATGCCCTTCTCCCTGCCAAGGCCGAGCCACGGAGCTCCTGACCAGAGGCACACAGAGCATTCTCCTGGGCCCTGTTTATAGAGGACATAAGCTGTGTCAGCTGAGCGGGCTTGCTCATGGCTGGTGACGTGAAGATGTTCTCACTGAGCAGAACATTGAAAGAAGACAATGGCCCTCTTCTGCATGTGGCCCCAGTGACAAATCTACCTGCATTTTAAGGGCAAAAGCTATGACCAAAAGACAAGCCCAGGGCAGAAGGAAAATGTTTCTTGGCTGAACTCTATCTCTGTATGTCTGATCATTTCTCCTCTGGAGGCTTTTTCGAAATGGGGAGAATTCCTTTTTTTCCCTAGAGAACACAGGGTAAGAGTCTCCCACCTTTTCTCTCACTTGTCACGCAGACCCTTCCAAGCTGGGGAGGGGTAGAGGGGAGGGGTGCATGGAGTAGGGTAAATGTAGGAAATCTAGAGTGAAGGCTGCATGTGAAATAGTAGCATGGAGGTAAAGGAGCACACAGCCTGTCAGCTAGGCTAAGGGATTGAAACTTCCCTTGAAGTTACTAGATGGCAAGGAAAAGATTTTAGGAAGAAGAGTGACATACAAGAAACAGATGACATCTCTGTGATAGATGGGTGGGAAGGGAAAGCTAGTCAAGAGGCCGCTATAGCAATCCAGGTCACAGACAACCAGAAGCCCTAAGACAGTATTAGCGATAGTTCAGCTGCTGTCAATGAGGCAAAATCAATAGGGCTTAGGAACCAATTGGGCATGGAGAAGGGGTGGCTGAGGATGATCAGGCTGTAGAAAGAACATTAGTGGCTCTAAGCCTGGAAAGTTTATGTCCACCCTGTATACAACATCCACAATAAAAGTACTGTCTAATCGTAAAATAAGTAGAAGAAAGCCAATAAGCTTTGTTTTTTCTAGGGTGGCATTTTGATGCTTTTTTAAAGCACTACAATCTTGTTTGTTTAAGCTTTTTTTTTTTTATTTCCATAGGTTTTTGGGGAACAGGTGGTGTTTGGTTACATGAGTACATTATTTAGTGATTTCTGAGATTTTGGTGCACCCATCACCCAAGCAGTACATACTGAACCCAATTTGTAGTCTTTTATCCCTCACCCACTTCCAACCCTTACCCCCTGAGTCCCCAAAATCCACTGTGTCATTCTTATGCCTTGGCATCCTCATAGCTTAGCTCCCACTTATGAGTGAGAACATATACAATGTTTGGTTTTCCATTCCTGAGTTACTTCACTTAGAATAACAGTCTCCAATCCCATCCAGGTTGCTGTGCCATTAATTAATAATTTTTTATGGCTGAGCAGTATTCCATCATATATATATATATATATGTATGTATGTATACACACACACACACACACACACACCACAGTTTCTTTATCCACTCGTTGGTTGATGGGCATTTGGGTTGGTTCCACATTTTTGCAATTGCAAATTGTGCTGCTATAAACATGCGTGTAAGTCACTACACACTTTTGAAATAATTTTTTGGCACTCTGTGTTTGTTTCCTTGGTGTTCCAAGCCTATGCTTTTTTTGTGCTCGCTGGAGAATCCAACACAGGGAGGAAGTTTCAGGATTCACGTCCAGGCCACAAGGTAGATGGCGATGCTGCTCACAGAGGACAGGGATGCAGGAAGAGGAGAAGGGAGGTGGAGCGAGAGTGATGAGCTCAGCCTTGGACATGCTGAGTGAGAAGTATCAATGGAGACAGACACTGCCAGAAAGCAGCTGATTAGATGAGTCTGGAGCGAGATGGTGGAACTGGGCATCATCAGCGCTCATGCAGGGGGAGAGTCATGGGAGAGGATGAGGTCACCCAGGGTGAATGTGTGGAGGGAGAGGGGAGACAGCCTGAAATCACACCAGCAGAAAATCAGCATTTTAGGGACTGGGCAGGAAAAGGAGCCTGATGAGAAGCATCCAGAAAGACTGAAGAAAATGTGGGAGGGAGTAAAGCTGCAAAGACCAGGAAAAGTGGGAATTTTAAGGAGAAGGAAATGATCAACAGTATCAAATGCTATCAGCTGATTCAAGTCAGTTGAGAGGATGGCCAGGGCTGATTGGCACCACTGTGTTTAACAATGAAGAGGTCACTGGTGGTCCTACTGAGCGTGATTTCTGCAGAGCAGTATATGTGGAAGGATAACAGAAAAGCAAATGATGTGATAAATAAAAGGCAAGTTTATACCATTAGTGGTAGCCGTAGAGGAATGGAAGGTTGAGGGAAGGTTTCATTTAAAGATGGTAAAGAACACACTGGCCTGGTGCGTGGCTCATGCCTGTAATCCCAACACTTTGGGAGGCTAAGGTAGGAGGATCACTTAAAGCCAAGAGTTCGAGAGCAGCCAGGACAACATAGTGATACCCTATTTCTACAACAAATAAAATTAAATTTAAAATAGCTGAGTGTGGCAGCATGTGCCTGCAGTCTCAGCTACTTATAAGACTGAAGTGAGATGATCCTTTGAATCCTGTAGTTTGAGGCTACAGTGAGCCGTGATCACACCACTGCACCCCAGTCTGGGTGACAGAGTGAGATCCTGTCTCTCAAAAAAAAAAGAAAAAGAAAAAAGAAAAGAAAAAAAGAACATTTAAATACACTAATAGTTCATTTAACCTGCTAAGCAAATACATCAAGCCCCACTAGGTTTGGGGGCAAGGAGGGTATCTTTAATACATAAATAAGTTTTAGGGGAAAATTTCTTTTTACACCACCTACAGGCTACAGAGAATCAGCTGAGGCAATAATTTTACTTGGCTTGGATGTGGTGCTCTGGAAAGGGTGGCAAGCATTTATCAGGCACCTACTGTATATGTTAGTTAATGTATGAGCTGCCATATGGAATTCAGAAACAATAAGCTCAAGAAGCTCATCACCTCAGAGGCTGCAAATGTACAGTGTGAAACACACATTGTGTTTGTCCTACACCGTGATTTTGTAAAATTAAACCACCACTTTAAAAAGTCATAAAAATTTGGACATCTGTTCTCTCTTGAAAAACTGGAAGATCTACATCTACCTGGATTTTTGGTGGGCAGCAACTGGCTGGAGTAAAGGGCAGCTGTCCCTTACTGAGAGCACCCATTCTCCAGTTCACACAGTCCCCAGAGGTCTACTATCTGATTCACGGAGCGGACTTCAGATACGTCATCCACCTGGCCCTTGGTAGGCATTTGTGTTTGTGACTACAGCTGAAGTCAATCTAAGTCATGAACTGCTACATGCTAAAATGAGGGATGGCAATAACTATGTGGCAGGTATTCAAAAAAAGGAGAAATCAGTAGAATTAAATAGTTGAGCAAAGCTTCTTAGACTTGGTCTGACAGGCAGGTAGGATAAAGGTGGATGATTGGATGCATAAATGGATGGATAGATGAAAGAGAAAAGAATTCCCCTTGGGTTCAGGAACAGACCAAATACGTTTACATGGCAGACTGTGGCTAGAAGAAGGAGCATAGATCAGGTATCTTTCATTTAAAATCTGAAAACTCAGGCCGGGCACCGTGGCTGGCACCTGTAATCCCAGCACTTCAGGAGGCCAAGGTGGGCAGATCACCTGTGATCAGGAGTTTGAGACAAGCCTGGCCAACATGGAGAAACCCCGTCTCTACTAAAAATATAAAAATTAGCCAGGGGTGGTGGCAGGAGCCTGTAAACCCAGCTACTCAGGAGGCTGAGGCAGGAGAATCATTTGAACCCGAAGGCAGAGGTTGCAGTGAGCAGAGATCATGCCACTGCACTCCAGCCTGGGGGACAAAGCAAGACTCCATCTCAAAAATAAATAAATGAAATCTAAAAATGTCTAGTTTTCAGAGCAGGGAGAAGGCATTTCAACTTATCTGCAGGCAATGCTATCTATTATTTCTCTATATGAGTATCCTGTTACAGGCTACTTCCTGATTGACAGCAATAATCATGGAGTGATATTGCAAGAAGCTGCTGTCTTGAAAACAAAATGTAAAAACTTATAGCATCAGGAGTTCATATCTATACAACAGTTTCACTCTTTTGCTTGGCATAATCACATTGATTCCAATTCCACTGATAGTGGAATTGGATTCTTCCAGTCTTTTCCAGGTGGCTGTTGGTATCCATCCTCAAAGAGGGTGCTCTTTAGGCTCAATGAACTGAAATTCCAACCTCACATCCTGTCCAAGTTTCCAGGCTTCTGACAGAATCTGAAATTACCCCAAGGGGGTAATCACTTACCTAATCCCTTTGATAATTTCTAAAGTGAAAGAATAGTTGAGGAGGGGAGCGGAAACCACCTAAATGACAGAAGGAAAAGCATTAAACTTTTACCACACTAGTTCATTGACCCCGTTTCAAAGTCCTGGCCTTTGCACTGCATTTCCTGTCTTCCAAATAAGACCAATTGTGTGTATGGAAAAGCCCACTTGCCACCTGAGGACCCTAAGATGTAGCCCATCCATTGACAAATCTTACTTTTTTTTTTTTGAGATGGAGTCTATGTTATCCAAGCTAGTCTTGAACTCACTCCTGGGCCCAGGCAATCCTCTGTTAGCCTCCCGTATAGCTGGGATTACAGGCACCCACCACTGCACCCAGCTCTGACAAACCCTACTGTTAAATAAAAACAATGAATTATAACATACTAGGGATAATCAGAAGCTTCCAGGAAGAAAATAGTTTCCATAGAAACACATGATAATAATAGCAATAGACTTCTCAATATCAGCACTAAAAGTTAGTAGATGAAAAAATGTTTTTCTGAAGAAAAATTATTTTCAACTATTACCAACTGAAGGTCCCAATTAAATGTGAACATAAAATACATTTTCATACAAACAAAACTTTTTAAAAATTTGCCTCCTATGTATCCTTTACTAGAGATTTCTAGAGACTGTGACAAAATGAAAATAAAATGAAACCAAAATGAAAATGTAAACCAAGAAAGGGGAAAACATGGGATGCAGGAAATAGGGAATGCAATATAAGAGAAAGATGAAGGAAATTCCTGGGATGACCGTGAAGGGAAGTCCCACAAGGACAGCTTTGCTACAGGCCTGGAGGATCACCCAAAGTGGAGCAAGAAGACAGAAGCCCCTGGAGGAAGGTCTACAGGGAAAAAAAAAAGAAAAAATAGAGCTGTACACACAGAAGGCTTCAAGATGAATGTAAAAGTATCTCCATCCTCCACAGACACCTGCTCTGACCACATGGAACTTTATACAGAGAGGATGTTTAATGGGGTAGAGGGATTTAGCCATAGGTTAAAAAAAATTAAGGGCCAGGCATAGTGGCTCACACCAGCACTTTGGGAGACCAAGGCAGGCAGATCACTTGAGCCCAGAAGTTCAAGACCAGTCGGGGCAACATGGCAAAACCCCATCTCTACAAAAAATTAGCCAGGTGTGATGATGCATGCCTGTAGTCCCAGCTACTTGAGAGGCTGAAGTAGGGGGATCACCTAAGTCTAGGAGGTCAAGGCTGAAGTGAGCCGTGATTATGCCACTGCACTCCAGCCTGGGCAACAGAGTGAGACCCTGTTTCAAAAAAAGAGAAAAGAAAAGAAAAAGGAAAAAAAAAGTAATAAGAAAACAAAAGATGTAAGCAGGCAATCATTAATTACCTAAAAAATCAAAAATTGAAATTATAATCCAATACTTGGCTTAGCATGAACAATCTTTCAATAGTCATAATAATCTAAATGCTGAATATTATTTGACTTCTCTGCTGGAGGAACTGGAATCGTATGAAAAGAAAAAGGGAGCAATAGAGATCTAAAACGCCATCTACAATAAAATGTTTAAATTATTTCAAGTTAGCCAGGCACAGTAGTGCTCACCTGTAGTACCACCTACTCAGGAGGCTGAAGCAGGAGGTTGCTTGAGCCCAGGAGTTTGAGGTTGTAGTGCACTGTGATGCCTGTGAATAGCCTCTACACTCCAGCCTGGGCAACATAATGAGACCCTGTCTAATAATAGTAGTATCAAATTATTAATTAAACAACATCAGTATGAGCATATTCTTTGAAATATGGAAGTATGGCTGGGTACAGTGGCTCAGGCCTGTAATCCCAGCACTTTGGGAGGCCAAAGCAGGTAGATCACCTGAGGTCAGGAGTTTGAGACCAGCCTGGCTAACATGGTGAAACCCTGTCTCTACTAAAAATACAAAAAAAAAAAATTGGCTGGGCATGGTGGCAGGTGCCTGTAATCCCAGTTACTCAGGAGGCTGAGGCAGGAGAATCGCTTGAACCCAGGAGGTGGAGGTTGCAGTGAGCTGAGATTGCGCCATTGCACTCCAGCCTGGGCGACAAGAGCAAGACTCCATCTCAAAAAATAAATAAATAAAAATAAAAAATAAAATAAAATATGAAAGTACATATCATTAGAAAGAGTGAAAGATTTGAATGCAAGTACCTCTGGGGAACAGGACATGGAGAAGGTGGTCAGGAGGCTACAGGACTGCTGAGTTAAGTGTTTTTAGCACATTTAACTTGTTTAAATTCAGGGTCTGTGTCACTTTGATTAAAATTTAAATGAGATCTAGGTGCCACTTTGGGAGGCCGAGGTGGGAGGATCACTTGAAGCCAGGAGTTCGAGAGTAGCCTGAGCAATGTAGCGAGACCCCCATCTCTATTAAAATATATATATATAACAAAATAAAATTTAAATAAATTTACTATCAGAATTAAATAGTATCCCTCAAACACCTAGCATCCCTATACATACCTACTGAGGTGAATACATGGAAAGTTAACTTAGAGCCATGGTTCTTGGGTCTGGCATGTTTGTCAAGCAGTTATCAACCTGCAGTGGCAGCTCCCTTACAGCCAATCATCCATGCAGAGAAACTCTTTTTTTTTTTTTGGATTTAAAAACACTTTTTATAGTGTGTTGTTTTTATTGAGTGGTCACACCCGAAGGGGTGGCGGTGGATCCTGTGGGGGAATGGGGCTGCCCAAGCCTCATGCAGAGAAACTCTTGCCTGTGTATTCAGGCAACAGCTGCCTCTGCAAGTCTGTGTATCAGAAGGAAAGAAAGTGGACAAGCTAGACAAACATAGGCATCTGTGGAGACAGATATTTTCACATTCATCTTTAAGCCTGCTATGTGGACACCTACCATGACAGAAGTCTGAATTTTGGATAGTGTTGAAAACAACAACTAGTTCTAGTCCTCACCCTCATTCAGAGAGTCTGAAAAAAGCTTTAGAAAAACAGAATGAACTCTTCCAAGTTGCTGAGATTCATAGTATCTCCTTCCAGAAAAAAACTATCAGTTAGTTAGTCTGAAAAACACTTCCTACCTACAGGTGCTAGAATACTTCACCCTGAAAGGTAAGTGTTAGATGGGTCTTAGATAATTCAACTTAGCAATTCAACCAGGAGATCCAACCACCAGGTTCCCCTGAGGCCCATCCTGGTGGCAACTGTGCTACGATGGGGGCAGAGTGGGTGGGAGCCCATTTCTCCACAGGAAATCCAGAAACAGTCCCACCAACTTCCCCAGGATTAACCTTAAATGCCTTCACCCTCCCTTAAATCCTCCCATCTCCTTCCTTTTGTCACTTCAAGCATATCACTGTAACCCATGTTCAATACTCAGGAGGAAAAGAATCAATCAGAAACTCACACCTTGGCTCGCTTATTCAGAGACTAGGAGATCCAGAGAGGCAAAGTGACTTGCCCAAAGCTACAGAGCCGTTTTGCAACAGAACCAGATCTAGAATCCTGGATGGGGCTCCATACTGCCTAGCTCAGAGCTTAGCCTGTAACCTTCAGATAGCCAGATAGAAATAGATGTCAAAGGCCGGATGCAGCGGCTTACGCCTATAATCCCAGCACTCTGGGAGGCCGAGGCAGGTGGATCAGGAGTTTGAGACCAGCCTGGCCAACATGGTGAAACTCTGTCTCTACTAAAAATACAAAAAAATTAGCCGGGCATGGTGGTGTGTGCCTGTAATCTGAGCTACTTGGGAGGCTGAGGCAGGAGAGCCACTTGAACCCAGGAGGCAGAGGTTGCAGTGAGCCGAGATCATGCCATTGCACTCCAGCCTGGGTGACAGAGCAAGACTCTGTCTCAAGGGAAAAAAAAAAGAAATAGATGTTAAAGCAAGGTCAGGATCTAAACAGAGTTGTAATTCTGAGGATTCTGATCCTTCCACCACTCCAAATTGCCTCACAAATCCATAACAATAAATTAAAATAAAATAAAGGGGGAACTATAAAATCCAACAAATCAGAGGCTTACTTCTGCCTGAGCTGCCCATTTTTTGGGGTTTAAACAATCCATGCATTCAGCAATGAGTTATTGAGCATGTATTTTGTCCTGAGGAACTTCCAAATGGAGGTGTCTAGTAGAGAGGTGGGTGCTGAGGTCTAAGAAGAGAGAGATCTGAGATGGTGATCATTGTCATAATAAAGGATGAGATTGCCCGGGGAGAATGAATACACTGAGAACAGAAGATGCCCAAATCCCAAGGAGCACCAGCCTTAGGATGGGAAGAGTAAGGGAAAATACAGGGAACTCCTAGAATGGACCCTAGTCTCTGAATAAGCAAGCCAAGGTGTGAGTTTCTGATTGTTTCTTTTCCTCTTGAGTATTGAACATGGGTTACAATGATATGTAGCTAATGCTTGAAGTGATAAAAGGAATGAAGTGGGAGGATTTAAGGGAGGGTGAAGGCATTTAAGGTCAATCCTGGAGAAGTTGGTGGGACTGTTTCTGGATTTCCTGTGGAGAAATGGGCTCCCACCCACTCTGCCCCCATCCTAGCACAGTTGCCACCAGGATGGGCCTCAGGAGAACCTGTTGAAGACAGGTGTTTCCAGAAAGGGTCAGTAGGAGGCCACCCACTCTTCTGCTAAGTGAACTTAGTCCAGATCAGAACATGTACTGCTCAGAGCTATGTGGTATAAAGGTTGGGCAAATATGCACTTTCACAGTGCTGAGGGCAAAGACCAAGAAGACTGGGACATGACCAGAAAGAAAGGTTATCACATGCTAAAAGCAAAGAGAAAAGGCAACAACAGTCACCTTTCATCTCATTAAGTGTATTTTCTAAAAAAATGTCACTTTGGAAGAAATTCCAAGTAGGAAAGTAGTTGGTCGGCCCAGGGAAGGTGTTGGTTGATTGTTAGCTTTTGATTGGTCCAAGATCCAGGAGGTTTTATGAGCAAAGAGCTCACAATCTCAACCCCCATGTCCTGATTACACTAGGCTCTCCCTGGAGGTTCTCTCTGGCTGGGATTTTAGACTTGAGAGGTGTAGAGAGAGCTAGGAACCATGGCAGTAGGGTAGAAAAAGCCCAGGCTTTGGAGCAAGCAGCCTAAGTTGGAACCATGACTTCAATCCTTATCATCAGGGTGACCTTGTTAAGATTACGTAAACTCCATGAGTCTCAGTGTTGTCATCTATAAATTGGAGATGATACTTACCTCAAAGGATTGAATGAAAGCGTATTTACAAAAAACTACCAATAGCTACTCAGCAAGTGCTCCGTCACCTCCTGCTTCCTCCTGCCCACCTTACTTTTGAGAGCCACCCTTGAGTAGGCAAGATAACCCATTATCATGGCTTCCTCCAACTCCTTCCAAATTAGAAACATTGTCCAGACTGACAATGATCTCAGCATTTTCTCTGTGATCCATCAGTAGGTAGGATTCTACCATTATGTCACCAAGCTATTGTACCCTGGGTATTGCATGCTCCAATCATTGGGTATAAGCTGGCCTGCCTTTGTAACTCTCAGCTGTTTACGTAGTTCTCTGGGAAAATACTACCTTTCTAGGAGCCATCAGAGGTAGTGCAAGCTTGATGTGGTTCCTGATCTTCTGTCCACCCTAAATCCCTAGTATAAAGGTCCTCAGTTTAAAGACATACACCCATACCAACACACACACACACACACACACACACACACACACACACACACACACACACAGAGTGATATGGCTAGGCAGCTGCTGCTGGTCAACATTAGTGAGATTTCCCTCTTGTGCTGTTGTAAACCACCAGCCATAGCTATTGTCCTGTCTTTTCTGGTCTCTCTCTCTCTCTCTCTGGCATATGAGTAATTCCTCATTTGCTCTTTTTTCCCTGAAGTTCATGCCCTCAGGCACCGCAGGCAACCTGGATAAATTTAGCTCTTCTCAGGGCCTTTTCCTGACTTTGTTCCATGACTGTTGAAGGTTTGGCTGCTCCCCAGAGAGAGCTTTGGCCTGGCTTCCCTCCCTTGGAGGTCTCATTTGGTTCTGGTGTCTGCTATGCCACTTGCATAATTGGTCATGAATCACTTCAGGTTACGGTATGTACTTTGAGAATCAATCAGTTTGTGCTCTTGGAAGCTGAAATCCTTCATTCCAGCTTCGCATCCCTTGGATCTCCTTCCCTGTGTTTTCCCTTGCCCTAAACAGCCTGTGGCTACTGCTCATAGCTGTCATGCTTACTCCCCATTAGGGCTAAGCGGGAAATGATTGGTTGGTGACTAATAAAGCCTCTTCCACTCTCTTCTCCAGGAGCAGGGCCTCAGATCCCATGAGCAGGATCCAGTACAGTGAGGATGTTCATTTAAAGTTTACTAGTTTGAATGGTTGTAGCTGAATATAAGAGAGGCTGGAGTCAAACTCCCTCTTTAAGCAATTAAATGAAAGAGAACTGCATGAAAAGGCCATTATGTGTTTAGACATGATCATCTTCAAGGATCCAAAGTAAGAATCATGGATCATGCTCAAGCTTTTATCATTTTAGTTACTATTTTCTCTCTTCAATATAGGCCATTGATAAATTATCCAATCAGCAAGCATTTATTGATCACCAGCTTTGTGCTAGTAGCTATGGGCATTTCAGAAGTGAACAGCATCATTCCCAGTCACTTATGGGGGGAAAAAAGGTATTTTTTTAAACAGTGAATTACAAAGGAGAGATAAGTGATACAGGAAATGAGAGCTATTTTAGGGGATGTGGGTGACACCTTTAAAGGACCTGACATGGACTCTGCTTTCCTGGGGCTTGCAAACTACATGGGGAGATTGAACTGACCCACATGAAATGAGACAAGAACCAGGGCCAAACAGGAACATTCTGAGGAGGCTTTACGGAGGCAGTAGGTTTATACGAGACCTTGAAAGGTGGGAAGGATTTGAATGGATACAGAAAGGAAAGAACTTACCAGGATGAAAGAACAGCATGAACAAAGGCCAGAAGAGAAGACTGGCACAAGTTTCACATATGTGTATGTTTTGGGGAGTGCCTGTAAAAAGCTGGTCTTACTCCAGCAGGAAATACATATGGAGGGGGGCAGAAAAACAGGCTGAGGATGGTCAGCATCCAGGGCCTTGAGGGCTAGGCATGACCCAGTCAACTTACTAGCAACAGACCCCCAACTGCAGGAGCAGGCTCCTGTTGGGAAGGGGAGACACTGACCTTGTTCCTTGTAGGAACCACTATGAATGGCCTCTTCCCAGTCCCCATATTCACCTCCACCCCAGTTAGCTGCCCTTGCTATGGAAAACCACATTAAAAAGAGTCGTGAAACCAAAGTGATCTACTCCAGGCCAGTGAGGCAGTCTCTGCACATGCCCCACTGGGAGGGTCTCTCTCAGTGCCTGGGGCTGCAGACACTTGTGTGTGGAGTCCACTACTTGTTGGTAGTCGGGGCCACCACAGGCTATGGCTTCAAGAGGCAGTGAGATAAACAGCTGTGCCCTGGATAGAAAAGTACCCAGACACTACTGCTTGATTATTTTCCTGGCATGCAACTGGGACCAGTGGCCCAGGTGTCACTGCTGCCACCCTGGCTGATCCACAGAAAGAAGGGTCAGATCTATTTTAAGGATCTGTTTGCCCAGTCACATGGAGAAACTGCTACTTTAAAAACAGCTATTTACCAGGAAAGTAAAGGCCCCTGCAAAATAAAAGGTTAGTATACTATCCCTAGTAACTCTTTAAACCAAAGCAAACATCCAGGCAGGCCATGTTTGCACTGCACCGTTCTTGCTTTCTGCCCTTGGTCACTTGATTCCCAAGGTTCTTGGTTGATTTCTTCCTCGGAGTTAAGCTGAGAAAGAGCAACTGGTAATATCAAAGCACAGGGGTCTCTAGAGAGCAAGGGAGTTATAAACACACAGCAGTTGTATTGTTACTTGAAGAGTTTGTTACTATTGCTCTATTGTTACTTTGGTTGGTTTGTTTTAGGAGAGTGAAGGAGTCTGATCAGGCAAAATCTGAAAGAATCTGGAAGATCTAAGACCCTTCAGCAGAAATGCGCCTTCTACCTTGTATTAGTCCGTTTTCACGCTGCTGATAAAGACATACCTGAGACTGGGAAGAAAAAGAGGTTTAATGGACTTACACAGTTCCACATGACTGGGGAGCCCTCATAATCATGGCAGAGGGCAAGGAGGAGCAAGTCATGTCTTTCACAGATGATGGCAGGCAAAGAGAGAGAGCTTGTGCAAGGAAACGCCCATTTTTAAAACCATCAGATCTTGTGAGACTTACTCACTATCACGAGAAGAACACCATGGGAAAGACCCGCCCCCAAGATTTAATTACCTCCCACCGGGTGCCTCCCATGACACGTGGGAATTATGGGAGTTACAATTCAAGATGAGATTTGGGTGTGGACACAGCCAAACCACATCACACCTATATTTCAGGATTCTGATATTAGTGTATGGGAAGTAACATCAAATATGGTCTACAGTGATATTGTTCAAACTAGAGGTCCAAACCATCAAGGCAACTCCAAGAGCATTAAAATCAACATTTGGAGAGGCATCAAGTGTGGAGACAGTGCAGTGGCTGGCACTTTCTACAAACCGTCAGAGCAGTATGCTCCCAGCTTCTCCATGGACATCCCTAAACCTTCTTTACCTCCCAGCTTCTAAAATCTGCTACCTCATTAAATCATGTCAACTTAGGAAATCTTCATGGGACCTATCCTGTGGAATTTATAGTTTTGCTTAGGGCACAGTATGACACATATTTCTAATAGAGAAAATAGTACAATATATGAATACTACAGAATAAGTGGCATTAAAAAAATGCAGGGTGTAGGTGACAGGTGGACCTGTGTGCCCTAGAGCACACAATGAAAAACACATTGCCTATCATGGAAATTGAAGTCCTTAGCCTGACCTCCAAAGCTTTCCATAATCTGACACCAATCTCCTTCTCAGCCCTATCTCCCAGGACTCCTCCTATACAGTCAAACCAGACTTCCCCTAAGCTCACCTCGCTCCATGGCTGGGTTTTTGCCACTTAACACAATCATTCCTTTCCTCTCTTCTTCCTTCAGTCACTTCACACACGTCCAGTGATTCTGCTCTCCAAATGCTAACTAGGTTCCAGGTCTGGCTCACATTTCTCCTGTTCCTTGAAACCTTTCCAGCCCATCCCAGTGACCTCACCGTACTCTGAACTCACAGCACTCTTTGTCCACCATGCACACCACTCTTTGTACATCACGCACAGCACTCACTGCCTGGATGCTCCTTTGTTCATGAATGGGGCGCAGCCTTGTGAGGGCTCTGATGGGTTGCTATCTTGGACATTGACTTCTCCTTTGATCTCTCCTCATATCATCTCACAACCATATTATCCTTTCTTTGATGGCTTGCATTTTTGAATACCCTTCAAGCTTCTAGCACAGGGCCCAATGCAGAGAAGTTGGTCAATAACTGTTTGTGAAATGAATGACAATATAGAAAATCATCTGATGCTCAATTATGTTTCCGCCTGAAGAGGTAAAAAGAAAGGGCTACATTTATTGAGGGTCTGTCATTTTCACTTGTTCAGCACTTTAACACCCATCTAAAATGCAGATATATTATCTTCCACTTATATAATATGAAAATGAGGTTCAATAAGTTGTTCAACATCAGTCAGCAATAATAAGACAGCTGAGAGACAAACTCTGGTGTGCCTGACTTGGAATGCCAGGCTACGTGCACTACCTCCCACCTAAGCATCCGTCTGTGGGCAGGTTGCTGTAGTTTCTTCCTGTGAGTCTCTCAGATGACTTTTACTTTTTATTTATTTATTTGTTTATTTATTTTTGAGCGTTTCACTCTTATTACCCAGGCTGGAGTGCAATGGTACAATCTTGGTTCACTGCAACCTCCGCCTCCCAGGTTCAAGCGATTCTCCTGCCTCAGCCTCCCGAGAAGCTGGGATTACAGGCACCTGCCACCACGCCTAGCTAAGTTTTTGTGTTTTTAATAGAGACGCAGTTTCACTGTGTTGGCCAGGCTAGTCTCCAACTCCTGACCTCAGGTGATCCACCCGCCTCGGCCTCCCAAAGTGCTGGGGTTACAAGCGTGAGCCACCATGCCCGGCCCATGACTTTTACTTAATCACCCCATGCACTCTCCCTCCCTTCAAGCCACCTCCAAAGAGCTACTTTTCCTGGAACCACTGCATGCTTTCATGTTTCTGTGCAAATCCCTTATAATTCCTTCAGCTGGAAAATCACCTTCCATCTTTTCTACCTGTGCTATCTTATGTATCCTTGAAGGCTCAGCTGAAATGAATATTCCCTCCATCAGGTTTTCTGTTAACAAAATTAAGTGCCCTCACATCTGAGTCCTCATGGTCCCAGTGCCTCTTCCACAGTTTAGAACTCATTTGATTTTGTTTCAAGCTGCAATCAGTTGCTTACCTCTCTGCTTCCTCTCTTAGGCTGTAAGCAACCCAAGGGAAGGGAACACACTCTCTTCATCTCTGTAAGCTGGGCCTTGCACGACAGCAGCAGAGTGTCCCAAAAGTCTTTGGTGGTTCAGGTGGCTGCAGGTGGCTGCTGGTTGCCAGTGCAGAGCATTGATTCAGTCATATCACACACCTTCAGTGATTCTGCTCAGGCAATAAGCCACTGGGATACCAACGAAAGCCAAAAAAAGGAAGCTCCAAGTAGACTTCCCATGTCAGCTCCCAATGTGCAACCCAGGGGTTTCATCTTGAAACCATGTAGTCTCCAGTTTTAAGTGATTCAAGAATGTTTTGACCTCCCTTCTTAATCTAATCTATGGTTTCCAAGATAGTCAATGCCTCAGAGAGAGGCTGTCATAAGGGTCCCTGTTCTTTAAAGTGCCAAGAAAAAAAAAATGGTTAGATAGATCCTTTGTAGCATGCCTTTAGTAGTAAGGTGTAACCTCGAGGTTTGAAAAATGAATGAATGAGGCCGGGCATGGTGGCTCATGCCTGTAATCCCAGCACTTTGGGAGGCTGAGGCGGGCGGATCACTTGAGGACAGGAGTTTGAGACCAGCCAGGCCAACACGGCGAAACCCCGTCTCTACAAAAATACAAAAATTAGCTGAGTGCGGTGGTGTGTACCTGTAATCCCAGCTACTCCCGAGGCTGAGGCAGGAGAATTGCTTAAACCCAAGAGTCAATGGCTGCAGTGGGCCGAGATTGTACCACTGCACTCCAGCCTATGCAGCAGAGCAAAATGCCATCTGAAAGAACGAAAAAAGAAAAGAGAGAAGAAAGAAGAAAGGAGAAAGGACAAGAAAAGAGAAAAGAAAAGAAAAGAAAAAAAAAAGGAATGAATGTTAAACATGCCAGACCCTATTTAAATGAAGAAAAAGGATATTTGTTTGGTTTGCCTTATAGAGTCCGGCCCCTCCAAAGATTCTAAGACAAATTACATCTAACAGTGGAGACTGGACTTCCTCCTGAAGAACAAGCAACCATAAAGGGATGGCAGCTCGGCAGCAGCCCAGTAACACAACCAGTGACAATCTGTACACCAAGTTTCTGTGGCATACTGCTCCTTGAAGGCAGGGCTTGAAAGCTTTCATTCTTCTTCTTCTTCCTTCTTCCTCTTCCTCCTTCTTCCTTCCTTCTTTCTCTTCCTCCTCCTTCTTCCTTCCTTCCTTCCTTCCTTCCTCTGTCTCTCTTGCTTGCTTTTGCTTCTTCTTTCTCCTCCTCCTTCTTCTCTCTCTCAGCAGATCAGAAAGTTTTAATTCTACATTCCCAGTTCTTAGCACACAGCCTAAGACATAGTAGACACTTAGTATATATTTGCCAATGGATACTCATACTTGCTTTCTCTCCTTTTTTAATTTTTTGTTTTGTTTTTGTTTTTGTTTTTGTTTTTCTGAGACAGGGTCTCACTGTTTATTGCCCAGGCTGGTCTTGAACTCCTGGGCTCAAGCAATTCTCCTGCCTTGGCCTCCCAAAGTGCTAGGATGACAGGCGTTAGCCACCACACTGATCTTCTTATCTTTTTTTATCTTCCATCTTTCTCTTTTTCCTCCTTTAACATCTCCTTCCTGCCCATTCAGGACCTGTTGAGCCTGCATTACTAAAAATAACTGAGGCCCTAATTACTAAAAGTGAGGGATTACCTTCCCCTTCTCTACCTTTGCCCTACCCTCCCCCATCCTCTCAGGCAATACATAGATGCTCTTTGTGAAATATTAAATATTAAATCCTATTTTTTAAAAAACTGATGGTTCCCAAACTGTGCACAGTGGCTCATGCCTGTGGGAAGCTGGGGTAGGAGGATGGCTTAATGCCAGGAGTTCAAGACCAGCCTGGGCAAAAAAATAAGATTCCCATCTCCAAAAAATAAAAATTAGCTGGGTGTGGTAGTGCATACCTGTAGTCCTAGGAACTTGGATGGCTGAAGCAGGAGGATCTCTCGAGCCCAGGAGTTTAAGCCTGCAGTGAGCTGCACTCCAGCCTGAGAGATAGTGCAAGACCCCATCTCAAAAAACAAACAAACAAAAAACAAAAAAAAAACCCCACCAAAACCCTGATGATTCCCTCATTTTCTGGATGGCTCAGAATGATCGTATCCCTCTTGAGTAATCCAGCCCTTCTCCTATTTCTTCATCTTCACCCTCATTTTTCTACTCACTTCTTTCCCACTTCCAGTGGTCTCAGTCCCTGGGTCGTCTGGCTGCTAACCCTCAAAGCTGAGAAACATGACCCTTAGAGTCTTAGAGCCGTTCCTTGGGACACCCCCTTGAAGCTCGTGTGGGATTCCTTTTCTTTTTTTTTTTTTCCCCAGATGGAGTCTCACTCCGTCACCAGGCTGGAGTGCATTGGCACGATCTCGACTCACTGCAACCTCCACCTCCCAGGTTCAAGTGATTCTCCTGCCTCAGCCTCCCCAGTAGCTGGGATTATAGGCGTGCACTACCATGCCCAGCTAATTTTTATATTTTTAGTAGAGACAGGGTTTCACCATGCTGGCCAGGATGGTTTTGATCTCTTGACCTCATGATCCGGCTGCCTCGGACTCCCAAAGGGCTGGGATTACAGGCGTGAGCCACCATGCCCAGCCTCGTGTGGGATTTCTTTGAGATGGGTTCACAGCTGCTGTTGGCTGCCCTCCCCACCTACACTCCACTATCCTGTCCTGTGCTAGTCCCAAAGAATCCAAAAGACTACCTCTGTCCTGCCTCTGGAGACTGGACACATAGGCTGTGCTGGTGGCCTTCAGGGTATGCTGGCCACCATCACTGAGGAAAACAGTGCATTCTGTTCTGGAGTATGTGCCAGATTAAGGGCAATCCAGGCAATGTGGAATATAAACAATGATGTGGGAGCATAATGTTGGCACTCTCAGGAAAACAGATAAAACTCCCTTGTCCAATCCAGTTTTATTTTTTGCAGAGACCATTTTACTTTCTTGAGCATCAAAACATACACACACATAGGGTTTTTTTGTTTGTTTGTTTTTGTTTTTGTTTTGAGACAGAGTCTCGCTCTGTCGCCCAGGCTAGAGTGCAGTGGCGAGATCTCGGCTTACTGCAAACTCTGGCGAGATCTCGGCTTACTGCAAACTGCTGCCCCCCTTCCCCCTACTGCCAGGCTGAAGCAATTCTCTTGCCTCAGCCTCCTGAGTAGCTGGGACTACAGGCACATGCCACCACTCCCAGCTAATTTTTGTATTTTTAGTAGAAGCAAAGTTTCACCATGTTGCCCAGGCTGGTCTCAAACTCCTGACCTCATGTGATCCGCCCGCCTCGGCCTTCCAAAGTACAGGGATTACAGGCATGAGCCACCTCACCCTGTCACCCACATAGTTTTGAGCCCTGGTCCCACCTGTCAGGTAGCTGGTCCACACTCCATCCCAGAGGAAGCTCTTAGGTCAAGGGGTGGGAATTTCAAGAGGGGCAACGAGTAGCTGGAAGCCATGTTCCCAGGCCCATGTTTTACCCCAGCCTCCTGCCCCACATCCTCCCCATAGATCTCACGTAAAGGGCCTGTGCCTTGCAGTGAGGGCTGTTTCATCTACCTGCCTTCCTAATAAACTTTCAGACAGAAGTATGTATGTGTGAGTGTGTGTGTGTGTATGTATGAGTGTGTGTGTGTGTGTGGTGTTAAATGGGGATGTTAATATAGTCAATACTAATTCCTAGATAAGAACATTGTCTTAGTCAAGACTAATTCAATGCTAATACCTAGATAAAAACATTGTCTTCATCTTGGAAGGTGAATACCTGTTCATTAAATGATCATTGCTTTGGAAGAACTTTTAATGGGAAATACTCAGAAAACAATGCCAATGTGGATGGGGAGACAAGCACGACGTCCAATAGACACCATGCATTATAAGCAGAGATAGAGATAAAGATAGGCATTGAACAAAGAGAGAAGGAAATACACCAAAATGCCCAGAGAGGTTTTCTCCAGGTTTGGAGTTACAGGTGATCTTTGCTTTCTTCTTTCCTGTATATTTCTGTGCTGCCCAAGTCTTTTACTGTGAGCAAATGTGACTCTAGTAATGGTGGGGATTAATAATTTTTTAATTTGTTTTTCAAATGTAGAACACTTTTCCCTGTCTCCCAGTGTCATCAAGAAGCCCAGAAGAAAGCTGAGTGACCTGGCCGGGCGCAGTGGCTCACACCTGTAATCCAGGCACTTTGGGAAGCCGAGGCGGGCGGATCATGAGGTCAAGAGATCAAGACCATCCTGGCCAACATGGCAAAACCCTGTGTCTACAAAAAATACAAAAAATTAGTTGGGCGTGGTGGTGCATGCCTGTAGTCCCAGCTACTCAGCAGGCTAAGGCAGGAGAATCGCTTGAACCGGGGAGGCGGAGGTTGCAGTGAGCTGAGATCGTGCCACTGCACTCCAGCCTGGCGACAGAGTAAGACTCTGTCTCAAAAAAAAAAAAAAAAAAAAATCCTGAAAGTTGAGGAGTGACCTCAGTACTAAGGCCCTCAGATCCTCCAACCCCATGGCACAGGCGCTCCCTCCTGTTGTCTAGCACAGTGTCTGGCGAAGGCCATCACCCTTATATGAGGGCAGAAGGTGAGCTAAAGCCCTATGGAAAAGGTGGCTCAGGCATATACAGGCCTGTAGGACCAAGCTCAGAGACAGACCTGTGGCCAGTGGCTCCACAGCTATGCCCCAACCTAAATGTGCCCCCAGAGCTTGCTCCAAAAAGATTCGAGGAGTAGGAGGGGAACAAGGCAAAGGAGATAAAAAGGGGATTACTGGGAAAGTATTAGAACTACCCTGGACCGGGCACGGTGGCTCACGCCTGTAATCCCAACACTTTGGAAGGCCAAGGTGGGCAGATCACTTAAGGCCAGAAGCTTGAGACCAGCCTGGCCAACATGGCAAAACCCCGTCTCTACCAAAAAAAATACAAAAATTAGCCTGGCCTGGTGCCGGGCACCTGTAGTCCCAGCTACTCAGGAGGCTGCAGCGGGAGAATCACTTGAACTCAGGAGGTGAAGGTTGCAGTTAGCCAAGATCGTGCCACTGCACTCCAGCCAGGACAACAGAGGAAGACTCCATCTCAAAAAAGAAAAAGAAAGAGAGAAAGAGAGAAAGAAAGGAAGGAAGGAAGGAAGGAGAGAGAGAAAGAAAGAAGGAAGGAAGGAAGGAGAGAGAGAGCAAGGAAGGAAGAAAGGAAGGTAGGAAGGAAGGGAGAGAGAAAGAGAGAAAGAGAAAGGAGAGGAGAGGGGAGAGGAAGGGAGGGGAGGGGAGGGGAGGGGAGAGGAGAGGAGAGTGCCCTGCTCAGGAGGTAGCAGATTTCCAGGGACCCCTGAGGGTCAGAAGAGAAGGACTGGGAGAAAGCCAAGGAGTTGAGGCAAGGTTCACATCAGCTCAGGGACACCCACGTCCTCCTCTGGCTCTAACCATCCTTCTCATTGACAGATCTTTTTAACTGCCTTTTGTTTCCTCTTATCTCCCTCACCCAGCCACCAGCTTCTACCCCCACCCCCAACTGAATTGCATCACCATCCACTGAGCTCCCAGGGCCTGCAGCTGTTGCTGCCTGGGGTGACAGACACACCCCGATTTTTGAAGGGAATGAGCTTATGAGGTCAGGGAGGAAGGGGGAATTGGGGGCTGGGGAGAAGCAAAGCTTGGAGTAAACTTCCCAGAACTGCAGAGGGTGGCTGAGACCACCCACTCTTCTTACATTGTCACTGTGGTCAGAGCCTTGAGCCACTGTCAAGTGTTGGATTCAGAGTGGGTGGGTGTCCAAGGAGAAGAAACTGGAAACAGCAGGGAGGAAAGGGCAGGCACAAAAGTGTTGTGGGTAATTCCTTCTGGGAGAATTGATAACTTTTGCATTCATCTGGCAGGGCCCTCTGGAAGCAGCAATAAGTTGACATCTGTTCTTTAGCTACTAATGCCAAATAGATTACTTGACAGTAGTTTAATATGCACAACTAGGAACTCTGTGTGTGTGTGTGTGTGTGTGTGTGTGTGTGTGTGTTGGTGGAGGGTGGGTGGGTGGAAAGGGAGCAAGAGGGAAGATCTTTTGAGAGGGTAAGAGGACTATCTGCATTCCTCCAAATTTCTGGAGAAAGAACTCAATAACAAATTCAGAAAAGTATATTAAGTCCTGGGGGATTCTGAGCCAATCTTCCCACAGCTGGATATGTCAACATCTGTCCTTCGGTCCTCCTTGTCCTCAATTTTTTTTTTTTGGAAAATTGACCCCATTTTGATAAGAATGTCTGTGTTTTTGAAAAACATAACCCATCACATATGATCTCCATGGCAATGATATTTTGCTATAGGAGGCAGTAGTAGGATGTGGTGGTAAGAACATGCACCTCAGAACCAGACACCTGGGTAAAAGTCTGACACTGACAGTTACAAGCTGGGTGAGCAGTCTGATCACTTGCCAAGTTGGGTGACACTAGTTCCTCGCTCACACAGTTGTTGTAAGAAATGAATGACAGGTTCAGAGAACACGCAGTAGAATAAAAAAGAAAGAAAGAAAGAAAGAAATGAGTGGGCATATGCACCGTGCTGAAACACAGAGACTGGCACGTAGTCAGTACTGCATAAGGTCAGCACCCTCCGTATGACCCCACCCCAAATCCAGCCACTCCGGGTATGTCGTGATGAACTAAGCATTAGAGCATGGGGCCTAACGATGGCATGGCTGCAGGCCAAATCCTGCCTGCTGCCCACTTAGCCCAAGAGTTAACATTTTTCTAAATTTTTTAATCACTGGGGTACGAAAAGTCAAAAACAAGAATAGCATTTCATGCCACATGAAAAACATATGAAATTCAGACTTCAGTGTTCATAAATGAGTTTTCTGAAGCACAACCACACTCATTTGTTTATGTATCTTCTCTAAGACTGCTTTTCCGCTGCAATGACAGAGCTGAGCAGGTACAACACAGATGTATGACCCACAAAGCCTAGAATATCTACTATCCGGCCTTTTACAAAAAAAGTTTCATCAGCCTTGCATTAGAGGATCAGCAGTCCAATTCCAGCCCTGCTTCCCACCTTCCAAATAGAGATAACACCTTCTCTGTCACTGAAAAACCCTCACCAGCATGCACGCGCGCGCACACACACACACACCACACACACCACTTGGCTTATTCACCGTGATGCTGTTAACACCAGCTGGCCTCCACTTTGGAAAGTGTAAGACCAGATTAGGCTATAAAGCATTACTGTTATTTTCTGAGCAAGCACTTGGGGGTGGTGCAATCCCAGTCAACACTACTGAAACAACTCAATGTGCTCTTTGTTCTCCAAGTCCTTGATCTTTCGTTCTTATTACAACTTCTCAGGGCCTGCTGTGTTCATTTGAACTGGTTCAGCTGGAAAAAATATGAGTTGGGTTTTGTTTATACCTTAATCAGCTGACTAGAAAGGGGTTAGAAAGAAGAGAGTGAGGAAGCATTAAAATGCATACATTATTGAGTGTTTGCTATATGCCAGGCACTCTGGAATTACAGTAATGTATTAATAAGGAAAGGTCCCTGAGAGAGGGAGAGACAAACAAAAAGGCAAGTAGTTATAAAATAATCCAATAATTCCTATACAGAGACATAAACAAAGCGCTGAGGGAACAAAAAATAATTTATTCTACTAGGTTTTGAAGAGGAGCATCAAGAAAAGTCACAGGGGGTGACAGCTTTGGCCTAGGAGGCTTTGAAGAGTGGGGAAAGTTGGTTAGGTGAGAAGAGAGGGTTTATCCTTGGTAGAACAGGAAAATAACAGTGGCAAAAGCAAAGAGGGAGGAGGACATGTATGGCATGTTCAATCAGCAGGGAGTGCAGGAGGAGACTCCAGGAGACAAGCTGGGGCTGCACTGCAGAGGAGCCTCTGTACCACCCTCAGGGGATGGCACTTTATCCTGGAGGTGATGGAGAGTCTTTGCAGATTTTTAAAAGGGGAGAGAGAAAATCACATGTGTGCTTTGAAGATGATCATTATGGGAAGCAACGTGGAGGGATGTGCTGACACAAAGAAAACCTGGATTTAAAAAAGGGCTGGGCACGGTGGCTCATGCCTGTAATACCAGCACTTTGGGAGCCAGAATGGGGGGATCACTTGAGGTCAGGAGTTCGAAACCAGCCTAACCAGCATGGTGAACTCCCATCTCTACTAAAAATATGAAATTAGTCAGGTGTGGTGGCACATGCCTGTAATCCCAGCTACTTGGGAGGCTGATGCAAGAGAATCGCTTGAACCCGGGATGCGGAGGTTGCAGTGAGCTGAGATCACACCATTGCACTCCAGCCTGTGCAACAAGAGCAAAACTCTATCTCAAAAAAAAAAAAAAAAAAAAAACAACGAAACAAAACAACAAAAAAGTCATGGGTGATGGATGATAGCAAAGTGTGGTGGGAAGAAAGATCTTGGATGTAGAGTTCATCGAACTTCACAATATATTGAACTCACAGTTGAAAGAGAGGGAAGAGTATGAGGATAAATCCCAGGTTTCTGGAGTGGGTACCTGGACAAATATTGGTGCCATTAATTGAGACAGGAAATGGTGGAGGAGTAGCAGTTTGACTGGGGATGAAAAAGATATTTGGGCTTATAATGTGGTATTCGACTTGTAGCATATGACATGGTTTTAGGTCATCCAGGTTAAGAAATCCAGCAGGCAATTACTGATACTCTAGGTCTAGAGCCCAGAAGATGCAGGAGCTAGAAATAGACATTTAATAACTTTCAGTATATGATGCATGACAGCAGAGGACCCGTGCATCATTCATGCATGGGCTCAGCAAGTGTGGAAAAAATAATCTACAATTAGAATCCTAGGGAATACCAGCATCTAATTGGATGCAAGGCAAGAGAAGCCAACTAAGATGGGAAAAAAGGAGAACCCAGAATGAAAAGTATTGCCAAAGCCTCGAAGAAGGATGTTTCAGAAGTTTCTCTGCCACTGGAGAGGGTCAAGAGAATTAAAAAAAAAAAAACAAACAAACAAAACCCCACAAAGCACAAACTCTCTCAAATAATGGATTCCCATAAAGCCCACTTGGAATTCTGTGAAAGGGTGTCACCTTGGAGAGTTATAAAAATCAATTGGCCTGCTTCCAGAACTCAGTGCCTAGGGTTAATAAACTGGAAAGCAGAGGTGTTTTCCAAGACAGACAATTGGTTTTGATGGGCACCAAAAAGCAGCTGTTGGGTTTGCAAAAAGGAGTCATTGGTGACTTAGCCAGGAAACATTTCAGTAGAGTAATAGGAGCAGAGACAAATTTACATGGTTTCAGAAGTCAGTGGATTTGAAGAAATAGAAACAAGAAGTAAAGCATGCACTTTCAAAAGTGGCATTTCTACAACTGTTTTATGCTTTCCTCGTTTCTTTTTCTCTCTCTCTTAAACACCAATTGTCTGTCCTGGAAAACACTTCTGCTTTCAATTCACTGGGTGCTGTTTTCCGAAAATAGACCAATCCATTCTCATAACTCTCCAAGATCACATTTACCCTTTCACAGAATTCCAAGAGGGTCTTACAGGAACCCATGATTTGCAGGGTTTTTGCTCTTGCCAAAAAAGTGTTTCTAGAGAAAATCAACAAAAAGATTGAAAAGTCCCTGGGGGAGTGAGGGTACACCCCACAGGATGGGTACCTCTGTAAAGGGGTCTGCCATGGGTCTGCGTAGGGAGTCAGTCCTCCTCTCTCTCCAGTGAATGGCACGGTGCCAGTGAAGAAGGAAAAGGGGGCGGCTGCACTCTCAAGCTTCTCTTCTAACACCAAGCTTTCTTTCCTACTTTAGCTTGAGACCAACAAAAAGTGGAGAACTTAGGGTAGTGTGGGACCAGGTCCCTGGTGAGCTGGGTTCTAGTTCCAGCTCTACTTCTTATCCCCAGGTTCTACCAAAGAGAGAGTTTTCCTACTCTAGTTTGATTTCTTAAAATACAAATATGATTAATACATTTGCTTAAAACCTTCAGTGTGGTTTCACCTTGCCCTAGAATTAAGTTCAGTATCCTTAGTAGGAACAAACAGCACCTTCCACATCTAATAGCTGCTAGATCTCTCCTCCAATTCTCTTGTCCAAACAAGTGGAATTTTTTTCTTCCAAAGCAACATGCTGTTCTCTCTCCTTGTGGCTTTGAAATGTACTAATCCTCTCCCTAGAGGCCTCAGTTTTCACACTTTATCTGGCAACCTTGAACTCCTCTCAGTTTTGATGCCAGCTTCTTCAGGGAACTCTTTTCAATTCCCTAGGCTTGGTTAGACCCCTAGATCAGATTATATGTTTATTTCCTAGCACTCAAATGCCTTGTGTCAGTTGTTTAAGGTCAGTCTCTCCTACTAGAATATTAAGCATCCATCAGGGCAGGGAGCTGGTCTGCCTTTTTACTACTACGACCCTAGCACCAAGCATCAAAAAATGAATAACATGTTCTTTTGTTCATTCATTCATTCAATATGTTGTAAGTAGCTGATCATACAATATATGAAAAATCTCTTCCAAAAATATAAGATCCAAATACTTGGAACATTTTCTGAAGAAAAATGCAGTCAATATAAATCTAGTCAACAGTCCTGAAGCCAAAACTCAAAATGTGCATTTATAATAAAGGATGATACTATTATGATTACTATACATGACTTCAAACTGGTTTTTATATCTCATTACTTTTATAATCAAATTATTACATTAATATATGTCACTAATAATATATATTTGATCTCAGACAGGTCATTATATCTTAGTACCAGAAGGGATCTTAGAGAGCTCCTAACTCCTTGTATTTTTGGGGACTATATCAAATTTAAATATTCTAGATCCCATAAATCATTGACATTTCACAGAAATTCTAATATTCCTACAAACAATATCTGAAAGAGTTAAGTTAGCAAACATCACAATGACTTAGTAAGCTGAGTTCATCAAACACGCAAATATGAGTAAAACAATACTCTACCAACTTCTACTGTAAACAAATGGTGAGAATTACAATTCAAATATTTTATTAACTAACATTTTTTCCCTGAACTTTTTCATTGAATTGCCCAAATCTTTGAATGATACTTCATATACTTTTACAAATATATACAACCATAAAGCTGCCATTCAGATCAATATATACATTATCTACACCTCATACACTGCCTTCTGCCCCATTGCGATGAACCTCTGGCCCCACTCCCACCAAAGGTAGTCAGCATTCTAAATTCTTTCACCATACTTGGGCTTTTCTTTTTTGAACTTCATATAAATACAATCATAAAATATGTCCTTTTTTGTGTCTAGCTATTTTTGTTCAAAATTATATGGGTTAGATTCATATATACTTTTGCATTTAATAATAATTTGGTCTTTTTCATTACTGTATAGTATTCCATTGACTATATCTGCCACACCATGCTACTATTGATGGACTTGTGGATTGTTTCCAATTTGGGGCTACTGGGAGTACAACTTCTGTGAAAAGTTTTGTGTTGTGGTGCATACATTTACACATTTCTGTTGGTTATAAGCCTATCTATGAAATTGCTAAGTCATAGGGTAGGCTTATGTTCAGCTTTGGTAGATATTGCCCAAAAGGTTTTCTTTTTTTTTAATTTTTTTTTTTTGAGACAGACTCCTGCACTGTTGCCCGGGCTGGAGTGCAATGGCCCAAAAAGTTTTCAAAGTGATTGCAGTAATCTACTGTGCCAATTTACCCACCTACCAGCAGAATATGAGAGTTCCATTGCTCTACAACCTTTTCAACTCTTGATATTCTAAGTTTTTGTTGTATTATTTACTTTTTCTTTCTTTCTTTTTTTTTTTTTGAGATGGAGTCTCGCTCTGTCACCTAGGCTAGAGCGCAATGGCATGGTCTCAGCTCACTGCAACCTCTGCCTCCTGGGTTCAAGCAGTTCTCCCACCTCAGCCACCCAAGTAGCTGGAACTACAGGCACATGCCACCACACCCAGCTAATTTTTGTATTTTTAGTAGAGACGGGGTTTCACTATATTGGCCAGGCTGGTCTCGAACTCCTGACCTCGTGATCCTCCTGCCTCGGCCTCCCAAAGTGCTATGATTACAGGCGTGATCCACGTGCCCGGCCTGTATTATTTACTTTTTAACTGTTCTGGTGTAGAAGTACCTTCTTATAGTTTTCATTTGTATTTTGTATTTTCCTAATAAATAATGATGTTGAGCATTTTTTCATATGTTTATTAGCCATCTAGACATTCTCTTTATTAATAAAGCTTTGAGAAGAAAACATAGACTATCATCATTACCTTGGGACAGGCAAAGATTTCTTTTTTTTCTTTTAAGCAATGAGATCTCACTATGTTCCCTAGGCTGGAGTGCAGTGGCTATACACAGGTGTAATCATAGCACACTACAGCCTTAAACCTCTAGGCTCTATCAATCCTCCTGTCTCAACCTCCAGAGTTGCTGGGACTACAGGCAGATGCCACTGCACCTGGAAAACACTTCTTAAATAGAACACACACACACACACACACACACACACATATACCTATCCATAAAGAAAAGAGTGATAATGTAGACTTCCATTAAAATGTAAACATTCTGAGCCAGGCACAGTGGCTCACACCTGTAATCCCAGCACTTTGGGAGGTTGACACAGGAGAATTGCCTGAGTCCAGGGGTTTGAGACCAGCCTGGGCAGCATGGCAAAACCCCGTCTCTACAAAAAAATTAAAAATTAGCCTGGTGTAGCAGAGTGCACCTGTAGTCCCAGCTAATTCGGAGGCTGAGGTGGAAGGAACACTTGAACCCAGGAGGTAAGGCTGCAGTGAGCCAAGATCATACCATTGCACTCCAGCCTGGGTGACAGAGTAAAACCCTGTCTCAAACAAACAAACAAAAAATAAGTAAATATTCTGTTAATCAAAGGACACCATTAAAAGAATAAAAAAGGCTGGGTGCGGTGGCTCACACCTGTAATCCTAGCTTTGGAAAGCCAAGGTAGATGGATCGCTTGAGCCTAGGAGTGCGAGACCAGACTGGGCAATATAGTGAGACCCCATCTCTACAAAAAATAAAATAAAAAATTAGCCAGGCCTGGTGGCATGTTCCTGTAGTCCCAGCTACTTGGGAGGCTGAGGCGGGAGGATTGCTTAAGCCCGGGAGGCGGAGGTTGCAGTGAACTGAGATCGCGCCACTGCACTCCAGCCTGGATGAGAGTGAGACACTGTCTCAATAAATAAATAAATAAGCAAGCCACTAAGTGAGATAATGTATTTGGAATCATAACCAATATTCTTAAAGAACTCTTGGAAATTAGTAAGAAAAAAAAAAGATAGCTCAGTGTGAAAGTGGGCAATAAAACTTGAATTAAACCTTCCTTTCTGTATTTATTTATTCTGAGATGGAGTCTCACTCTGTCGCCCAGGCCGGAGTGCAGTGGCACAATCTTGGCTCACTGCAACCTCCACCTCCTGGGTTCAAGCAATTCTCCTGCCTCAGCCTCCCGAGTAACGGATTACAGGCACGCACCACCACATCCGGCTAATTTTTTGTGTTTTCAGTAGAGATGGGGTTTCACCCTGTTGGCCAGGCTGGTCTTGAACTCCTGACCTCAAGTGATCCACCTGCCTCGGCCTCCCAAAGTGCTGCAATTACAGGTATGAGCCATCACTCCTGGCCTATTTTTATTATTTTAGAGATGGAAGTCTCACTATGTTGTCCAGGCTGGTCTCGAGCTCCTGAGCTCAAGTCATCCTCCCGCCTCAGCCTCTCAAAAGTGCTAGGATTACAGGCGTGAGCCACCACAACAGGCCTTTATATATTTATTTATTTATTTATTTGTGACAGATGCGAGCCAATGTGCCTGGTGAATTAAACCTTCTTTATCATAAAGCATTACAAACACTGAAGTATTTTTGACTACACTTGTTTCTTTTGTCTATCTTTAATAAAGATAATTCATTCATGCAGTTTCAATGTTTTATATCTTTGCACAACTTTCTATATAAATAAAATCACAAATCAGGATAAAAACAATTCTTTTGAGCCGTAGTTTGTCCTCTTTGGAGTTTGGAAAATATACCCACAATAATTACTCCATCTAGTCTAGCTCCCCATTCGCCTGAGCCTTTATCTGACAAATGAACTCCCGGTTCTCAGGATTTCCAAATGTTCCAATAAAAACATGGAAAGGAATGATTCCCTCTCTGTCTTCAAGGATGAGGCAGATATTCTTGTTCAGATAAAGCCTCCCAGCCTCCAGGCACCTAGGCAAAGTAAAAAAACTCATCTTTCTTCATCTCTTCTGGGACTGTCTCAGAAAGCTGGATTTTTTCCCCATGCAAATTCCTCCTCCCCCACACTACCACATTCTTTGAAAATCAAAAAGTCCAAGAGTAGAGTTAGGCATGGGTGGCACACACTTGTAATCCCAGCTATGTGGAGGCTGAGGAGGGAGGATTACTTAAGAAAAAGCAAAAAAAAAAAAAAAAAAATTGAGTTGAGTTATAGTTTTACCAAGTCTTTGTGAATACAGAATACTTAAAGTGGCAAAGCCAGCCTGGAAAACATGGGAGAGACATAGACCCAGGTAGATACTGAATGCTTACCAGATGTCAGGCAGTATACTAGTATACCAGATGTCAGGCAGTAGACTAGATAAGTATGTCACTACTCTCAAGGGGCTTATAGTTTAGTATGAATGATCAATAATAACAGCCAGAATAAAATCTTCATTTATGTAGTGCTTACACTGTGCAAGACATTGTGCAAAGCATTTGAACATATATTTTTAATATATAATATATACAGTATATTATATATGGCTTTAACACATTTTTTCATATTTTTAATAACTTTAATCTTCACAGCACATTTAGGAAGAAGATATTGTTTTTAATCCCCTTTTTGATCAGTATATTGAGAGGTTAAGTAACTTGGCCAAGGTCAAGTAGTAAGAATTCAGACTAAGAGTTGAAACTAACACAATTAGAAGCGGGTAATAACAAGTGCATAGATTAGACAGCCAGAATGTACATAAAAGCGTGCTAGGAACACAAAAGAGGGACGACCTTTAGCCCAGCCTGGACAAGTCCAAATCTTCCTGGAGGAGGTGATATTTGAGCCACACTGAATGGTGGGTGGATTAGGAAGTCAGGCAAGGGGGAGGGCATTCCAGGCAGGAATTTCAGCACCCTGGGAGAAGCAGAGGTGTGAGACAACAAACCAGTGTGGCTGTGGATACATGTGGGAGACAAAAGCAGAGGCGTGGGAGGGCAACACCACAAGGCGCTTCATAGGCCGGCAAAGGAGTGTGAAGATTTGGGCCTTATCCCGAAAGCAGCAAGAGTCCCCAGGAGGATTTTAAGTAGGGAACTGCCTAAGTCAGATTTGGATGATGCTAGAGATGATCTGCAAAGTGGGAGGTGGTGAAGAAGCAGGGTAGGAAGCCTGGGAAGCCAGGGGAAAGAACTATTAGGGAACTAAAAACGTGTCTACTTACCTCAGAACCATACGCCACCACCATCTGTGGCCAAGGCAGCCTCACCCTAGTTTCTGACCTCACAAACAGCAGAGGTCATCTCCCTTCCCCTCCCAATTCATGGCATCCAGCCTTCTTCACCCTGCACTAAATACTTTTTCCTCTACGGGACTGTTAACTTTAGCCTTTTTTAAAACAGCTTTATTGAAATACGATTCGCATGCCATACAACTCAACATTTGAAGTATTCAATTCAATAGCTTTTAGTATATTCACAGAGTTGTGTATCCATCACCACGATCACTTTTAGAATATTTTCATTATCTCCAAAATAAACTTCCTACCCTTTAGCCACCATCCTCCAACTCCCCCATTCCCCTCAGCCCTAGGCAGCCACTACTCTACTTTCTGCCTCTACAGATTTGTCTATTGCGGACATTTTATATAAATGTAACTATACAATATGAGGTCCTTAGTGACTGGCTTCTGTCACTTTGCATAATGTTTCCAAGGTTCATCCATGTTATTGCATGTATCAGTATTTTATTCCTTTTTCTTGTTGAATAATATTCTACTGTATGAATATACCACATTTTATATATCTTTTAATCAGTTGATAGACTAAGCCTTGGTTTTTAAACCAACCACTGTCAAAAAGGATGGGTTTGCCATGGTTGGCTTTTGTAATCCTCCTCCATCCTTATAGCTTCAGTGCCAGTTCCTCCAACTGAAGTAGTGACTCACACAAAAGGACAGACATGTGGATGCTAATGTTTCCTACACTAGATTATAAACCCCATGAGGGAAGGACATTTGGGCATCGTGCAAGTGAGGCATGGTAGACAGCAAAGAGCTTAAGCTTTGGTTATATATATATCTCTATACACACACAAACATATATATACATATATACACACATACATACACACACACATATATATATGTATATGTATATATAGAGAGAGACAGAAAGAGGGAGAAAAGCTCACTCTGCCACCCAGGCTGGAGTGCAATGGCACCATCATAGCTCACTGCAGCCTTGAACTCCTGAGTTCAAGGGAACCTTCCACCTCAGCCTCCTGAGTAGCTGGGACTACATGTGTGTGCCACTATGCTCAGCTAATTTGTTTTTATTGTTTTGCAGAGATGAGGTCTCACTATGTCGCCCAGGCTGGTCTCAAAGTCCTGAGCTCAAGTGATCCTCCTTCCTTGGTCTCCCAAAGTGCTAGGATTATAAGCATAAGCCAAAGCTCTTGGCCAGCACCTACAATTTGGAATCAAAGAATCCTGGATGTGGATTTCAGCTAAACAACTATCGGATATGCAGCTTCTTAGGTCCCTTGCTGTAAAGTGTGAATAATAATACAGGGTGATTGAGCACTAGTGGTTCTGTAGGTAAAGTGTACTTTGTAAATTGTACCTATTATTATTAATATTACTATTTTTTTTTTTTTTGAGATGGAGTCTCACTCACTGTGTTGCCCAGGCTAGAGTGCAGTGGCGCGATCTCAGCTCACTGTAACCTCTGTCTCCTGGGCTCAAGCAATTTTCCTGCCTCAGTCTCCCAAGTAGTTGGGATTACAGGCATGCACCACCATGCCTGGCTAATTTTTGTATTTTCAGTAGAGACGGGGTTTTACCATGTTGGCCAGGCTGGTCTCGAACTCCTGGCCTCAAGTGATCTGCCCACCTCAGCCCCCCAAAGTGCTGGGATTACAGATATGAGCCAGAGCCCAGCCAATTGTAGCTATTATTGCTCTTATTATTATACAGACCCTTTATGATTTGGCCTCTACCTACTACTTTGGGCTCACCTCCTGTCAAATCTCCCCTTGCCTTAAACTTTATACTCCATCAATATCAAACTGCTCATTTTTTTTGTTTGTTTGTGTTTTTTTTTTTTTTTTTTTTTTTTTTTGAGACGGAGTCTCGCTCTGTCGCCCAGGCTGGAGTGCAGTGGCACGATCTCCGCTCACTGCAAACTCTGCCTCCCGGGTTCGCACCATTCTCCTGCCTCAGCCTCCCAAGTAGCTGGGACCACAGGCACCCGCCACCACGCCGGGCTAATTTTTTGTGTTTTTAGTAGAGACGGGGTTTCACCGTGTTAGCCAGGATGGTCTCGATCTCCTGACCTCGTGATACGCCCACCTTGGCCTCCCAAAGTGCTGGGATTACAGGTGTGAGCCACCGCGCCCGACCATATTTTTTAGTTAAATGTTATTTGGTTTCACGCACCCATACCTTTTACATGAAGTCTGAAATGCCTAAAACACCACACCTCCCCTGCTTGTCATGGGAATTCCATTCCCTTTGTTTTGTTTGTTGGTTTGTTTTTTATGAGATGGTGTCTGGCTATGTTGCCCACCCTGGAGTACAATGGCCATTCGCAGGCACCATCATTGCACATTACATGCTCTAACTCTTGGGCTCAAGCAATCCTCCTACCTCAGCCTCCCAAATAGCTGGGACTATAGGCATGCACCTCTGCACCTGGTCCCATCTGTGTTTCACAACCCATCCTAGGCATCAGCTTCTGAAGGAAGACTTTCTTCCTATTCTATCTCCTGGTCAGTCCTTCTGCTGTGCTTTCTCTATGTCTTGCATCTAGTACGTGCTTCTATTCATGTACTTATCCCTCTGACTACATCATACAGTGTGTTTCTCTGATTGTTTACCTGTCTTCTGGATTATGAGTCTCTTTGGGGCAGAGGCTGTACCTATAGCACATGGCCCAGTGCCTAGAATATAGTAAAAGATCAATATATTTCCACTGAACAAATGATATAACAGAGAGCAGAAGTCTAAATAGCCCCTAGGTTTTTGATAGTACCAGTCTCTAAGACTGGAACAAAGGACAGCTGGTTTAGGAATTAAATTCACCCAATGAAAGTCTAGCAGGCAGTTTAATACGTGTGTCTGAAAATCAGATGACAGATAAGGACCTCATATGCACTTTGGAGAGCTAATCCCACCGTTTTCAAATCCATGTCTACATGGAAACTGAAGTCATGATTTTGGTTATCAATGCCCCAAAACTGTGAATAGAGTGAGTAAAGGAGGAAACTAAGGACTTCCAGGAATACCCATTTCAAAGGGCAGCCAAAGGAGGTGAAGATTAAAAGATAATCAGCCAGAAATACAGAACAAGAACCAAGGAAGAGAGGTGTCCCCAAAAGCCAAAGAAAAACAGAATTTCAAGAGATGCGGATGCTCCATAGTTACAAGTGGATTTGGAGGTCATCAGGAATTTAGTGGAAGCGATTTCAGCAAAATATCAGGGGATTGGGGTGGTTGGGATTGCAGATGGCTATGGAAAAGAGAAAAAAGGAGGAAAAGGAGGATTCACCTACCTGATCACTCAGAAAAAGCCTCTCTTCCCTGCTAACAGATTTTAAGGCTGTATTTGTAGCTTCCCAAAGGACAGTCAGCTCCTCTAGAAGTCCATGGCAAGAACAACTTCATGGTGGACTTTTTGCTTCCAGGAGATCAAATAATTTTCCAGTGTGATTGATGCCTCTCCTCACTTCAACTCAGAAGAATAGTCTTCAGTTTATGTAAATTGAATCCCACAGATGGAGTGGCATCTTCAAAGCACGTAACAGATGGATGGTACCTGAACCCTAATTCCAGACCCTCTCAGAGGTCCCTGGAAAAAAAAAACAAAAACGCAATGTGCGTATATTTTGCCATAAACTAGATGAAATCCAAAAAATGGTTAAGGAGGAAGAGCTAGGCCTAATTGATCTTAAAAGCCTCAGTGGTCTCTAGGGTAGATAGGTGCCAAAGTGAGAACATAGGAATCATTTACCACAGGTGCTGGTTTCTACAATCTTAATATGTCATACATGTAAGCCTTTTCTCTACAGTTAGGCTATGAGAGCCTTGGAGAGAATGGGCATCCCCAAAGTACTAGACATGCAGTAGGAACTTATTAGACAATAGAATGTTTAGACAAAGGAATGACCTTAGAGACCATCTGGCTCAGCTGTGCCAAATCATCCTTTGTAAGTGTTTTCTTGTTGACTTGTCAGGCTTTGCCACTCAATTATAAATTCTTCTAGGGGAGATCCCTAACTTGTCTATCTTTCCTTTGGCAGTGCCCAGCAAGCAAAGGGTTTGGCCGTAAAAGGTGCTCACTAAATTTTTTTAAAAAGTATTTCATCTATATACTACCACTAGATGTTTGATGAATGGAGAAATGCACTCATAAAATCTCCAAAGCATGAAATGAAGCAATGAGGAAGCCTTCCTTCCAGATACTGGATTTAATGTCACTTCCTGAAAGAGGTCTTTACTGAGTGGGTACGCACTTTAATTGTTCCACAGAACTTCTCAGCTTACCTGTGCTTCGTTTGTTTTGTATTATTTATTTATTTATTTTTTGTAGAGACTGGGTCTTGCTGTGTTGCCCAAGCTGGTCTTGAACTCCTGGGCTCAAGTGATCCTCCCACCTCAGCCTCCCAAGTAGCTGTGACTACAGGCACCAACCACCATGTCTGGCTCTTGTTTATTTTTCAATTGTCTGCCCTTCTACTAGAATGTAAATTTCCAGAAGTTGGGGATCTTGCATATCTTGTTTAACACTGTAGTCAATTTACAGCCCTAGCAAGCCTGGGGCATAGCAGGAACTTAACATTTGTGGAATGAATGAATGGCTGAATGAGTAAGTGGAGCTGAAAGTAGGTTAGAATGGAAGACTCAGATCCAGTGAAGGGAGCAAAGCCATGGGCCAGGTCCTCCTGCCTAGGGCTCTTTTGTCCCCAGAACTAGTCACCTCCAAGCCTTATCTCCTTCTCCCCTCACCCACTCTCCCATCCCACAGCAATGGGGGCAGGGCCTCTGGCTTCAGAGCTTATTAAAGTCTCCATAGATAAGTAAATTCTGTTGGGTTGAATTGTGCCCCAGGCTACCAAGATTAATTAGGTGAGCCCAGCTAATGAGTTAACTGAGTTTTTACTTTTCCCTCATTTGAAGTTTTAATCCCCTTCTGTCTCCAGAAGCCCTTAAAAGGAGAGCTAGGAAAAAAATCATTAGGGTGTTTCAAGTCCCCACAGTGATTTCCCTTACAACACCATGCTTTGACTACAAGTTCTGCAATTGCTCCTCCACACAAGCAGAAAGGTTTTTAGGTTTGTTTTTAGGTGGACTGGTGGATGAGAAGACTTCCCCTCCAGCTTCCTAGTCCACATGATGCCAGAGAGTCGCAGCAGGACTGGGTGAGACCAGGTTCTGGCGACCTTCTGCCTTGTTTACTTAATTTACTGCTTGTGTCAAGACGGTTCTGGGAAAGTTGCTTATGTCACCTCCTAAGAGTAAGGGAAAATCTCTGGCTGCTGAAGCTGCTTATCCCTACTGTGGCCGTTCCGGGTTACCCACTTCTTCCTAATCCCAATTTGCCTTCCTTGTCTAGCTGCTAGGGGCTAGATGGCTCAAGGGATTTCTTTTGTTGATATTGCTGTTGGTGAGATTGCATTTTGCTTTGTCTTTCTCCTAACTCAAAACAGATGGAACAGGGAAATAAAGAATGGTTGATAATCCTAGTCACTTATCTTTGGTAAATTTCAAAGGGTAAGTGGAGGCAAATAAACAATCATTCAGTAAACAAGTATAGTTGTTTTTTTTTTTTTTTTGAGACAGAGTTTGGCTCTGTCACCCAGACTGGAGTGCAGTGGTGCCATCTCGGTTGACCACAACCTCCACCTCCCAGGTTCAAACCATCCTCCCAAGTAGGTGGGACTACAGGCGCATGCCACCATGCCTGGCTAATTTTTTTTTTTTTTTGTATTTTTGGCAGAGACAGGGTTTCCCCATGTTGCCTAGGCTGGTCTCGAACTCCTGGGCTCAAGCAATCCTCCTGCCTCAGCCTCCCAAAGTGCTGGGATTACAGGTATGAACCACCATGCCCGAACACAAGTACAGTATTTAATGCACATTAAGGAGGGCTTAAAATGATCCATATTAGGCTGGGCATAGTAGCTCATGCCTATAATCCCAGAACTTTGGGAGGCCCAGGCAGGTGGATTGCTTGAAGTCAGGAGTTCAAGACCAGCCTGGGTAACATGGTGAAACCCTGTCTCTAGAAAAAATTTTAAAATTAGCCGGGTGTGATGGTACACACCTGTGGTCCCAGCTACTCAGGAGGCTGAGGTGGCAGGATCTCTTGAGCCTGGGAGGTTGAGGCTGCTGTAAGCTGTGATTGGGACACTGCACTGCACTCCAGCCTAGGCAACAGAGTGACTCCCTATTAAAAAAAGAAAGAAAGAAGCAGAAGCAGAAGAAGAGAAGAAGAAGAGGTAGAGGAAGAGGAGGAAGAAGAGGAAGAAGAAGAGGAAGAGGAAGAAGAAAAGAAGAAGAAAGAAGAAGAAGAAAAGAAGAAGAAGAAGAAAAGAAGAAGAAAAGAAGAAGAAAAGAAGAAGAAAAGAAGAAGAAGAAGAAGAAGAAGAAGAAGAAGAAGAAGAAGAAGAAGAAGAAGAAGAAGAAGAAGAAGAAGAGGAAGAAGAAGAAGAGGAAAAGAAAGGAGAAGGAGAAGGAGAAGAAGGAGAAGGAGAAGAAGAAAAAGAAGACGACAAACAAAAAACCGAAATGCTTGGCCAGAAATAGAGTGGAGGCCATGTGACTGGAGCAGTGTGGCTGTGGGAGAGAGGAATGAGAAGACTTAAAAGAGGTGAGCAGGAGCCAGAACACCGGGGACTCTGTAGGCCATGGTAGGTGGCTTGATGGAATTCCAGGAACAAAGGAGAGTGGCCCAAGGGATGCCAGCAGGAAAGCCTTGTGATCTAATTTGCAATTGCAAAAGATTTCCCTGTCTTCTACATGGAGAATGAATTAGAATGCAGCAAGAGAAGATACACAGAAACTAGTCAGAGGAGGTATTGGGGTTGACCAGGTGAGAGATGGCAGAGGCTTGGCTAGGGTGATGATAGTGAAGGTAGGGAGATGTGAATGACATCAAGGACATGATCTGAAAGTGGGACTGACAGGGCCTGCTAATAGATTATGAAGAGTAAGAAGGAGAGAGAAATCAAGAATGCTGTCTTTGATTCTGTCCCGAACACATGCATCTCTACTCCCTTCTCCATCCCTAACCCCTTCCTCTGTCATCCACATCCCAAGAGTTTCCAGTCTCCCTGAGTCTTTGGTCAGAAAACCAATTTTCCTGGGCATTGGACAAAAATTTGTCTCCAGGATTTCAAACCAGCAGATATATCTCTTCTCCTTCTGCCTGGGACTGTGGACTCCTGAAATCTGTAAGTATTTTGCAAGTTCTCTTACCAGGACCACATTCTTGAGAAGAGGGTTCCTGTGACTCTGGGCCAAAGAAGTGCTGAGAAGGTAGTCCTCTTCAAATCACTCACAGCCCTAAACAGGTGAATCAGCCTCGACTGGCATGTGAATTTGTCCCACTGATTGAAAGAGTAGAAATTTATGCTAGTGGCAGGTGCCAACCAACAGTAGATTCAACATAAGAATTCAGAAAGGCAAACCTATGTGCATGTCATTATAAAAACAACTGTGACAACAAAAGGCACCAGTCCAATTTAAGACATAAGCTCCTAAGGAACAAATTTCCTAACAAGACTTCCTTGTTTGCTCTATGCAAATGTTGAGGCTTATTGCACATTTGACACAAAGACTAGACTTTATGTGAAAATTCACACAAACATTTCAATTGCCTAGTGGCTTGAAAACTAAAGGAGAGGTCTGTTGTGTATGTGTGGGGTGAGGGTGTGGCAGTGAACTGGGGCAACAGGCAGACCGTACAAAAAAGAGGGTGGATTTAATGGTGGCAAATGCCTGATCCTAACCCTTTCTCCCTGCCCCCAGGGTGAAGGATAATATGAGCCTTGCCATTCAGCAACTACACTAGAATAGAATTAATAGCACTTGTGCTGCCCAGAAAGCCATTCTCTGAACAGATGGCATTTCCCAGAAGGACTAAAGCCTAACAAGCCTGAGCTTAAATCCTGGAATTGGCTGGCTCACAATAACTATGAAGGAAGAAAAATCCCCTGTTTGGTTTGGCTTTCAGTCTCTCCTAGGCCAGGAATCAACGCTTCATGAACTGAGGAGATGGAAAGATAGAGCCTCTAATGTATACCAGATCGGGCCACAAAACCTTCTCAGCAATGGGCATACATCCTAGGCCTGGCTCTCTATAAATATCCGATGGCTCCTTGGGAAGGAAGCTGGACTGTCTCTCCAGTTCAGGCCCATTTCCTTTTCTGACACTTTCCAATGCCTTCACTGGAGGGCTGCCATGTAGCCTAAATGCTGGAATACCATGACCTGAAGCCTGTCTCCAAAGAGACTCTCAGAGGAAGGGAATGTCATCTCCTCATCAAATCCAATATATTAAGAAATGGCAGGGAGAATCTCAGTGAAGATGGATGTAGGGAGAAAGGTTATGAAAAAGAGAAGTCAACAGCTGAGTTCAAACCAATTCAGACCCTCTTTGGACAACCAGTGGGACTTCAGACACTCACCTGGGAACCTGATGGTATCTCATTGCTAACCTTACATGACTCACTTTCCAAGTGATGTCCATGCCCTTCACCAACATCTTTTAAGTGTCATTTACTTGTGTTTTGGGACCAAAGTGTTACAACTACATCTTCATATTTAATTGAAAAGGTTTATTTTTTTCTAAATCAGAACTGGCCTTTCAGTCAATGGCGTGACAACTTCCCTAAAACTAGTAAGGACAAGAAAAAAAATTTTTTTTAAGAGACAGTGTTGACAAAGAGACTCTGTCTCAAAAGAAAACAACAACAATAACAACAAACCAAAGAGACAGGATCTCACTCTGTCGCCCAGGCTAGAGTGCAGTGGTGTGATCACAACTCACTGTAGCCTCGAACTCCCAGACTCAAGCGATCCTCCCTCCTCAGCCTCTTAAGTAGCTAGGACTACAGGTACACATTCCCATGCCCAGCAAATATTTTATTTTTGGCGGGGAGAGATGGGGTCTCACTAGGCTGCCCAGGCTGGTCTTGTACTCCTGGGCTCAAGCGATCCTGTCACTGTGGCCTCCCAAAGTGCTGGGATTACAGGCGTGAGCAGCCACAGCACCGGACAGAAAATTTGATTTTAAATTTAATTTTTTTTTTTTAGAGACTGGGTCCCATTCTGTCACCCAAGCTGGAGTATAGTGGCACTGTCATATAGTTCACTGCACCCTAGACTACCTAGGCTCAAGAGATCCTCCCACCTCAGCCTCGAAAATGCTGAGGGGCGTGAGTCTCCACTCCCAGCTAAAACAGAAAATTCTAATAGGCTGGAGCCCCACAGCATTCTGATAATATCGTATGCACATAACAGGTGTAATCTGAGTCAGGCTGTCGGATCTAATCTCGTGCCTGGAGAGCAGAGATCTAGAAATCATGTCTTAGATTTGAATTTCACCTTTGCCATTGAGTTGTAGGACTTTATTTTCTTTGTTTTATTTATTTTTTGTTTTCTTTGAGTTGTAAGACTTTTGACAGGTCACCCCTTCTTTTTACTGCCCACTCACATAGATGAATTTAGAACAACCAGTTCGAAAACAGGTACGATGGCCAGGTGCAGTGGCTCACACCTGTAATCCCAGCACTTTGGGAGGCTGAGGCGAATGGATCACTTGAGGTCACGAGTTCGAGAACAGCCTGCCAACATGGTGAAACACCATCTCTACTAAAAATACAAAAATTAGCCAGGCATGGTGGTGTGCGCCTATAGTCCCAGCTACTCGGGAGGCTGAGGCACGAGAACCTGTAGAACCTGGATGGCAGGGGCTGCAGTGAGCCGAGATTGCACCACTGCACTCCAACCTGGTGACAGACAGACTCCGTCTCAAAAAAAAGGTATGGCAGGGGAGGCAACAACAACAAAAAAATAGACACAATTCTAGTTACCTAACACTGCATCATTCTGTGAGTGTCTTAAGGATTGCAGATGGGGGTTTGTGTAAATCACTTGCATTTGAATAAAACAGATATGCACATATGAAAAATTCACTTAGCAATAAGCAAAGATTTAATCTCTGATACAATTTTGAACAATATCCTGACAGTTCACAAATCTTTTTTTTTTTTTTTTTTTTTTTGAGGCGGAGTCTCGCTCTGTCGCCCAGGCTGGAGTGCAGTGGCGGGATCTCGGCTCACTGCAAGCTCCGCCTCCCGGGTTCATGCCATTCTCCTGCCTCAGCCTCCCAGGTAGCTGGGACTACAGGCGCCCGCCACTACGCCCGGCTAATTTTTTGTATTTTTAGTAGAGACGGGGTTTCACCGTTTTAGCCGGGATGGTCTCGATCTCCTGACCTCGTGATTCGCCCGCCTCGGCCTCCCAAAGTGCTGGGATTACAGGCGTGAGCCACCGCGCCCGGCCCACAAATCTTAAAAATTCACTGGTACATCTTGGTGGTCTGTTTTTCTGAGTCTTTCAGATCATTCAGTCTTGCACAAGCAGCAGCTGCAATCTACCGGGAGGGAGATTCTGCAATGGGAAACCACATTGCTCATGCTGGGCAAACAGACCTGTCATTTCTAGAGACCTGGAATGATCCTGCCTGCCTGGCTGCAAGGCAGGGAGGAAAGCAGCATTCATCTATTCAATAGCCTGGTGGATAAAACAACCCCATTGCCAGGTGTGGCGGCTCACGCCTGTAATCCCAACACTTTGGGAGGCAGAGGTGGGCAGATCACCTGAGGTCAGGAGTTCAAGACCAGCCTGGCCAACATGGTGAAACCCCCATCTCTACTAAAAATACAAAAATTAGCTGGGCATCGTGGTGGGTGCCTGTAATCCCAGCTACTTGTGAGGCTGAGGCAGGAGAATTGCTTGAACCCAGGAGACGGAGGTTGCAGTGAGCCGACATGATGCCACTGCACTCCAGCCTGGGCAACAGAATGAGACTCTGTCTCAAAACAAACAAACAAACAAACAAAAAAAACCATTGAAGTGGAGGTTTGGAGGACTTAGAGACTTAACTATCCTTTAAATTATAACTGAGAAGTTAAATTGGGTATGTTTTTAGAGAAATTTGACTTTCTCAGAAGGAAAGTGAAAAATATAAAATCCAGAGAGAAATACAAAGTATAGTCAGATCAGTAATTCTTAGCTTATTTTTTTTTTTTGCAGTCTGTCCTAAGGTGACATTTTGTGTGTTATTTGTTTATTGTTTATCATTTAGTTCTCTCACTAGAATGTAAGTGCTATGAGGGTAGGAACATGTGTATTTTATTTCCATATTTCCATTACATTACCTGGCCCTAGTAGAGTGCCTTCCATAAAATAAGCATTCAAAAAAAAATTGTTGAATGAATGAATAATGAATGAATGATTCAGACTTTTTCACGTCCTAGACCCCTTTTTAAAAAATCAGTGGAAGTGGCTGGGCACGGTGGCTCATGCCTGTTATCCCAGCACTTTGGGAGGCCAAGGCAGGTGGATCACCTGAGGTCAGCAGTTCAAGGCCAGCCTGACCAACGTGGTGAAACACTGTCTCTATTAAAAATACAAAAATTAGCTGGGCATGATGGTGGGCGCCTGTAATTCCAGCTACTCAAGAGGCTGAGGCAGGAGAATCGCTTGAACCCGGGAGGTGGAGGTTGCAGTGAGCTGAGATTGTGCCACTGTACTCCAACCTGGCCGACAGAGGGAGACTCCATCTCAAAAAAAAAAAAAATCGGTGGAAGTTATGATTCTTACCTTATCCCCAAAATACATATATTCAAAAATGTAAAATATATGTTATTATATTACATAATTTATACATATATAATTACAATACATATTATTACATTTTTATATCTATCTATCTATCTATCTCTAATTGAATCTTCTCATGCAAAGGTCCCAGTTTGCAAAAGACATTCCTGCTTCACCAATGGTATCTGTTATCCCTAAAAAGCACATAAACAAAAGCTCTGCTGTCATTCTCCTTGGAAAAAATCCTTTTTTTTTTTTGGTAGAGACTGGGTTTCCCTCTGTTGCCCAGGCTTGTCTCAAAGTCCTGGCTTCAAGCAATCCCCCAGCCTTGACTTACCAAAATAGGATTACAGGCATGAGCCACCACGCCCCAGCCCAGAGGAGCAATTCTGAAGAGGCTTAAGACTGGGACTTTTGGGTCTTCTGACTCCCAGGATAAAACATCTGACATTGGCTCTTAGAGACATATGAAAGGTCCTGGGTCATTCCAGACATGTGACCAGTAAAAGGAGCCCTTCGGTGAAAGGGAAGAGAAAAAAAACTCTAAATTTGGACTCAGAAAACTTGAGTTCTAACTCAGCTCTTGTGCCATACTGGCTGTAGAATCATAGCTAGGTAATGGACTTCTCTGAGCCTCAGTTTCCTCATGTGAATGAAGAGGTCTGGCCTAGGCCCAGCATTCCACATTACAGTATCATAACTTCTAAACCAGGCAAATGAAGGAGCGACAGAGCTTCAGATGAAACAGGATGTTACTATGTAGTTAAAATGTCCATTTTGTAGCAGTGCTCCCTTGCTATGAAAAGAGAGCATGACTTATGCTGAAGCACAAGAAACTTTAAGTAAGATAACAGAAAGGACTCTCAATAATATAAGGACTGTGAGACAGAGTCAGACATGTGGGTGCTTGCAGAATATCCCTCAGAAGGTGTAGTGGGATGAGGGCCAACATTCATCTCTCAGATGATCTGTTCTAGTATTTGCTGGAAAAAGATCCTCAAGTCCAGTTGCCTCCAAAATCCACCCACTCTTTGGGTCAGGCATGGTGGCTCACGCCTGTAATCCCAGCACTTTGGGAGGCCAAAGTGGGAGGATCACCTGACGCCAGGAGTTTAAGACCAGCCTGGGCAACATAGTGTGATCCCATCTGTAGAAAATATTACAGCTTTTTAAAAAAATTTTAAATCTGCCCACTCTCTGACCCTAGGAATATCCCTAGGCTTACGTTTTCCACAAATAAGATTTTATTTTATTATTTGAGACGGCGTCTCACTCTGTTGCCCTGGCTGGAGTGCAATGGTGCAATCTTGGCTCACTGCAACCTCTGCCTCTCGGGTTCAAGTGATTCTCCTGCCTCAGCGTCCTCAGTAGCTGGGATTACAGGTGTGCATCACCACGCCTGGCTAATTCTTGTGTTTTTCGTAGAAATGGGGTGTCACCATGTTGGCCAGGCTGGTCTCGAACTCCTGACCTCAAGTGGTCCGCCCGCATCAGCCTCCTAAAGTGCTGGGATTACAGGCGTGAGCCATTGCGCCTGGCCACCACAAATAAGACTTTAAGTGAAAAATTTCTACATTTATTCTAATGCTTTGGGAAAAAGTATTGATTGCCGTGGGGTATTTTCTTCTAGTCAGTTCTTTCACACAAAGAAATCTAGACGAAAGCGACATTGATTGGGCACCTCCCCGGCAGTTCTTTCCATGGGCCATCTTGTTTAATTCTAGAGCAACCCTGAAGGGCACTTATTTCCTACCAATTTTACAGATAAGGAAACTGAGACTCAGACAAGTCAAGTCACTTTCTGCGAACAAGCTAGGAAATGGGGCCAGAATTTAACTCCAGGTCTTTCTGGAGTGGAAGCTCTTTCCACACACCTGGTTGCCACCAGGGAGGAGCTAAGTGGTGTTTAGGCAGCCAAGGGGTTTCTGGGCCTCAAGTGGTGCTGTGCACCATGCACAGTTCACTCACTCTTCTCCCCGCAGGCCAGTGTACACTGCAGATGCTGGGTCTGGAGCCTTCTCCACTCCTTTCCTGAGTTACTATCTCTGAGCGTTTCCCTTACAATGAACTTTTAGACTCCAGCACATAATCAGAATTAAAACAGAGGTCAAGGTGGGGCATGGTGGCTCATGCCTGTAATCCCAGCACTTTGGGAGGCCAAGGCCGGCAGATCACCTGAGGTCAGGAGTTCAAGACCAGCCTGGCCAACATAGTAAAACCCCATCTCTACTAAAAATACAAAAATTAGCCAGGCGTGGTGGCACACGCCTATAGTCCCAGCTACTAGGGACGCTGAGGCAGGATCGCTTGAACCCAGGAGGTAGAGGTTGCAGTGAGCCAAGATCATGCCACTCTACTTCCAGCTGGGCAACAATGCGAGACTCAGTTTAAAAAACAAAACAAAACAAAAAAAGAAATTAATAATAAATAAAATAAAACAGAGGTCAAGAGATAAATGACTTTCTGGAGACAGGTAAGAATTACAGGTAATGGGAGAACTCCAAGGCTTTCTATCCCGGGAAAAGATTGGGAAAAGTCCCAGGGAGAAGGGAAAGGGGAAAAGCTGAGGGATAGGGAAGCAGTCTATGCTGGGATTCAAAGATGCTCATTGGTTCTGTTTTTTTGTTCTTTTTTTTTTTTTTTTTTTTTTGAGATGGAGTTTCACTCTTGTTGCCCAGGCTGGAGTGCAGTGGCACGATCTTGGCTCACTCCAACCTCCGCCTCTGAGGTTCAAGTGATTCTCCTGTCTCAGCCTCCCGAGTAGCTGGAATTACAGGCACCCACCACCACGCCCGGCTTATTTTTGTATTTTTAGTAGAGACAGGGTTTCATCGTGTTGGCCAGGCTGATCTCGAACTCTTGACCTCAGGTGATCTGCCCACCTCAGCCTCCCAAAGCGCTGGGATTACAGGCATGAACCGCTGCGTCCAGTCACTACTCTTTGGTTCTTAGAGTGGCAAGGGTTCTCCATCACCCCCAGCCCCATCACTATGGCCTTTCTTTGCCTGACTTACATCTCCTCATCCTTCCAGAGGCATTCATCTCAAAAGGCATCTTTTCTAGACATCCTCCTGTTAGGACCGGGGCCCTTCTCTGGGATCCTATAGGAGCCAGTGCACATCTTAACATTTACCAGATTATAATAAAATAATGTTAATGAATCTCTCTGCCTCAGTGGACCATCCTGAGGATAACTCTCTTTTATCCATGTCTGCACCCCTGGCACCTGGTACAGTACCTGACAACTAAGAGGGGTTCGAGCAATGTTTATCGAATACTCAAGATACAGAAGCTCTGAGAGAAATGGGGACCTCAGGACAATGGGAGAATGGAGACCTGGAAGTGAGATCTGTGGAGAGTGGGTACTACTCTGTCAGGACCTGTTCCAATGCCTGGTGGATGTTGCACAGTCTAGCTGGATGGTGCAAAGCTTCTAACACTGCTGGGAGTGGTTCCACTTCAAACAATTCTAGTTTAGAAAGTTTCTTCTGGAGTTGGGCCAAAATGTAAGCCCCACTAACCTTTACATGTAGACTCTCACCTAGGATCCCTTTTGTATAGATACTACAGGTCCTGTATAGAAATGTCCTAGCTGGAGAGCTGTGCCCTATTTCTAGGCATCTGGTGATGCTAAAGAGGCAGAATGAGGTCAAGTTTGTGTTAGAGGCTTTCTGAGCTGTCATTACAGAGCTGCGCATAGTCCCAGCCTGCATCCTGCTCTGTGTGACCTCCAGAACACCAGGTGACCCTGAGCCATAACTTCTTCCTCTGTGAATAGGGATGCTGACATTTTCTTCCTGACTGTGTCGTGTGAGGATGAAAAGTGAGGATGTGAGTAAAGCCTCACCTGGCCTTGGTCAAATCTCAGTGAAAGGTATCTATTGAATTATTATTGAAATATTATTATTGATATGGTTTGAATCTGTATTTCCCACCCAAATCTCATGTTCAATTGTAATCCCCAGTGTTGGAGATGGGGCCTGGTGGGAGGTGATTGGGACATGGGGGCAGTTTTTCATGAATGGTGTAGCACCATCCCCTTGGAGCTGTTCTGGTGATAGTGAGTGAGGTATCCTGAAATCTGTTTGTTTAGAGGTGTGTGGCATCCCCGGCCCACTCTCTCTTCCTCCTGCTCTAGCCATGTAAGACATGCCTGCTTTCCCTTTGCCTTCTGCCATGATTATAAGTTCCCTGAGGCCTCCCCAGAAGCAGCCTCTACATTTTCTGTACAGCCAGCAGAACCCTAAGCCAACTAAATCTCTTTTCTTTATAAATTACCCAGTCTCGGGTGTTTGTTTGTTTGTTTGTTTGTGACAGAGTATTGCTCTGTCACCCACGCTGGAGTGCAATGGCATGATCTCGGCTCACTGCAACCTCCACCTCCCAGGTTCAAGCAATTCTCCTGCCTCAGCCTCCCGAGTAGTTGGGATTACAGGCGCCTGCCACCATGCCCGGCTAATTTTTGTATTTTTAGTAGAGATGGGGTTTTGCCATGTTCATCAGGCTGGTCTCGAACTCCTGACCTCAGCGGATCCACCCACCTCAGCCTCCCAAAGTACTGGGATTACAGGTGTGAGCCACCGCGTCCAGCCCAGTCTCAAGTATTTCTTTATAGCTATTCGAGAACTAATACAATTATTATTCCAATAACAAGACTCAGCAACTCATTTAGTAAATTCAACAGCTACTTTAGATAAAATTCTTCATGAGCAGAAATCTTCCTTTGCTTAAGCCACTACTTAACTTATATTACCAGATTTTTGCAAGATGGTGCCCAGGATTAAGAACGTAGTTCAGGCCAGGTACAGTGGCTCACACCTGTAATACCAGCACTTTGGCAGGCCGAGGCAGGCGGATCACCTGAGGTCAGGAGTTCAAGACCAGCCTTGTCAAAACGGTGAAACTCCATCTCTACTAAAAATACAAAAATTAGCCAGGCATGGTGGTGCATGCCTGTAATCCTAGCTACTCGGAAGGCTGAGGCATGAGAATCACTTGAACCTGGGAGGCAGAGGTTTCAGTGAGCCAAGACTGCACCACTGCACTCCAGCCTGGACGACAGAACGAGACTCCATCTCAAAAAAAAAAAAAAACAAAAACAAAAAAAACCACAGTTCAACAATTATTTAGCCCACTCTCAGAGACAAATCCTATATGCTAGACTCTAGTAATATAGAGATAAAAGTAGCTCATAGTCCAGCAGTGGGAATAGTCACAGAAAGAAATATTAAAATTTTTGATTAGTGCTCACTTCAGCAGCACATATACTAAAATTGGAACTATACAGAGACTATTAGCATGGCCCCTTCACCAGGATGGCACACCAATTCGTGAAGAGTTCTTTGTTTCTTTTTCTTTTTTTTTTAAGAGACAGTCTCGCGCTGTTGTTCAGACTGGAGTGCAGTGTCACAATCACAGTTCATTGTAAACTCAACATTCCATATTTTTTTAAGATTTTTTTAAAAATTGTTGATCATCGAGGAAAGATGGATCACTCATAAATAGTGCTGGGACAATGGAGGACCCACCAACATATTGCACACAAGCAGAAATACTAGGCAGATTAAAGACTTAAATATGGCCAGGCTCAGTGGCTCACGCCTGTAATTCCAGCACTTTGGGTGGCTGAAGCGGGTGGATCACCTGAGGTCAGGAATTCGAAACCAGCCTGGCCAACATGGTAAAACCCCACCTTTACTAAAAATACAAAAAAATTAGCTGGGTGTGGTAGCAGGTGCCTGTAATCCCAGCTACTCAGGAGGTTGAGGCAGGAGAATCACTTGAACCTGGGAAGCAGAGGTTGCAATGAGCCAAGATCATGCCACTGCACTCCAGCCTGGGCAACAGAGTAAGACTCTGTCTCAAAAACAAACAAACAAAAAAAAGACTTAAATATAAAAAGTAAAAAAATAAAATAAATAATAATGAAATAAGAGAACACGTCTATATTCACAGAGTAGGGAAAAAAAATTTATTTTTGTTGAGGTAGGGTCTCATTCTGTCACCCAGGCTGGAGTGCAGTGGCATGATCTTGGCTCACTACCACTTCTGCCTCCCAGATGCAATCGATTATCATGCCTCAGCCTCCTGAGTAGCTGGGATTACAGGTGTGCGCCACCACGCCCAGCTAATTTTTTTGTGTTTTTAGTAGAGACAGGGTTTCACTATGTTGGTCAGGCTGGTCTTTAACTCCTGGCCTCAAGTGATCTGCCCACCTCAGCCTCCCAAAGTGCTGGAATTACAGGGTGTGAGCCACCATGCCCGGCCAAGTTTCTTAAACAAGACACAAAAGTACTAACTATAAAGGAAAACATTTGCTTGAGGCCAGGAGTTCAAGACCAGCCCGGGCAATGTAGGAAGACCCCGTATCTACAAAACACAAAAAATTAGCTGGGCATGGTGATGCGCACCTATGGTCCCAGCTACTCAGGAGGCTGAGGTGGGAGGATTGTTTGAACCTGGGAGGTGGAGGCTAGAGTGAGGTGATATCGTGCCCCTGGATTCCAGGCTAGGCAACAAAGCCAGAGCCCATCTCAAAATAAATACATAGATAATAAAGGAAAATACTGATTAATTTGACTATCCTTAATTGAAGAATATGTGTTTATCAAAAGATCCCGTAAAGAAAGTGAAATGGCTCCTTCCCGACCTGGTGGAGCAGGAGGCGCCATCGTGGGAGTCAACATCCACCACAGCAAGGACAGAAAGGTTGGGTGCAGGGAGCCCAAGAGCTGGACATCTACCTACGGCTGTTGGTCAAGCTGTCCACCTTCAGCCAGGTTATACTGAAGAGGCTTTTTGTGAATCGCACCAACCAGCCACCTCTGATCCTGACCGGAAAATGAAGCTTCCAGGCCCGGAAAACAAAACGGCTGTGGTTTCAGGCCCACAGCTGCGGCTGTGTGGGTTCAGGAGGTGCCCAGAGTAAAGCCTCGCACTGCGTGTGAGCGGCCAGGGCCCAGCCGCATCCCCACGGCTGGGGCAAGATCCGTACCTTTGAGCAGCTGGCCCTGGACTCCCGCAAGAGCTGTGGCACCATCTTGCTTTTTGGCCCTCGAAAGGGCCCATAGGGACACTGGCATTTACCCCGGGAACCCCACACAGCTACACCAAACCCTACGTGGGTTCCAAGGGCCGAAATTTTCACTGTGCCAGGGCCCCATGGGCCAGCCGCACTATAAAAACGAACCCTGATCCTACTCTCTTATTAAAAACATTTTGGATGCTCTATTAGTTCGTTTTACCCCGCTAATAAAGACATACCCGGGACTGGGCAATTTACAAAAGAAAGAGGTTTATTGGACTTACAGTTCCACGTGGCTGGGGAGGCCTCACCATCATGGTGGAAGGTGGAAGGCATATCTCACATGGTGGTGGACAAGAGAAGAGAGCTTGTGCAGAGAAACTCCCCTTTTTAAAACCATCAGATCTCGTGAGATTTATTCACTATCACAAGAACAGCAAGGGAAAGACCCCCCCGCCCACCCATGATTCAATTATCTCCCACCAGGTCCCTCCCACAACACGTGGGAATTCAAGATGAGAACTGGGTGAGGGCACAGCCAAACCATATCAGATGCTGAAAGAAAGAAAAAAAAAAAAAGAAAAGAAAATGAAAAGGCTAGACACAAACTGGAAGAAGATACTTGCCACACACATAACCAATGAAGTAGTAGAATCTGGAATACACAAAGGGCTCAGAACAAAAAAAAAAAAAAAAAAAAAAAAAAAAAGAAAGACACTGAGGGATGGGACTGAGGGATGGGACTGAAGGGTTTACAGAAGGCCCTAGATGAAGAGGTTCCCACTAGAGAGTCATCAGCCGTGGAACAGAGCAACACTGTGGCCTACAAAGGGACTAAATTTAGCAACTTGGTCTCATTCATTGTGAATACAGATGTCAGATAAGATATAGGATGACCAGGAAATTTGAATATCAAACAAAGAATAATTTTTTTTTTAGTTTTAAGTATGTCCCATGTAATATTTTGGACATAGTTATGCTAAAAATGTTTGAGACACACGAACTAAAAAATTATTTGTTGTCTATCTGAAATTTGACTGTACTGGGTACCCTGTATTTTTATTTGCCAAGCCTGGCAACCCTAATTATGAACTTCTTGTTAATTTCAAAGAAAATGTCTTTTGGCTTGTAAGTCAAAACGAATTATACAGCACATAAAAAGAACCATTTTATAATAGTAAGACTTTCTTGCAAATGGCAGAGCAGAATAATACCAGAAAAGTTGGAGGTACAGGAGCTTGGAATGGTGGTGTGCACCTATAGTTCCAGCTACTGGGGAGGCTGAGGCAGGAGGACCACTTGAACCCAGGAGTTCAAGACAAGCCAGGACAATAGAGACAGACCCCCATCTCAAAAAAAAAAAAAAAGGTTGAGGTGTGAAACCAGTCAAACTTTAGTTTGAACCCCAGCTCTGCCACTTGCTAAGTCTAGAGTAACTTACTAACCTTTTTATGTGTTGCTCTCTTTATAAATAAAGTGCCTACCTTCATGGGGCTGTTGTAGTAAATGAGGTAAGATGTGTTGTAAGTGCTTGGCATGGTGCCAGGCACAACATGATGTGCTCTTGATAGTACTAATCACTCTTACCCATGCACTGGGGTTTCTTAAAACTAAATGCTAGAATAGATACATAGCATCTTGGTGACCAAGAATGCATCCTCATTTCTGGAATATTTAAGACAAAGTCAGAGGCAGAGGCTCCCCACCCCTGGCCCCTCCCATCCCTCACTGCTCCAGATTCCCTTATTGCTCAAGAGCTAGAAGGCATAAAAGGGACAAGATGACCTCCAAGATCCTCCCAACCCTAGGATTTGATGGTCCTTATTTTCTGAGTAACATTAGGTTCCTAATGGCGGTCACTCTTAGTGGCTATGACTGAGGGAGGTGTCAAATTATGTTCTACAGTGTGAGTTCAGTTATGGGGATTACTCTGAGGCTGTAAAACATGTATTTATATTTCTGCTCTGGAAAATACAATGTCCTATTCTTTCTAAGTCTTATTCATAGCTCAAATTGTCACTGAGGATCCAGAGAAAACAACATGCATAATTAGTTGCGGGCCTGGCCAAGATCTCAGAGACTCCAAGAGCAACACACTCTTTAACGTACAGAACTCTCTCTCTCTATCCTTTTTCTTTTTTTCTTCCTGCCCTCCCTATCACTCTACCCCTATATGCTACATGAAAGATTATTTTTGTTAATGTAGTCACAGGTCCAACTAACAGGCAATTACTGTCAAAACACATTAATTTTAAGAATGTGAGGCCAGGTGTGGTGGCTCACACCTCTAATCCCAGCACTTTGGGAAGCCAAGGGGGGGCGGATCACTTGAGCCCAGGAGTTGAAGACCAGCCTCAGCAACATGGCTAAACCCCACTCTACAAAAATTATCCGGGTATGGTGGCACACACCTGTAGTCCCAGCTACTCGGGAGGCTGAGGCACAAGACTCGCTTAAGCCTGGGAGGCAAAGGTTTCAGTGAGCCAAGAACACATCACTGCCCTCCAGCCTGGGCAACAGAGCGAGACTCCGTCTCAAAAACAAAAACAAACAAACAAAAAGAATATGATTGACAAATAATGATGATATTGCCAATCAGGGGGAAAAAAAGTTTACATAATAAAAAAAAAGCCTGTCACCAGAATAAGAAATAAAGTATCCAAAACAGACATTACCATACTCTGCATCAGTGGCTCCATAGCATAAAATGATCTGAAACTCCTTGAAGGAGGAACTAGATGGGTAGGTGTTGGTGCAGCTGCAGGCCCTGAATTACATGGTGGCCATTCTTCAGAAGACAATTTTTCACAGCATGGCAGAGAGACCCAGAATTTAAACTCAGCCGTCACTCAGGAGGAGTAAAGAAGTGACAGAATTGAGAGTTGGAGCTACACAGGGGCTTCCAGTGATGTCAGCATCTGGTGGGTTTTCACCAGGGGGGTAATTGCACACCTTGCTCAGTTTCACTCTTTCTCCATTATAGGAGCCTCAGACATTTCCGAACTAATTTGGTTGAGTGCTCAGAAAAGCATCAAGCTGGCCAGGCGCCGTGGCACACGCCTGTAATCCCAGCACTTTGGGAGGCCGAGGTGGGTGCATCACCTGAGGTCAGGAGTTCAAGACCAGCCTGGCCAACATGGTGAAACCCCATCTCTACTAAAAATACAAAAAAATTAGCCAGGCATGGTGGCGCATGCCTGTAATCCCAGCTACTCTGGAGGCTGAGGCAGGAGAATTGCTGGAACGCAGGAGGCAGAGGTTACAGTGAGCCGAGATCACGCCATTGCACTCCAGCCTGGGCAACAAGAGTGAAACTCCTTCTCAAAAAATAAAAAAGAAAAGCATCAAGCCGGTTTTAGGATAGATAATCAGCCTTTCTTTGCAGGCCGAAGTCCTCTCATTCTTACTCAGCCAGTCAGCCCACAAATATAAGCAAGCTCGCCAGATCCTCAGCACACCAGAAGATACCCCAGCTTTACAGCACACCAGAAGATAACCCAGCTTAATGGTTCCAAATAGTGTCACGTCAAGTCATGCTGCAGAGATCCCATCAGAGCTCCAGCAGAACTCATGAAATTACATAACAAATAATGCTCTCTCCCTTCCAGCCTGGAGTAGCAGAAAGAGGTGGAGCTGCGATTAAGAGTCCTGTGCAAGAGCTTAACTTTGGGCCTCCACCTTCTTATAAGAGGTGAGCAGGATAATCCCTGAGGTCCCTCATTGTTTGGACATTCTATGGCGTGCACTGCCTCGTGGAAAAGAAAGCCCTCTCTTCACTCCCAGATGCAGATTCTGATGGCTCTCTCAAGTATGTTAATATTTTGTTATCGTTTCCTTTTTCCTTGGGAGAAAAGAAGGAAGGACAGAGAGAGAAAAGCCTTTAGAAATCAACAAAATTAAAACCATAAAACACAAAGCCATGCTTTTTAGAGTTGCTCAGCTGCTGGGGCAGGAATAAAGCAGCTCCTCTGCAATGCAAGAGGCTGTAGAAGAGGCATTCTAAGGCCAGGCGCCGTGGCTCACGCCTGTAATCCCAGCATTTTGGGAGGCCGAGGTGGGCGGATCACAAGGTCAGGACTTGGAGACCAGCCTGGGCAATATGGTGAAACCTTGTGTCTACTGAAAATACAAAAATTAGCCAGGCATGGTGGCACGTGCCTGTAGTCCCAGCTACTCGGGAGGTTGAGGCAGAAGAATTGCTTGAACCCAGGAGGCGGAGGTTGCAGTGAGCCGAGATTGCAGCACTGCACTCCAGCCTGGGTGACAGAGTAAGACTCCGTCTCAAAAAAATAAAAATAAAAAAAGGGGCATTCTATCCCATGGCCATGACTCTGACCTCACCTGGTTATCAAATCCAACTTGTATATTCAAAGTGAAATGCAGGATGCCACTGACAACATGCCTGGAGGCTCAGAGGTCTCCAGTGAGCTAGAAAACAAGACACCACATTCCTCCCTGCTCCTGCCCCAGAAAGATTTCCTGGCTTCTCAGCCTCTGTTTCCTAATCTAAAACCACCTCTGGAGTGTCACTTGGATGATTAATGAAAACATCATTCATTTACCGAAAATGAGTGTTTTGCTAAAAGAATATAAGATCCTGAAAACTGTTTTTTTTTTTTTTTTTTTGAGACGGAGTCTCATTCTATCGCCCAGGCTGGAGTACAGTGGCAGGATCTCAGCTCACTGCAACCTCCACCTTCTGGGTTCAAGCAATTCTCCTGCCTCAGCTTCCCGAGTAGTTGGGCTTACAGATGTGCACCACCACGCCCAGCTGATTTTTGTATTTTTAGTAGAGATGGTGTTTCACCATGTTGGCCAGGCTGTTCTTGAACTCTTAACCTCAGGTGATCCACTCGCCTTGGCCTCCCAAAGTGCTGGGATTACAGGTGTGAGCCACTATGCTTGGCTGAAAAGCATTTTAAGAAAAGGCAGGTCAGGAGATCGAGACCATCCTGGCTAACACGGTGAAACCCCATCTCTACTTAAAATACAAAAAAATTATCCGGGCGTGGTGGCGGGTGCCTGTAGTCCCAGCTACTCAGGAGGCTGAGGCAGGAGAATGGCATGAACCTGGGAAGTGGAGCTTGCAGTGAGCCGAGATCATGCCACTGCACTCCAGCCTGGGCGACAGTGAGAGACTCCCTCTCAAAAAAAAAAAAAGGCAGAGCAATCCTTGCCAATTAAGGAATGTTTCAGTGTCCCCCTCTTCCCACCAACTGTCAGAAGAGAAAAGAAAGTTTCCCTGAGGGGTTTGGGGAGGAGTTTCCTTCTTGTTTCCATCACTACAGCCAGACAAACTGTCTCCAAACTGCCTGTGATCACTACAGCAATGTTAATTATTACTGGAAAATGAAGAGAAAAATCATTTAGCCCTGGGATCTAGGTGACCATGGGTGCAACATTCAAATCCGCTTCAGTTCAAAAGGATTTTCAGGGGAAAATTCCACTGTCTACTCCCCAAGCCATCACTTTCCTGGCTGCCTATCACTCACCCCCAGAGCTTCCTCCTCCACTCACCCTAACTGCCCAATCAAAGAGCAACCTCAGGTCCCCACCCAGGTAGAGACAACATCCCATGTCACACACCTCAGGGCAGCTTCACATCTGGAAGGGACGAAAACTGGAACGGTCATTCCGGATATTGTCTTTCCTGCCTATCTGGGGACTAAGGCAATGTGTGTGTGTGTGTGTGTGTGTGTGTGTGTGTGTGTGTGTGTGTGTGTGTGTATCAGAGTGTTTTTCATGTTTACATGAAGTTTCCATCCAAAACAAAACAAAATTTCTCCCATTAAAGAGAAAAGGTCCCCAAAGGCAGTGCTTCTCTAAATATGTGCCTCAGGATATGTGATGAGCAAAAATGCTCTTTGGTTTTATATCAAAAGACAGTTTAGGGCTCACGCCTTAATCCCAACACTTTGGGAGGCTAAGGCGGTGGATCACTTGAGTCCAGCAGTTCGAGACCAGCCTGGGCAGCATGGCAAGACCCTGTTTCTACAAAAAATAAAAAAAAAAATCTCAACTACTCAGAGGTTGAGGTGGAAGGATCACCTGAGCCTGGGGAGATTGAGGCTGCAGTGAGCTGTGATCATGCCACTGCACTCCAGCCTGGGTGACAGAGTGAGATCCTGTCTCAAAAAAGAAAGAAAAAAGAAAGAAAGAGAGAAAAAGAGAGAGAGAGAAAGAGACAGAGGAAGGAAGGAAGGAAGGAAGGAGGGAAAGAAGGAAGGAGGAGCTTAACAGCATTTTTCTTTTTGAGGGACTCACTCTGTTGCCCGAGCTGAGTGCTGTGGCATGATCATGGTTTACTGAAGCCTCGACTTCCTGGGCTCAAGCAATCTTCTTGCCTCAGCCTCCCAAGTAGCTGGAAGGTGCTCACCACTATGTCCAGCTAATTTTTTATTATTTGTAGAGACAGGGTCTCACTATGTTGCCCAGGATGGAGCTTAACTGTCTTAAACTGATTTCTGGACTATGAGACTTTGCAGGTATGTACTGTGAGCCTCCAAGTAATGGATACGGCTTTCGGTATCACTGAATTTCACTGGACCATGGAACGCTTTCATCTTGCTGTTAATTATGGAACTAATGCTCTTCAGAATATACTCTGGGAAAAGCTGTCTTTGGATGAGGATAAGAATTTCTTCTTTTCCCATTTCCTAATCTCTGATTTATTAATTACTCTTTTGGAATTGTGGAAGCAGGACTTGATTTAGAAACACAGGTCACCACAGCAACTTGAGAATCTGTTGGATGTTCAGTTTGGGAGCCTAAGAATCATTTTCTAAGCTTTTCTTATTCTGGTAGCTGAAGAAGAATAGACTTATTTGTCCACAACTTCCTCATCAGAAAAGCAGCCTTTGAGCTGGATGTGGTGGCTCATACCTATAATCTCAACATGTTGGGAGGCCCAGGCAGAAGGATTGCTTGAGGCCAGGAGTTCGAGACCAGTCTGGGCAACATAATGAGATCTCATCTCTACAAGAAAAAAAAAAAAAAAAAGCAGGGGGGTCCAGTCACTGAGCCACCACCGAGGACTCAGCAGCCTCCCTTTTGAGCCCCCTCACTTCCTGACATTCCGTCCCGGCTGCCTGCCTTCTCCCGCCACCGCTGCCTTCCGCAGGCCGTTTCCACCGAGGAAAAGGAATCGTATTGTAAGTTCGCTATCCAGAACCTCCACTCTTTCGACCCCTTTGCTGATGCAAGTAAGGGTGATGACCTGCTTCCTGCTGGCACTGAGGATTATATCCATATAAGAATTCAACAGAGAAATGGCAGGAAGACCCTTACTACTGTCCAAGGGATTGCTGATGATTATGATAAAAAGAAACTAGTGAAGGCATTTAAGAATTTTGCCTGCAATGGTACTGTAATTGAGCATCCAGAGTATGGAGAAGTAATTCAGCCTCAGGGTGACCAATGCAATAACATATGCCAGTTCCTCGTAGAGCTTGGACTGGCTAAGGACGATCAGCTGAAGGTTCATGTGTTTTAAGTGCCTGTGGCTCACTGAAGCTTAAGTGAGGATTTCCTTGCACTGAGTAGAATTTCCCTTCTGTCCCTTGTCACAACTTGGAAAACCTCCACAGCTTATGTAATGTAACCGTTTGGGGTCTGCTCTTAACTTGGACTAGTGTAACTCCTTCATGCAATAAACTGAAAAGAGCCAAAAAAAAAGTGTCGGGGAGCAGTCTTTTATCTCAGAAACCCAAGATCTCCAAGAGGAAAGAGACCTTAGCATTGTCCTGAAGCCCGTTACTTTTTCCAAGTACCTTTGAGACCAACTCATTTGAACTTCCTCCTCTCGGACTCCTCTCTACAACTTCTCTCTACAACTTACCAGTGGATATACTTTAATGGGATACAGATGGGGTTTTAATTTTATGCAGTGGCTCTCAAAGTGCAGTTCCCAGACAAGAAGCATCAGCAGCACCTGGAAACTTGTTAGAACTGCCCTACTCCCAGATAAGAAGAATCTGAAACTCTGGGAACAAAGACTGAGCAATCTTATTTTAAAAAGCCTTCCAGGTGATTCTGTTGCATGTTAAAGCTTGAGAGCCCCTGGCCTTGAGAAATCCTCTTTTACATTTTCATTTATTCATTCTGCAAATATTTGCTGAAGACTGAGGCTAGAGTAGTGTTCAAGACAAACAAGGTCCTTAACCAAAGGAACTAAACAATAAACAATAAACAAACACCGAAATGAGATTGTTAAAGTTAGGGTGGTAGGCAAAATGAATGAGGGAGGACAATTTAAATAGAGAAGTCCATGAGAGCTTCTCAGAGGAGGTGACATCTGAGCTGAGACCTGAAGAAGCAGAACGAGCCATCCTTTTAAGGAGCGGGAGAAAAGGCATTCAGATGGGAAGAACAGCAGTGTCAAAGCCCCTGAGATGAGAAAGGGTCGAAGGTATTGGAGGATGAGAGACAGGCCAGAGAGTAGGAATAAATTAGTCTGGAAGATGCAGATTCCCACACACCCCATCCAATGAGCTATTTATTCAGCAGGTTCAAGAATCTGCATTTTCACAAGCTCTTAAGAAATTCTGATGCCCACTGAAATTTGAAAGCCACTGTCCTGGCCGGGCACAGTGGCTCACGCCTGTAATCCCAGCACTTTGGGAGGCCAAGGGGGGCAGATGGTCTGAGGTCAGAAATTTGAGACCAGCCTGGCCAACATGGTGAAACCCCGTCTTTACAGAAATACGAAAATTAGCTGGGCGTGGTGGCAGATGTCTGTAATCCCAGCTACTCAGGAGGCTGAGACACGAGAATTGTTTGAGCCCAGGAGGCAGAGGTTGCAGTGAGCCGAGATAGCTCCACTGCACTCCAGCCTGGGCGATAGAGCGAAACTCAGTCTCAAAAAAAAAAAAAAAGAAAGAAAAGAAAAGAAAAGAAAGAAAACCACTGTCCCCCTAAAGTCACACAGCTATAGCATGTCAGAGCCGAAGGGGCAGCACAACTAAGACATGTAAAACTGCAGATCAGGCTTCATGCTTAGCAAGTGGAAACCTGATATTATGGACTCTGTCCAGTGCCCTTGTCACTAAGAAAATGTGCCCAGAGATCAGCACTGGGCCCAACCTTGCGGGATTTCCTCAGTTGGTCAGTCAGTGAAGTTTGCTACTGGGCTTCCCTGAGGGAGATTCACTGTGTGTCCACACCCCACACGCCTGCAGACATTTGTCCAGAGAGAGAACATGCGTGCTAAACATTGTGATCCCTAGATGACCCCTCTGGCTCCCCAAAGAGATCTAGCTGGAGAGCAAAACAGCAAGCAAAGTGGACCATAGCCAACGTGGACCTAAATTTGAACAAGCTGGGGGAGTAGCCTCGGCCTGGACTGTGACATGGGGAGGAGGGTATCACTTCCTGAGTTCCTGCTCAGAGCAGGGGAGGATCCCTATCTCTTGGCAGATGCTCCATAAACGGCAGTTGAATGTTGAAAGAAGGATTAACAAAGGACTGAAGCAGTTGGGTATGCGGGACTGTGAGAGGTAAAGGGTTTCTCTGTGTAGATTAGATCGTCAGGTCCTCAAAGAGAACAGAACACTTAGTCCACCCACCTTTCCACCACACGTGCCCAGCAAGAGCCTTAGCATTAGCCTCTTGTGTGATTTCATGGTCCCTAACACTGTTTTCCAGGTGCTAGGCAGCTGTGCCAATTCTAGGGTGTAATCAAAGAATGAGACAAAGCTGCAGAGAATGAAGGCACTTTTACTTAGATTAAGTTTGCTAACTGTGTTGCACTGTATAATTTTTCAAGCATTTTTGCTTCTATTAGCTCATAATTCTGCCTGGAAAGCTCTTCCCTGTTTGATGGGCTGGTGCTTTCTCAGCTTACAGAAGGAAGCTTTTATTATTATTATTATTTTTATTTTTTGAGATGGAGTCTCACTCTGTTGCCCAGGCTGGAGTGCAGTGATACAATCTCGGCTCACTGCCTCCCAGGTTCAAGTGATTATCCTGCCTCAACCTCCCAAGTAGCTGGGCTTACAGATGCCCACCACCACGCCAGACTAATTTTTGTATTTTTAGTAGAGACAGGATTTCACCAAGTTGGCCAGGCTGATGACGAACTCCTGACCTCAGGTGATCCGCCCGCCTCGGCATCCCAAAGTGCTGGGATTACAGGCATGAGCCACTGGGCCTAGCCTAAGGAGTCTTAAATAATTATCACTTCCTCCAAGTTAATCTGTTTCATCATTCTGCTTATCTCCCTCAGAGCACGCATCATAGTTGGTGGCTATCTTATTTAACCGTTTCCTCGTTGACTATCTCCCCACTGTGGAATGGGGAGGCTCCGTAAGGGCAGGGATTACTGCCATCTTGTTCAGCACCATACCCCACCACTAGGAAGAGCTGGTTCCATTAATGAATGGAACGAGTAACAATTCAAAAGCAGGTGATAGTCAGTCGAGTCCCCGAGGCACAGAGAGAAAGAGTGAGCTGCCTAACAATTCAAAAGCAGATGATAGTCAGTCGAGTCCCTGAGGCACAGAGAGAAAGAGTGAGCTGCCTAACCCCTAATGCCAGGTTAGTGGCAGAACCTGTGCTAGAATTTGGGGCCTTCTGGCCCCTAGTACCATAGTCAGGAGGATGCTGCCCCTGTCCTGGAAGGGAGAGGAGAGACAATCGCATACCTACAGGGGAGGGAAATGAGAGACAGCAAGACACCAAAATCAGCCTGTCTGTCCTCTCTATAGACAGTATCCCCAACCCATGGGTTTCCTACTGTGTGATGAGAACCTCAAGCCAAGGAGACAGAATTTGTATTACCATTGAGTTAAAACCTTTGAGCACATCCTCTTACACCAGTACCACTCACTGCCTGAGCCTTGCCAGAACCCAGAGGTGAGGACTCGGGTCAGTGGGACTGTCTTAGTCTGCTCAGGCTGCTACAACAAAATATGGGATGGGCAGCTTTAATAACAGACATTTATCTCCCACAGTTCTGGAGGTGAGAAGTCCGAGACCAGGGGCCAGCATGGTCAGGTACGGGTGAGGGCTCTCTTCCTGACTTGCAGACAGCTGCCTTGTCACCATACATCTTCCTCTTTGGAAGATGTCTCTTATCCTCGTAGAGGGCACTAATCCCGTCATGGGGCCTCGCCTTCATAACCTTATCTAAACCTAATCACCTCCCAAAGGTCCCACCATCCAACACAATCACATTGCGGGTTGGGGCTTTAACATACGAATTTGGAGGGGGACAGAAACATTCACTCCATAACAGGGACCCAGAAGGTGGCAGCCCCAGAGCAAAGGGTTGCTGAATGTGAACCTTCTGTGATCTTCAGCCAAAGCTGAGAAGGGGAGGTAAAAGGAAATGAGCAAGGAAGATGGAGAATTCTACCCATGGGTTAGTTTACAACAGTTCCAGGACAGTTCCCATGGGCTTGCTGGGCTCACCAGGCTCCACTGGGAAATGAAGGCCACTCAGCTGGACCCCATTAGCAGGCCTAGATTTCCATTCCAGTTTGCCGCTGACCTGGTGCGGGCTAGCATGCTGCCCGAGGCTGGGAAAGAGTGAGGGACAATCTCGGCACTGAGTCACCCAGCTCAGCAACCAGGAAGCTTACATAACAAGATGGATTCCACGTGTTTGTACATCAGGCTCAGGCTACGGGGCAGTCAGGAAAAGGGTGAGCTTGGGGACCACAGGAGGGAATGGGAGGTGGTTTTGAGCACCCTGGTGCTGCATCTGTCTGTGCCAGGAAGTCGCTGTGGACTCAGGAGACTGTGAGAGGGCACCTGACGTGGCAGAGCCCCTAGAGATTACAGATACAGACTGAAGAGAACAACATAGAACATTAGCTTTAAATCAGTATTACACAATTCTCATGCACCCTGTCCTCAAGGCTGGGGAATGTTAAATAGCCAAGTAAAAAGAAACACGGGAGGCAAATGAGTAAGAGACTTAGTAAAAACCTGAACTCCTGGACTAAGATTTGTCTTCAGGGTATTGTTACTGCCACAGAGATAGCAATCACAGTGACATTGGAACGATGTTTGTTGGGTAGGGAAACAGTCTGTGGGCTAGAAAAATGTGAGTGGGCAGCTGTTTGAACTTCACTGCAAAGCTCTTTTCAGACATGACCCTTTACAGATGAAAATGAGGAGACAGGCCATGTTAGGAGACTTTCCTGGGAATTGGTGGAAAGGGGGCATCCTTCCTTTCAAGTCTTTTTCCACCCTAGCTTTTTTTATCTGCAACCTCTGCCTCCTGGGTTCCAGTGATCCAATCACTTCCAAGAAAGCAACCCCCAAACCCCCCTACCCCACACATACTTCGGTAACATGGCCTAGAGAAGTTGTCTACAAATAAAATAAGCCCTTCTTTCCCATCCAAAAACTATTTCTTTCATGTATATTTTTTAATGTGCATACAATTTCTCAGCCTCTTGGCACAAAGGAAGTGATAGGCTGTTGTACTATTTCTGCTCTGCGTAGAGTGAGAAGTGCTTTCTTCTCTAGAGGGAGAGATTTCAATCAGAATTCTAGATCACCCTGGGTCATCTACTTGCCTCCTTTTTTTTTTTTTTTTTCTTTTGAGACAGAGTCTCACTCTGTGGAGTGCAGTGGCACAATCTTGGCTCACTGCAACCTCCACCTCCCAGGTTCAAGTGATTCTTCTGCCTCAGCCTCCTGAGTAGCTGGGACTACAGGTGTGCACCACCACACCTGGCTGATTTTTGTATTTTTAGTAGAGATGGGGTTTGTCATGTTGGTCAGGCTGGTCTCAAACTCCTGACCTCAAGTGATCTGCCCACCTCAGCCTCCCAAAATGCTGGGATTACAGGCATGAGCCACCACACCCGGCCCTACCTGCCTCCTTGAGCCTATTTCCTCCTCTGTAAAATGGGGTGATTGTAGTATGTAACTTCACAGGGTCTCTGAAAGCTAAAGGAGATTGAGATCTTTGGATACTCAAAAGCCCTGGACAAATATTTATAAGTTTACAAGGGTTTTTGTTTGTGTGCTTGTTTTTGTTTTTGAGACCGGGTCTTACTCTGTTGCCCAGGCTGGAGTGCAGTGGTGCTATCATGGCTTACTACAGCCTTGACCTCCCAGGCTCAAGTGATCCTCCTGCCTCAGCCTCCAGAGTAGCTGGGACTCTAGGCACACACCACCATGCCTGGCTGGGTTATTTTAACAGTTGGAAATATTAAAATTATTTCTAAATAAAATTGTGAAGAAGGTATCAGAAAGTGAAAAGGAGATTATGTTTTATCTTGCAGGGATAATAAAAGGACAGTGTTTTTGTTTTTACTGACTGTTTTTTTTTTTCTTGTCTGACAAACACAAAAAGAATCTGATTAAAGCCATAGCCAAACTCTCCAATGGGGGAAAAAAAAGATATTTTTCAAATGCCCATACAATTTCAGAGGGATCATGGGTACTCTGAGGGTCACTAGGGATCTGAAAATAAAAGTCCTATTATGTAAAGGATTTGTGCCCATAATAAGTCCATGCCTGCCTCTTGGGCATCTTCAGGGAACAAGGAGGAAGAGAAGAAGTCATCACTGAAAATCTTGTGACACAAATAGGTCACCCCTAGGGGACAAATACTCTAACACGCTTTTTTTTTTTTTTTTTAACAGAGGCCAAAGATGACTTTTGGGGACTGAAAGTGGGTTGTTTGCTTTGTTTGCTTAGTGAAAGGCTGGAGCTGGAATGGGAGTGTTCACTGCTCCCAGATCAGGGCTCCCTGGCTGGACATGCCTTCTAGCCCATTGACAGGAGGGTCTGTCAGGACCTGTGGGTGCTGAGGAGCCAAGCTCCATGCACAGTGAGGCTGAGAGAACTAAGGCTGAACGCCAAAGAGGGAGTAGAGAAAATACAGGCCGGGTATGGTGGCTCATGCCTGTAATCCCAACACTTTGGGAGGCCAAGGCAGGCGAATCACCTGAGGTCAGGAGTTCGAGACCAGCCTGGCCAACATGGCAAAACCCTGTCTCTACTAAAAATACAAAAAATTAGCCAGGCGTGGTGGTGGGCACCTGTAATCCCAGCTACTTGTGAAGCTGAGGCAGGAGACTCACTGGAACCCGGGAGGCAGAGGTTGCAGTGAGCCGAAGTCATGCCACTGCACTCCAGCCTAGGCGACAGAGCAAGATTCCGTCTCAAAAAAAAAAGAAAAAAGAAAAAAGAAAGAAAATACAGGCCATTTTTCCAACACCAGATGCCCAGATGCCTTTGCTCTCCTTTCTTTGAAGCACAATACAGAAATTGTGGTGTGCAATGAGTTCTCCTCACACAACCATGACTTTGAACCCTGGGCCCAGACTGGCCTTGAGTGGAGTGATGAGACCCACTGTGTTAATAAGCAGATTCAAAACTTAGGACTCAGAGCCTCTAACCTGAAAAATCCTTCAGAAAGTGGACTCCATGTCCTTTTCTCCTTCACCCTGGGCTGAACAGTGCTCAGCAGCTAACATGTGACTGCAAGCTCTTAGGTAACTGAGCTCAACCTCCAGAGGCTAAGAGAAATCGAGAGAGGTATGGGTAAGATCCAACTAGAGCAAGTACTCTGCACCCAGCAGGGTGATCATCAGGACCTCACTCTTAGGGCAAGAACCAAGAGAGGCCTCTTTTTGTCAGAGCATTGAGCTTCCTACATAACGGTGAGGTCCACCATGTCTGCTGAGTGCCAGATATTGCTTCGTGATTTCCTTCTCTCAGTCATGGCTTAAAATACATTTGTGAAGATGTAAGTGGACCATGTCTAAACAGCTCCTGTTCAACATTAATGGATTTGATATCATCTATCAGACAAACTAGCAGGAAACAGGGGTTTAAGAAAATGAGACACAGGATAGGTAAATCAGGATGGTGGGCACAATCTGGGCCATGGAATGCTGCCCAGGAGAGGTGAGCTGGGTGAGCTTCTTTTTGTTCTTTTGACCTGACCCTAGCAGTCAGTACTAAGTTGAATAGGATTTCCCAAGACTCCTGTTCACCTGGAGCCTATGACTGATTTTATTTGGAAATAGGGTCTTTGCAGATGTAATGAAACTAAGAAGAGGTCATATTGAATTCACATGGGCCCTAAATCCAATCTGACTGGTGTTCTTAAAGGAAGAGGGACTGGGCACAGTGGTTTATGTCTGAAATCCCAGCACTTTGGGAGACCGAGGTGAGAGGATCACCCGAGGTTAGGCATTCGAGACCAGTCTGGCCAACATGGCAAAACCCCCATCTCTATAAAAATACAAAAATTAGCCAGGCATGGAGGCATGCTCCTGTAATCCCAGCTACTCAGGTGGCTGAGGCTAGAAAATCGCTTGAACCCGAGAGGCAGAAGTTGCAGTGAGCCAAGATTGTGCCACTGCACTCCAGTCTGGGTGACAGAACAAGACTCCATCTCAAAAAAACAAAGAAGAGGGACATTTGTCATGTAACAATGGAGGGAGTGATTAGGGTGGTGCATCTACAAGCTGAATCCAAGAATTGCCAACAACCCCCAAAAGCTAGGAGGGGGGCATGAAACAGATTCTTTTTTAGAGCTTCCAGAGGGGATAATCTTGCCAACAGCTTGATTTTACATTCCAGATTTCTAGTCTCCAGGCCTGAGGGGGAATAAATTTGTTTTGTTTTGTTTTTTATTTGTTTGTTTGTTTTTTAGGCGGAGTCTCACGCTTGCCTAGGCTGGAGTACAATGGTGTGATCTTGGCTGACTGCAACCTCTACCTCCTTGTTCAAGCTATTCTCTTGCCTCAGCCTCCCAAGTAGCTGGGACTACAGATGCGCACCACCACGCCCGACTTATTTTTGTATTTTTAGTAGAGACAGGGTTTCGCCATGTTGGCCAGGCTGATCTCAAACTCCTGAACTCCAGTGATCCACCCGCCTTGGCCTCCCAAAGTGCTGGGATTACAGGCGTGAGCCACTGTGCCCCGCCTAATTTCTGTTGTTTTAAACACTCAAGTTTGTGGCACTTATAACAGCCCTAGAAAACCCATTCATAATCTTTGATAACTTTTTCACTACGTGGTATGAAAACGTGTTTCAGGCTCATCTTGAATAGTTTGTGACCCAGGCCTGCAGTGTTTCTTGGCTGATTTTAATAGACAGAGTAGGGGAAAAATATATATATATATGTCAAGATGAAATACTTCATGAGTTCATAGTGATGTTTCCAATTCGAATCAGGGCTGGTATTTCTGATTCAAATTCTGAAAATCCTGTTTCTCAAGGACCTAAGGATAATAGAATATTCTACAGTTTCTCATCTGCTTTATCCTGCATTATAAATACAATAGTCTCAGAATGACCATATTAATACTACCACAAGTCATTATGATTATTGAAAACAGCTTAAAAAATTTTGCTGATCCTATACACATTCTCTGGTTATACTAAATTTGCATTGTCAGAGCATATAACTATTACATATACTATACCCTCTGTCTTTTAACCTTCAGTTAATCTAATTCTACCAGTGATTATATATTTAATGCTCACCAGTCATCTCTATGCTGATTGTTCTCAAGTCATTTGGGTTGTCTAATGCATATTGTTTAATAAATTCCTTAAGAAGGGCTCATGGGAGTGATATTCCTTAAGTTCTTCTTACATGTTGATAAATTTATCAGTGTCCTTTCTGCTTTAAGGTTAAGTTTGGCCAGATTTAAAATCTTTAGTTTACATTTTCCTTCCTTGAGCACCTTAAATATGTTACTCCATTTGCTTATTAAGCATTATTGTTGAAAAGTCTAATGATAAACTAATTTTCTTTCCCTTACAAGTAACATGCACTTTTTACTGAGATGCCAAATGGATTCCTTCGTTTCCTTTAAAGTCTAAAAATTTTACTAATATATGTTTTTGGCTTTTTTTTGTTCATGATCCTAAATTTTCTAGAACTGTTAGATCATGTCAAAAACTTTACTAATATATGTTTATTCTCAAGCACATTATGTGCTCTTGCAATATGTAGTTTCGAATCTTTTCCTTGAGGCAGGAGAATCTCTTGAACCTGGGAGGCGGAGGTTGCAGTGAGCCAAGATCGCGCCATTGCACTCCAGCCTGGGCAATAAGAGCGAGGCTCCATCTCAAAAAAAATATTTTTTTCTATCTTTTTTTTCAATTTTAGAAAGTTTTCTTTTTTGCTTTTTGTTTTTTGTTTTCTAACACAGAGTCTCACCCTGTCATCCAGGCTGTGGTGCCATCACAGCTCACTGCAGCCTCGACTTCTTGCACTCAAGTTTTCCTCCCCTCTCAGCCTCCCGAGTAGCTGGGACAGGAAAGTTTTCTTGAGTTATAGTGTTGAGTATTCATTCTGTTTCTTTGTTTTGGTTTCTTCTTCAGAACTCTCATTATCTTTGTATCATATCTTTTTGCCTGTCTTAAATATTTGTCATTTTTCTCAAATCCTTTTTAATCTTTCTGCATTCCTTTTTGATTCTTATAATTCTCTGCCTTTTGACTTTCTATTTCTGTTGTTATATTTGTTATATTTGTTTGGTTTTGTATTCATTCTAGTTTGATCTTTATTTTGATTTTTTTCCTTTTCTTTCTATTTCCTAAGTTTTGTCACCTCCTTTCTGAGCTTATTTAATTCTGATGTATATTATCTAATTCTGATATGACATTATTTATTTATTTTTAATTTTTAATTTTTTAAAATTTTATTTTAAAACTAGAGATGGCATCTCACTATGTTGCTCAGGCTGGTATCAAACTCCTGGGCTCAAATGATCCTCCTTGGCCTCCCAAAGTGCTAGGATTACAGGCGTGAGCCGCTGTGTCCAGCCTCTTTTTTTTATATAATTTTTTTAAAAGATGAGGTCTCGTTTTGCTGCCCAGGCTGGAGTGCAGTGTCGTGATCATAGCTTACTGTATCCTAGAATTCCGGGGCTCAAATGACCCTCCTGCCTCAGCCCCACTCCTGAGTAGCTAGGACTACAGGTGCACCAACATGCCCAGCTAATTTAAGACATTTTCTTAGTGTCTTTTACTTCATTTTGAAAAAAGAATACTATTATTTTGATCAGGTATTTTGGATATTTCTGTTTTTTTTTTTTCTTTTAGCATATCTTCCTGTCATGATTTCATGATCTGTGGGGACATTATTATTACTGTTTTCCTTATAAACATTCTGTTTGAATTTGAATTTGACACATTTCTGTTGCTCATTTTTATGGAAAGTAAATTTTCTAGAACTGCTAGAAGGAGCCTTGATTCAGTTAGCTTCTCTAATTTCACAGAGCTTCCTCCTGTATTATTTTTGGGTCATATTGAAAAAACAAAACCAAACAAAAGCCCATAGGCTTTTGTTTTCTGAGATTTCCGGGTTCTGTTCTCTTCCACCACTTTGCTCTGACCTTCTCTTTCCGTTTCTTTATTGTGCTGTCCTGTTTGTTCTTCACTCCACACCCAGCAGTTCCTCTTCACATAAGATGGTGTCCAGGATTCCTGCGATGGTCAGCTCCCCAGGTCCGGGTACTGCACTTCAGCCCCTACCTGCAGACCTTGCTGCAGGTCGTTGCACCACCTGCCAGTAGAGTGTGTTTCAAACTACCCTCCTGTGCTTTCCATACAATAACTATTGGCTATTTTGTGGCTCTCCTGTTCTCAGGCCCACCAAATACTCTGTCCCTTTCCTCTGCCTTGATGCTGATACCTGTCCAGGTCTGTGGCTATAAGTAATTTGTTTCTCTCCACTTCTATTTTGGGGTTCATAAGGATACTTCATCACCTAGTTTTGAGCTAAATGTTGTCCAAGGGTTTTCATTCTCATTCTATTTTTTATTTTTTAGGGGGATGGGAGCACACAGTGGTGCCTTCTTGAGTCACTGCATCCTTGACCTCCCAGGCTCAAGCAATCCTCCTGCCTCAACCTCCCAAGTAGTTGGGACTGCAGGCACATGCCATCACGCTTGGCTAATTTTTGTATTTTTTGTAGAGATGAGGCTTCACCATGTTTCCCAGGCTGGTCTCCAGATCCTGGGCTCAAATGATCCTTCTGCCACAGCCTCCCAAAGTACTGGGATTACAGGCATGAGCCATGGATCCCAGCTTTGGTTCTCATTCTATTTTCTGTTTTTATGTGAGGATTCAGAAATATCCAAAAACTAGGCTAACACTGCTGTTGCCATCTTTCCAGAGTGATTCTTTCCAAAAATGTCAGATCATGCTGCTTCTCTGTTCAAAAATCTTGAAGTGAATCCCCATTTCACTCAAAGTAGAGGCCAATGTCCTTACAAAGGACTTACAAAGCACCATAGGATCTGTTATTTCCTCAGTGCCCATCACCTCTCTGAAGCTTCTACTTTTCTCCTCTTTGCTTCCTCTGCTCTAGCTACACTGGCTTCTATGCTGTTCCTTGATGTAGCACACGTCTTCCCATCCCTGGGCCTTTGCTTTAGCAGTTTTCCCTACCCTGATCACTCTTCCCCCAGCTGTGAGCCTGGCTAAGTTAACCACTTCCTTCACGTCTTTGCAGCTCTCTAGGTCAATGACGTCCAGCCTGACCACCCCATCTAAAGCTACAGCCTCCCCATCCAGCACAGATTTCCTTTACTCTACTCTGCTTTCTCTTGTTTCCTTAACATTTAATGCCGTTTAACATATTAAACATTTTAGGCTGGGTGTGGTGGCTCATGCCTGTAATCCAAGAACTTTGGGATGCTGAGGCTGGTGGATCACTTGAGGTCAGGTGTTTGAGACCAGCCTGGCCAACATGGTGAAACCCTGTCTCTACTAAAAATACAAAAATTAGTCAGGTGCAGTGCCATGTGCCTGTAATCCCAGTTATTTGGGAGGTTGAGGCAAGAGAATCACTTGAACCCAGGAGGCAGAGGTTATGGTGAGCCGAGATCACACCACTGCACTCCAGCCTGGGCAACAGAGCGAGACTCTGTCTCGAATAAAAACCAAACAAACAAAATGTTACTGATTTATTATGTTCACTTTTAATTATCTGCCTTCTCCTTGCTAGAATGTAAAATCTTTGAAAACAGAAATGTCTGTTTTGTTCTCTTGTGTATATCAAGCACCTAGAAGAACCTCTGATAGGTACAATTGCTTAATAAATGCATGAATGAATAAAAGGAGCAGCCAAGGGTGCAGTGTGCTCTGAGCCAGCCGCTGGGGGCTCTTTCCATGCAGTGTCACTGTTTTCATCACCCTCTTTCTCCAGCCCCTCAGGATGCCATGGTTGGCAAGCCCATGGGTCTGAGTCAGTACAGAGCCAGGCAGGGTTTGTCCCTGGGCTTCATGGATTCTCGGAAGGCAAACAGTGTCAGAAACATTCTTTCTAGGACTCGTGAGTTCAGCCCAGGCCAGAAATAGCACCCAGCCATGTGCCTTCTAGTATTTCTGCACATCAGCTTCTCCTCCCACTGGAATGGCAAAGAGGAGCGTGGAAGGCTGAAAACAACTCCAGGCCTCAGGAAGAGCCTCAAAGATAGGGCAGAAGATGAGAATGCACTGCTTTGCATGTCAGTTTCCCTGCCTGGTGCCAGCCCAGGCCCAGCTGTGTGCTTACCTCATGGGAGGCCTGTAACCTGAGTCAATTTTGTCCTTGCCCCTTTGGAAGGCCTGCCTATTACTTACTTGGTGTTGCCAGTGAGGTCTCAGGGAACAGACGTCACATTGCCCATCTTCTAGCTGTTCTGGCATAACTAACCAAGACTGACTAAGCAAGCACAGGGCTCAACAGTTTTACCTTCTGAGCAAACCTAGTGAATCGCAGAGAGGCGGGCCCCCTTCTCCCCTTCCCTCAGGGCAAGGAAGGCTAAGGTGGAGGCTACTTTAAGAGGGGGCCTTGCACCAAACATTTTCTTCTAAACTCTAATGAGTCTTGGAAAATGCTCCCTGAGCTTGGATGCCCAAATAATCATTGTCCAGTCAGGAGGTTGAAAGCATATTGCCAGCCCCTTGCCCCTCCCCCCACCCAAAAAAAACAGGAAAAACTTGAGGGCTTTTCCAGCCCTGGACTTAAGGTGCTTATCTCTTTCCTTTGGTTCCTTTTTGTTTGGGTGGAAATTGCAAACAGCAACCAAGATTAGCTCCCATATTCTCCCAGGTTGTCACTGGGCAGGACTATGTCAGGGCTTTCTCCCCCACCACCCATTTCCAGGGTAGTCCAAGAAGCACATTTCAAAGCCCTTTCTTCTCTTCTTCCCACCTGTCCCCCTGCCCCTTATTGACATCTGGTGGATAGATATTCCTTAGCCAGTCAGAATGAGTGGGGTCCATGTTGATCAACTGAGAGTAAGCCAAGAATCCTCAAATCAGAGGAATCTAAACCTCCAGTCATTACTCAGGGTTTCCAGAGTTTTCCTGAACCTGGACCAATATCCAATGATCCCCATCACCACCAGTACCTGCTGGGGTCCCCCAATCCAGCTAAGAAAGGGACTGCTATGTACTAGACATGGTATATATTATATTTCATTTGCTCCATGTGAGCTCCTGAGATAAATACCACTGTACCCATTTTATAGGTGAGGAAACTGAATGCAGAGAGGTTGCATGGCTTATCCAAAGCTATCCAGCTTGGGTAAGGCCCCATCAATTTGTACTACCTTGTGAGGTCTCCCAGCCAGTTCAAAGGGTCTCAGCGGGCCGGGTGCAGTGGCTCATGCCTGTAATCCCCACACTTTGGAAGGCCGAGGCAGGCAGATTTTTTGAGGTCAGGAGTTCAAGACTAGCCTGGCCAACATGGCAAAACCCCGTCTCTACTAGAAATACAAAAATTAGCTGCGCATGGTGGCACGTGCCTGTAATCCCAGCTACTCTGGAGGCTGAGGTATGAGAATCACTTGAACCCGGGAGGCAGAGGTTGCAGTGAGCTGAGATCGTGCCACCGCCTTCCAGCCTGGGCAACAGAGTGAGACTCCATCTCAAAACAAAACAAACAAACAAAACCCAAAGTGTCTCAGAGGCATTCGCACTCTGGGCTTTTGAGAAACCATGAAAACAGGACTTCCAAATAGGGAGAACGTATATCCTGGTCTCGCCAGGAAAGTTCTAGTTGCAATCTGATATCCCAGTGTAATTATTGGTAGTGCCCTCTTCTCGAAATTGTCTTAGTCACTATCCAATATACACTGGGAGCAAAAGAGTGGGAAAAACTACACAATGAATTGCTCAAGTGGTCACTCAGAAGTCAGCATGAGAAAGTTCTGGTTAGAGCTGTGATGTTCTCCAGGCTTGCCCCACTCTACATTCTCCTGCTGGCCTTGCCTCAAATGTTCCCTTCCTTGCACAATCCCAGAGATATGACCTACTGAACAGGAGGAAATGAGGTTGGACCATGCCAGAGAGTTCTTACTACCCTAGGCGACCCTTCTAAGGGGTCCCTGAATCACCACAAACACACTAATTTTCCAGGTGTGTCCTTCCAACCCTAACAGGTAAAGCATTCTCTTCTGTACAGGAGAAATCTAAGCAACCACTAGGGGTTTGAATGTCTCTCAGGGAAGAAAATAAAAATGTCTTTGACCAAAGCTTTTACTCCATTCCACATTGGAGCTTCCCCTGAGACTACCCTGTGTGACATACTGGAATGACACAGTGGAAAGAGTAAATATTTAGAAATTAGAGATCTGATTTTATATTCTAGTTTGCTTATTATTTGGTGACTTTGGGTAAGTTACTCAACCTCTCTGAGCTTCAGCTTTCTAATTCATCTGAGAAGTGGGTATAACAATGCCTGCTTTGCAATGTAATTGCAAAATATTGGATAAGATTATGTTAAAGTGTCTGGCACATAAAAGTTACTTATTAATAGTGATGATGATGATGATCGTGATGATGAAATTTATCTTTCACTGAATGTAAGAAAGCAATGCTGATCTCTGGGCATGGAAGGAATATTCCAAAGACATGAACTCCAAAAGGAAGAAACAATAAATACTTCTAAAGCAGTCATAAGGTTTGAGAGGAGAAGGTTCAATGATTTAAACAATCCAAACTAAACGACATTTGTTTAGCAATTAGTATGTGCCAAGTGCCATCATAGGCACTGGAGATTCCAGGGATACATATAAAAAAGTTCATGACCATAAAGTGCTCACAGCCAAATGGAGGGGCCAGGTTAAAGGGGGACATGTGTCCCCACTTCAGCATGATGTCAGGCAGTGTTGAAACATTACCAGAAAGAAAGGATGAGACAGACTTGTTTTGCTTAGCCGGTTCAGGAACCTCATAGAAGAGCAGGCAAGTGAACTGGTCTTTGACAGCCAAGCAGGATTTCCAGGCATCTGACAGCATGTTTATGTTCTAGGCTGGGAAATTCTGTTCTATTCTTCCCTCTGAAAAGAAGAACAAGTTGTGTCTCAAGAAGGAGGACAGAGGACACTCTTTCATACTTCTCTTCCACTTTCTCATCCAAAGCCAGTAGCCAACTCTAAAACTGAATGCACATTCTGAGAAACACTGAAAAGGAAACAGAACTTTTGATGCAGAAATTAATCAAGACTTGGATATAAATTTGTCACATATAAAAAACTTTCAACTTCATCAAGTTAACTTTGAGACATTTAATGGAAAACAAGGCATTGATTCACAACATACATATATAAAATACGATTTATCAAAAGTAAAAAGACAAACAGTACTTGAGATATGTGACTGCGAAGAAATATCAACCAAAGTCACTGGCTGGAAAGATAAATTAACAAATTTATTCATTATCCTTTGGCTTCCACCTCTATTCTCAAATCTTCTTTAAACTAATAAGTTAGAGCTTCTTGGTTAGGTGAACAAGTACTTGGCTCTGGAACGGAAAATGAAACAGAAGCATACTTCAGTCTAATAGTTCTTTCTGTTTGGATATTAGCTAGTAGACTATGAGGTGTTTCTATTTTTCCTTCTTTTGCTCTAAGGCTGCAGCAGTATTTCTCAAGGTGGGGAGATTGCTTCCTAAAAAACACTTGGCAATGTCTGCAGACATATTTGATTATTAATATGGAAGTTGGGGAGGCCTGGAACAGTGGCTCACATCTGTAATTCTAACACTTTGGGAGGCTGAGGCAGAAGGACTGCTTGAGCCCAGGAGTTCCAGGCCAACCTGGGCAACAAAGTGAGACCCCATCTCTACAAACAATCAAAAAATTAGTCAGCCTTACCAAGCAGAGTCCCATATTTAGAATTAAACTTAAAATGAGAAAAAGAAAATGTAAAAAGGTAAATACATTTTTTAAAAATTAGCTGACTTGAGCCCAGGAATCCAAGACCAGCTGGGCAACATAGTGGGACCCTGTCTGTACAAAAAATAAAATAAAAAAAATAGCTGAGTGGGGTGGCATGCACCTGTGGTCCCAGCTACACAGGAAGCCAAGGCAGGGGGGATCACTTGAACCCAGGAGGTCAAGGCTGCAGTGAGTCGTGTCCGTGCCTTCATGTGGGGAGAGGAATGCTGTTGGCATCTAGTGGGTAAAGGCCAAGGATGCTGCTGAACATCCTACCATGCACAGGACAGCCCCAGAGCCAAAAGTTATTCCCCAGTATGCCAATAGTGCTGGGGCTGAAACCCACGGAGTGAAATCTGGGTAAGGTAAGAAAAATCTTGTAAAATGAAAACCAAGGATAGGATTCAGAAAATTAATGGCTTTCTTAATCATGAAAATGTGAGAATATTAATATAAGCAGGTATTTAAAATCAAGAAAGTATGTATTCAGGGAAACTTGAATCTATGCTCCCAGGAAAAAAACAATATTACAAAATAGATACATAAATAAAATCTACAGCAATTTGAGAAGACCCAAAGGAAAGAGGCCAGCACTGCTTCCCAGAGGGCAGCCTTCACAGTGCTGCTCAGCCCCTGCTTGCAGTGATTAGATTTAATGAACTCCAGATTAAAACCATGGGGCCTGGGCATGGTGGCTCATGCCTGTAATCCCAGCACTTTGGGAGGCCGAGGCTGGCTGAACATTTGAGGTCAGGAGTTCGAGACCAGCCTGGCCAACATAGTGAAACCCCATCTCTACTAAACAAACAAACAAACAAAAACCGAAAGTTAGCCAGACGTGGTGGTGGACGCCTGTAATCCCAGCTACTTGGGAGGCTGAGGCAAGATAATTGCTTGAACCTGGGAGGCGGAGGTTGCAGTGAGCAGAGATCGTTCCACTGCACTCCAGCCTGGGCTACAGAGTGAGACTTCATCTCACAAAAGATTTAAAAAATTAAAAATTAAAAAAAATTAAAACCATGGGTTGTTTTTCTGATTAATGGATTTATTTCTATAAAATATTTAAATAACAAAAAAAGTAACGTGTATGTATATGTATATTTACATCTTTATCTATATATACATATACCTATAGCAATTCCCACTTATCAAAATTTCCCACTTATCAAATTATACATATTATTCCCACTTACCAAATTGTATATTATATATATATATAATTTAATATATATTATTTTTAATATATATTAAAAATAATGGTGGGTGCAGTAGCTCATGCCTGTAATCCCAGCACTTTTGGAGGCTGAGGTAGACGGGTAGCCTGAGCTCAGTAATTCAAGCTAACAAAAAAATTAGCCAGGCATGGTGGCACATGTCTGTGGTCCCAGATACTTGGGAGGCTGAGGTGGGGGAATCGCTTAGGTCTGGGAGGTGGAGGTTGCAGTGAGCCTAGATCGCAATGCTGCACGCCAGACTGAGTGACAGAGACTCTGTCTCGAAAAAAAAAAAGAAGAAAATTTTTATGGAAATATTTATTGGTGAAATGATAAGCTGTCAGGAATTTCCTCTAATAGAGAAGCTCTCTGTGTTTTCATGTGGAAATATCTTTGAGATATAATGTGAATCGAAAGAACCAAGGGGTAGAACACAGGTGGGGCTCAGCAGGGCTCAGAGAGGAGAGAGAAAAATGTCTTTTCATATGTACCAGTACTTGAATAAATTCTCAAATAACATTCAAGAAATTGATTAAAGTGGTTACCTGGGACATGGATAAAGGAGTTGGGAACCAAAAGGATGAGGGGTAAGCATGGGAGTAAGACTTTTCAACATATACCTTTTCGTATTTTTAACCACGTGATTGTATGCGTATCCAAAAACCTCAAATAAGTAAAAGTGCATTACATAAAAAGCAATCTGTCCTTGGGCTGGGCACGGTGGCTCACACCTGTAATCCCAGCACTTTGGGAGGCCGAGGTGGGTGGATCACCTGAGGTCAGAAGTTCAAGACCAGCCTGGCCAACATGGTGAAACCCTGTCTTTACTAAAAATACAAATAATTAGCCAGCATGGTGGTGGGCGCCTGTAATCCCAACTACTCGAGAGGCTGAGACAGGAGAATCACTTGAACCTGGGAGGCAGAGTTGCAGTGAGCCGAGATCGCGCCACTGCACTCCAGTCTGGGCAACAAGAGTGAAACTTCATCTCAAAAAAAAAAGAAAGAAAAGAAAGAGGGAAAGGAAGGAAGGAAGAAGAAAGAAAAGAAAGAAAGAAAGAAAGAAAGAAAGAAAGAAAGAAAGAAAGAAAGAAAGAAAGAAAGAGAAATCTGTCTTAAAAAACTGGGACATACTGGTGCTATACTTACATTCCAGCCTTGAACAGAACTGGATACTGGTTTCACAAAGATTATCCCCTTTATCTTCACAAAAACCTTGAAAAATTAAAAATGAGGGTAGTAGGGGAAGAGGTAGGAATTTCAGTCTGTTACAGGCTGGGCACATCATGTGAAACAGGAATTAGATTTGTCCTCCCTGACCTAAGGGGCAGAAAAAGACCAGAGTATGCTGTTAGAGGGAGATAACATTAGACTCAACAGAATTTTCAAACACAGAAAACAATCTAAGGAGACCTCAGGATGTATTATAGCAAATTCTGTATGTAATCACCAGATAAAATCTTGGTGGGGCGTGCAATTTAACAAACATTTATTGAGCTTAGACTGCTAGACCCAAAGGTATTCCTGAGTTAAAGATGAAAAAAACTTTCTTAGATACATCTATCTCTGGGAGAGAGGAGAAGATTATTTGGCAATATCTTTAAATGTTTAAGATGCTCACATTCTGAAACGCAGACATTTCATTTTATGGTATTTACATAGGCATCAGAGGCATATGTATACAGATATTCTTTGTGCAGTTATTTCACAATAGCATAAGTTGAAAATAATCTATTTGTCAATTAATAGTGAATTGGCTAAATAACCTATAGTATTATCCATACTAGGAAATACCAGAAAGCAGTCTGGGAAAAGTAAAGAAAACTTGGGAAACCACGTGTTTTTTACTTTTGCCATGGTTGCCAAGCTATATGGTTGAACTTTCTTTTTTTAATAGGGAGTTAAAGGATGATTCAAACAATGTGATACAAGTGACATTTTTTAAAACCTTCATGTCCACAGAGGGGGTAAAAAAAAAACACTTATTTTCTGTGGGTATATATATGCATATTAAATACATAGGAAGCGGTCAGAAGGAAAAACAGTAAATTGGTAACAATGTGTACTTCCAGGGGTTGGGGAAAGGGATGGTAAAGGGTAGGATTGTCAAAGAGGACTTTAGCCTTTTCTGTGATGTTTTAAATTTTTACAAGGCAGATGAATTTATGTCTCACTTGTGTAGTTAAAAATATTTGCTTTCAACACTTAAAAGTGGAGGAGGAGAGAAGTAGCAACCTTGCTCAAGGAGCTCACCATCTTTTAAATGATATAAGTTAAAATATAATTCAGTATGATCTGTACAACAACTGAATAATAGCTAATATTTGTTGAATTCTTATTATATAGCATGTGCTATGTATCTATTAAATTGTTTAATCTTGACCACAACCATAGGAGGTAGGAACAATTGTTATCCCCACTTTACAGGTATGAAAACTGGGGCCTTGAGTGACTTGACCAAGCCCCCAAAGCTAATGGGTGGTAGAATAGGGATTGGAACACATTTCTGACTCCGGAGTCTAGACTTAACTATTATGCTGTATTGCCCAAATATAGAGAGAGCATGGATGATCTACGGTGGCAGAGTCAGGGCTTGGAAATATTTGTGAACTTATTGTGGGTACTGTGGAAAAAGTTCTATTTGGCCAGGCATGGTGGCTCACGCCTGTAATCTCAGCACTTTAGGAGACCAAGGCATGCGGATCACTGGAGGTCAGGAGTTCAAGACCAGCCTGGTCAACATGGTGAAACCCCATCTCTACCAAAAATATAAAAAATTAGCCAGGCGTGGTGGCAGGTGCCTGTAATGCCAGCTACTTGGGAGGCTGAGGCAAGAGAATCACTTGAACCCGGGAGGTGGAGGTTGCAGTGAGCAGAGATCGTGCCACTGCACTCCAGCCTGGGCGACAGAGCAAGACTATCTCAAAAAAAAAAAAAGGAAAAAAGAAAAAAAGAAAAAGTCCTATTTATGGCAGACAGGGCTAACTACCTACGAAGTATCCATTTTCCCTTTCCTTTTCTCTAAGAGAACCCTGACTTGGTGTTCAGTGGCAAAGTCCCTAAATCAAAAAACCCTCAGCCTCCTTTGCATGTTAGGGGCAACCAGGTGACAGTTCTGGCCAATGAGATGCAAACAGGGGCTGCATCCAGGAAAGGGCTTGTCAAAGGGGCAGACCCTTTCTGTAATTACAGAGGCAGAAGAACAAAAGCAACGGGGGATGGGGGCAACCTCAGCTAGTAAGTGCCACCTGGCCTTTTGCCCTTTACCATTCATGCCTTTTTCTTGCCTAGATTACAGAAATGATGCTGGGAGATTCAAAAGGCCATCTATAGACCATAAGGAGAAGAGCCACTTTCTAAGGATGGCAAAGCAAAAACATGTAAAGTGTTTGGAAAAAAAACTTCTGCTGAGCAATCTGGGGGAGAGAATTTAAAAAATTAAGAAAAAAGAAAAAGTTTGGACATCATGACATCTGGGTGCTGTTGCACAGTCCTGGTAACTACTCCTAACCTAGTTACATGAGAAAAACAAACATTTTTTGTTAAGCACACAGTCAGTTTTCATTCCATGCTGACAAATGCAATTTAATGAACTCACTGGGGTTTAGGAAACCTCATCCTTAGGAAGGAATAGAGATACCTGAAAGGAGTTAGCTTGCCTAGCCTGGCTTTGAAAATAGGAAAGAATTGCTCTTCCACCCTAACTTACCCTAGGATACCCTGAGGCCCAGGGCATGTGCCAGCCCAGAAGGAGCCACAGCCCTCAAAGACAGAGGGAATCATGAAATGGAGCCAGGGGATTTATGGGGCTTCAGATTCCCCTAAGATCCCCCAAGCAAGAGTAGGGCAGCAGAACGGCCTGCTAGAGGGTTGAGCGTTGGCAACTTGACTCCAGTGTTTGGGGGTATAGATCCCATTCTATTTATAGCACCAGCAGGTGGGCAGGAGGAGGGAGTGGTGCTCTTGGCAGCTGTTTGTTTTGAACCTGCCAAGGCAGCTCCCTGAACATTTGCTTAAAAAGCAGAAGAGGGAAGAGTAGAGTTGGGATGGGGATGCAGGAACAGAGCTTGGAAGAAAGAAGAAAAAGAATGGCACACACGTTCGAAATGGAATTGCAGGGTCTAAACTCTTATGAGGGTCACATTTCCCCAAGGTAATCTTGATGTTTTTGGACGGGCCAAATATCCCCCAACATGATTCCCTGAGCCTTGCAATCCTTTGGGCCTGGGCTTGGCTAGACTAGAGTTAGAGGCTGTTTGAAAGTCAAAAGCAGTCAGAAGAGACAAGAGTGCCAGGTCACTGACACTAAGGGGAAGAAGATTTTGAGAAGAAAACTGGGCCAAGCTTTTCAGAGAGGCAGGGAGGTTGGGGGTGTGACCAGCTGGCTTGCCAGTGGAGGTGGCTGGGGTTGACCATTCTTTCTTAAAATCTAGCAGTAAGCAGAAGAAAAAAAATATGGTAATATCTTGATAAGTGATGGAGTCAAGGAAAAAAGGAAGATACGCCTGTCTAGGCCAAAGAAATATCTGGTAAGACTGAAGGAGCAAGCTGAGTGAGAATTTTAGATTGTGACAGGCTACAGTCATGCTCCTCGGCCACCTCCCAGGGGACCTATTGCCTCTTTTTTGCTGTTAGTGTCCTTCCATCTTTTTTACTTTTAGGATCTCCCAGAGGATATAAACTTCACTGGACACTGTTTATGTTTGTTGTTGTTGTTGTTATTTATTTTTTTTCTTTCTGTGAGACAAGAGTGCAGTGGCGCTATCATGGCTACTGCAGCGTCGAACTTCTGGGCTCAAGGGATCCTCCTGCTTCAGCCACCTGAGGAGCTAGGACTTCAGGTGCACATCACCACACCCGGATAATTTTTTTATTGTAGTAGAGATGGGGTTTCGCTAGGCTTGCCCAGGCTGGTCTTGAACTCCTGGCCTTAAAGTGATCTGTCTGCCTTAGACTCCCAAGGTGCTGGGATTACAGGCGTAAGCCACCATGCCTGGCCTGGACACTCTTAAAAATGTGGAGCATTTGTAATATCCAAAAGCATAAAGTTATAATTGTAGATGCCAAGTGGCAAGGGCAATGTGACCATTTAAACTACACTCTATAGGCAGCTGTCTATTCATAGAGCCAGCACTTGGATAGAAACTTGGGTGTATTCTCCAATGGCTAAAAGAAGGTCAGGAGACTTGAACTTGAAAGTGAAAAAGAACTTGTGTCCAAACCCCTTACTTTATCAATGAGAAAACTGAAGGTCAGAGAGAGGAAATAAGTGGTCCAAGTCACACAGCTAGTTTAGGGATTATAAAAGTAAACATGGACTGCATATACCAGGAAATTTACTGTTTATATCTTTACTTCATTTGATTTTTACATCAACCCTGTGAGGTAGATATTCTGACAGGCTAAATCGTTCACCTGTGGTCATATAGACACCCTGGGGCAGAGCTGAGATTTGAACTCACATAATCCTGCCTTCAGAGAGTCTGTGCTCTTCACCAACTCCTTTTTCATCCCTTAGCGCTTTGTCTCCATTGTCCCAAGCTACTTCCTCCCACCAACCCCCGACTGTCCTCTATCCCCGCCTCCTCCTCTCAGGGTCAACAGGTCATCCTTGCCTTGCTCCTGTGCTCTGATAGGGGCAGATGAGAAGTTTAGTTTTTTTAGGGGTGAAAATAACGGCAGAGGAAGAACAAAAGGGAGATGCAGATTTCCGTGTGAACACCATGGGAACCAGGAAGGGGCTGAGCATGGGCCAAAGAGGGTCAGAGTCTACAGTGTCTGCTGAGCGCAAGGAAGAGGGGGAGGGGATGAAGTGGCCACATCTCCCGTTCTCTTAGTCTAAGCAGGGAGTATAATGTGGGATTCACAGATACTTGGTGAGGTGGGGACAGTGAGCCCCAAGAAATGGTATGCAAAATTTTCATCATGTACACCCCTGTCATCCCAGCTGCTCAGGAGGCTGAAGCAGGAGGATTGCTTGAGCCCAGGAGTCCAAGGCTTTAGTGTACAATGATCAAGCTGGTGAATAGTCACTGCACTGCACTCCAGCCTGAACAACAATGAGACCCCATATCTAAAACAACCAACCAACCAAACAAACAAAACCATTTCTCTTTTTTGGAGAAATATATATATATATATATATATAAAAAATGTTTTTAAGAAAATAATTTTGAACATGTGCATTTTTCTCCATTTTCCTCTGTCCAACATAAAAGCTAGTCTAGAAAGAACCATACCCTTGATGCTGCCCTCTCTCAGGTCTAGGATCCCATAAAATGCAGCCATTATGTAGAGGCAAGAGCACTGAGGTTGGAGTTAGAAAACCAGCGCTGAAATCCTGGCTCTGCCTCTTACCCGGCTGTGTGGCCTTGAGCAAATCACACTATTTCCTGGAGACTCAGTTCCTTGATATTTAAGTGAGGATAATCTACCTCTCATGCAGAGGAGTTGTGGGAATCAGATGAAATCCAGCTGAGGGTGAGTGTGCCTTTAAATGTTTTCATTAGGAAGTAATACATTCTCAGCTGGGCATGGTGGCTGATGCCTGTAATCCCAACACTTTGGGAATCCAAGGCTGGAGAACCTATTGAGCCCAGGAGTTTGAGACAAGCTTGGGCAACATTGTGCGACCCTGTCTCTACAGAAAATTTAAAAATCAGACGGCTGTGGTGGTGCGTGCCTATAGTCCCAGCTACTCAGAAGGCTGAGGCAGGAGGATCACTTGAGCCTAGGAGGTCAAGGCTGCAGTGAGCTGAGATTGCACCATTGCACTCATGCCTGGGCGACAGAGTAAGACCCTGTCTCTATAAAAAAGCAAATTCTCATTACTAAACATTTAGAAAATGTAAGAGGCTTCCTTTTTCTGGGAAGAAAAAAAAATTGGGAAAATCAGCCATAGTTCCACCATTTAATTTTAACATTTAATATATTTTTGCCAGCTTTTTCAATGCATGCTTCTTCTTTATTTTGACTTTGGTAAGATAATTGATAAAAATCATCTAATTAGGTTTTATTTGATCATAGGACAAAATTATACTCCCTGTATTAGTCAGGGTTCTTCAGAGAAACAGAACCAACAAGAGATTATCTATATCTATATCTGCATAAATGGGTAAAATGAAAGAGAGAAAAAGAGAAATAAAAAAACTTATTTTAAGGCATTGGTTCATGCAGTCGTGGAAGTTTAAGGAGTCCAAAATCTGGTGGGGTAGGCCAACAGGCTGGAGACTCAGGGAAGAGTTGCAGTTTGAGTACCAAAGCATTCTGCAGGCAGAATTTCTTCTTGCTCAAGGGAGCAAATCCTTTGTTCTAAGTCTTTATCAAGTCTTTTGTTCTAAGACTTTCAACTGATTTTATGAGGCCCACTCACATTAGGGAGGGTAAATGCTTTGCTCAGAGTTCACTTATTTAAATGTTAATCTCATCTAAGACCACGTCTCAGAAATATCCAGGGTGGGCTGTTGTGGTGGCTCACGCCTATAATCCTAGCACTTTTGGAGGCTGAGACAGGTAGATCACCTGAGGTCAGGAGTTCAAGGCCAGCCTGGCCAACGAGGCAAAACCCGTCTCTACTAAAAATATAAAAATTAGCTGGGCGTGGTGGCGGGTCCTTGTAATTCCAGCTACACGGGCTGAGGTAGGAGAATTGCTTGAACCTGAGAGGGGGATGTTGCATGAGCCGAGATCATGCCATTGCACTCCAGCCTGGGCGACAAGAGTGAAACTCCATTTCAAGAAAAAAAAAAGAAAGGAAAGAAAGAAAGGAAGGAAGGTAGGAAGGAAGGAAGGGGGGGAAGGAAGGAAGGAAGATCCAGAGTAAAATTTGATCAAATATCTAACACTTCATGAGAGCTTTTTATAAATAAAAGCTATGGAGCTCTGTGTGAGTTTTCTCATACCAGAACAATATTTGCATAAAGCTTTGTAGAAAGCAGTTCAGATGTTCAACCTTGAGCAGGTTGAGCTTAACTCTAGGAGGCACTTGTTTTCCAGTAAGCCATGGTAGTCTATGTGGCATGAGTTTACTGTCTGGAGCTGCCAAGCACACTGTGTTGTTTAGATTGTATGATAGGGATGGGGGTGAGGGGAGCTGATGAAGATCATGATGGGGGTTAAAGTCCCCTAGACCTTCCCTTGGTGGTATCACTGGGCTTGAAGAAACCAGGTGGGACAATGATATACTGTCAGTGCCTCTTAAGGAGATATGTCCTTCTTCTTCTTTTTTTTTTTTTTTTTTTTTTTTTGAGACAGAGTCTCACTCTGTCACCCAGGCTGGAGTACAGTGGGGCGATATTGGCTCACTGCAACTTCCACCTCCTGAGTAGCTGGGACTACAGACATGCACCACCACGCCCAGCTTATTTTTGTATTTTTAGTAGAGGGGGTTTTGCCATGTTGGTCAGGCTGATCTCTGGTGATCCACCTGCCTCTGCCTCCCAAAGTGCTGGGATTACAGGCGTGAGCCACCACACCCAGCAATGAAACATTCTTATCCGTTTCCCTATCCTGTCCTCTGGAAGGCCTGTCAGCCCAACCCTGCTCCTCTGACAAAGCTCTATTACCCTCAGGAGAGAGATTCAGGCAGCCAAGGCAATGAAGTAGAAGAAAGCTCTGACAGCGTTGGAGAGACTTCAGGCCTAGAAGAGGCAGGGACTTAGAGTCAAGAGCCCTGCTATTTCTATCTTCTCTGAGATTACCAGTCTCCAGGCAGGCATCTCTATCAAGAGAAAGTTGCAAAGCCTGTGAGCCAGTGGGTCATACGTATCTGATGAATGCTCACTCCCACCCCTGCCCCACCTCCCAACACACCCCCAGCAACCTCTGTCATCAGTAACCTTAGTCACTGCCAGCCTAAGATAGAGGTGTCCTGGAGCCCTAGAAGGAAAGGTCAGTCGATTTAAATAGCTACAGCATCTACAGCAACTTTCCTGGCCTCAGAAAGGAAACCCAAGCTGTGAGAGATGACGCTCCACTGGCTCTACCCCCGGTGGGGGGACAAAAAGGGAGATGTCTGCTGTGTTCCCTACAGTGTGCTTTGTCACGTAAATGCAGCAGCCTTACTTCATCCTGAGGGCTGTACATCACTGTAACCATTTTATAGACGATGAAACTGAATCTCAGATTAACTGACTTGCCAAAGGCAATAAGATCAGATACTGCTCCTTCACTGAAATCTTTTCATAAGATCTTATGATCTTATGAAAAGATCATAAATGCATTGTTTAAAAAAAAAACACTTTAAGCTTGGAGAAAAACATCAACACAAATTTCTCTCCTAACCCTGCCTCCAGGTTCCCTTCCTAGAATAAGTCACTGATATCAGTAATTGTAGACTTTCCAGGGATAGTATATGCGTCTGGAGTGTGTGTGTGTGCTTTTATATATATGCATATATACACACACACAAATGGTGGGATGCAATATGCTGTTTTGCACCTGTTTTGTTCACTGAACGGCATAGCTTCAATTTCCTTACCAATGCACATAGATCTGTTTCATTCTTGTTAACAACTGCATAATGTTTATATGTAGATGGGCCATATTATCTAATCAGTTGTTTCTTCCAGTAGTTTGCTAATATAAACAATGGGGCAATGAACTTTCCTGTACATATGCCGTTGTGCACATATGCAAGTACATCTGTAGATAAATTCCTGGAAGGAGAGTTCCTGGGTCAAAATGACATGTCCATTGGAAATAATGATTAAAATTGCAAAACTACGCTCCCCAAAAGATGTCCCAATTTACGTTAACCATACTTGAGAGGCTGCCAGTGACTTCAACCTGCCAGAAAGGTTTGGAGCCTTCTCTACCTAAATTGTGTCTAGCAGAACCAGTGCCCAGACCCAAAACTTGTTTTTAAATCTAGTGTTTGTTTATTTTTCCTTTTATACAAAAGTTCCCTTCCACACATACATGATTTAAAGGAGCTGGGAGAAAGTTAGAATTTAAATGAAATAGAAGGAGTAGCGTCTTTACTCTTGGAGCTTAACTTCTAGGAGTAAAGAAAGCAAATTCTTAGGCCAGGCACTGTGGCTCAGACCTGTAATCCCAGCACTTTGGGAGGCCAAAGCAGACAGACTGCTTGAGTCCAGCAGTTTGAGACCAGCCTGGGCAACAAAATGAGATGCCCATCTCTACAAAAAATTGAAAATTAGCCAGACACGGTGGTGTACACCTGTGGTCCCAGCTACTTAGGAGGCTGAGATGGGAGGATCACTTGAGCTCAGGAGGTCGAGGCTGCAGTGAGCCATGATTGTGCCACTGCACAACAGCCTGGGTGACAGAGTGAGACCCTGTCTCAAGAAAAAAATAAAATAAAATAAAATAAAAAATTTTTTAAAAAGAGAGAAAAGAAAAGAAAGCACACTTTTGAATAAAAGTCACTAAGGAACCAAAACTCCAATGGCCAGTCTTATTTTGAACATCCCAAGTCAGGAGTTTGCATGGAGCTGCTTTAAAATGCTACCTCGACTGCACTGGATCTCCTGATGCTCTCCCTGAGCCTCACTGGGTTTTCACTATGTGGGTCAAGACAGCTTTTTTTGAGGCTGGGCACAGTGGCTCATACCTGTAATCCCAGCACTTTGGGAGGCTGAGGCGGGTAGATCACTTGAGGTCAGGAGTTTGAGACCAGCCTGGCCAACAAGGTGAAACCGGTCTCTACTAAAAATGAAAAAATTAGCTGGGCGCGATGGTAGGTGCCTGTAATCCCAGCTACTAGGGAGGCTGAGGCAAGAGAACCACTTGAACCCAGGAGGCAGAGGTTGCAGTGAGCCGAGATCGTACCACTGCACTCCACCCTGGGCAACAGAGTGAGATCCTGTCTCCAAAAAAAAAAAAAAAAAAAAAAGAAAGCTTTTTCTTCCTTTCTTGTCCATTCTACTAGTTTGCCCAGAACATTGAAGGTGCGTAGAGCATTTCTTCATTCATGCCATTATGTTGGGAAGGAAACTATAGCAAAAACATTCCATAAAGGCTTCTTAAATCATTCTTAAAATAACCTTATTGGGACGTAATTTTGTGAATGTGAACATCTTTAGAAATGCCACACCCAGTGTTCAGTAGTAGGAAAAATTATCTTTAGCAATATTTTATAGATGTTATGTCATCAATCCTAACAACAACCTTACAATTCTACATTAACCTTATTCTACTGATGAGAAAAGCAAGGCACAGAGACAGTAAATTGCCAAGATCTTGTAATAGATAATGACACCTAAAATTAATCTAGATTACAAGTCCCAAACTCTTTCTAGTATATCATACTGGAAATAATAATTATTCTAAAGAATACAGATAACAAACGCAGAAATGAATAAGAAGGATGATAACATTGTGCTAATTATAATACTTGTCCTAAAAGAAATCCTAAAGTTGATGTGATGGAACCTAACAGAGGAAAGAGTAGAGGTGTTAGATGATGTGATGATAGAAGGCTTCTCTGAGACCTGTGAGAATCAGACAGCTCTTCTTGGAACTTCAGGATGATCCTCTTGGGCCTGAAGAAGCAGCAAATTCAAAGGTCATTGTCTTGGAGTGGCCTGAGAACTGAAAGCAGGACAGTGGAGCTGAATACAAGGAGCAAGTGCACCCTGCTCTGACATGAAGCTGGAGAAGCAGGGAGGGTCCAGATCAGTACAGGGTCTAAGAGATGAGAGAATGGAGTTTGAACTTCATTACAACAATGGCGGAGAGCCATTAGAAAGCTTGAGGAGGCTGGGCACAGTGGCTCACACCTGTTATCCCAGCACTTTGGGAGCCCAAGGCGGGTGGATTACTTGAGGCCAGGAGTTCAAGACCAGCCTGAATCAACATGGCGAAACTTCATCTTTACTTAAAATACAAAAATTAGCCAGGAGTAGTGGTGCATGCCTGTAATCTCAGCTACTCGGGAGGCTGAGGCACGAGAATCGCTTCAACCTGGGAGGCAGAGGTTGCAGTGAGCCAAGATCACACCACTGAGCTCCAGCCTGGGCAACAGAGCAAGACTCTGTCTCAAAAAAAAAAAAAAATTTTGAGGAAAGATGGGACATAATCTGATTTAGGTTTCTAAAAGATTACTCTGGTTGCTGTTGGGGAATTAATTAAAGATTACAGTTGAAGAAGAAAGACCATTTATGAGGTATAATATAATTACGACTGAGAGATGATGGTGACTTGGACTAGAAATTGATGGTAGAGAGGATAAAAATGGAAGGATTCAAAATATAATTGTCAATAAAATGTGCACTATTTGCTGATGGACAAGATGGGGAGAAAGCATGCCATAAGTGGAAAGGAGAAATCAAGGTTCATCACCAGGTGTAGGGTAACAATGGAAGGTGCCAGAGAGATAAGGAAGAAGAGTCTTAGAAAGAGGGTCTGAGGCCAAGTGTGGTGGCTGACACCTGTAATCCCAAGACTGTGGGAGGCTGAGGCTGGAGGATTGCTTGAGTCTAGGAGTTTGAGATCAGCCTGGCCACATAGTGAGACTCTGTTGCCACAAAAGTTTAAAAATTGGCAGGGCATGGTGATACATGCCTGTGGTCCCAGCTACTCAAGAGGTTGAGGTAAGAGAATTGCTTGAGCCCAGGAGGTCAAGGCTGGCGTGAGGCATGATTGCATCACTGCATGTACTCCAGCCTGGGTGACAGAGCAAGACCTCGCCTCAAAAAGAAAGAAAGAGAGAGAGAGAGAAAGGGAGGAAGGGAGGGAGGGAGGAAGGAAGAAAGTAATAAAGGAAGGAAGGAAGGAAGGAAGGTAAGGGCTCTGAAATCAGTAGTTCCATATTGGACATATTCAAGTTTTAGATTCTTATTAGAAATCCATTCAATGGTGTGGTGTCATAAAAAATGAAAAAAGGGAGAAATCCAAGTGGGGTTGTCAAGTAGGTAGTGGGATGTACAAGTCAGAGCCCAAGAGAGAGATATGGACTGAAACTAAAGATTGGGACATGTAAACGGAATGAGATTACTTATGGAGAGAAGTACATTAAAAACAGTCTAGAACAGAGCTCTGGAAAATCTCAAAAATTTAGAGGTTGGAGCCAGTCAAAGGAGGAGAAGCCAGGTAAAGAGATTGAAAAGGAAAGGCCAGATGTGGTGTGGAGGATGAGGAAGAGCCAAGAACCCATGGAGATATCTGGGAAGCCAAGAGCTCTGGACTCATACGTCCAGCTGGCCGTGAAGGAAAGCCTTGTCTGTTAAGACAATGAGATGGGGGGAATGTGCAGAGAATAAGTTAGGACTTTAAACAAAGCCACAAACCAGGGGCCCCAGGGAGCACAGTTAGAAAGGTGTGATATGAGGAAGAGAAGAGTACATTGGTCCGCATTAAGGACTGTGTGGAGCAGTGTAGGTGTGAAGACCCTGTGATAAAATTTGAGGTTTGAAGCTCTGCTGAATTCAGAAAAACAGGGAAGGCCAGGTGTGGTGGCTCATGCCTGTAATCCCAGCACTTTGGGAGGCCGAGGCAGGTGGATCACAAGGTCAGGAGTTTGAGACCAGTCCGTCCAGTATGGTGAAACCCCGTCTCTACTAAAAAATACAAAATTAGCTGGGCATGGTGGTGCGCACATGTAGTCCCAGCTACTTGGGAGGCTGAGGCAGGAGAATCGTTTGAACCTGGGAGGCAGAGGTTGCAGTAAGTCAAGATCATGCCATTGCACTCCAGCCTGGGTGACAAAGCGAGACTCCATCTCAAAAACAAAAAAAAAAACCAAACAAAACAGAAAAACAGGGAAGGGGGCTTGATGGAATTGGTCTTGGGTAATCAGCTCAAAGTATGGTCCAGAATAGTCTTAATGTACGGAGGAGGGGACTAGGCTTTTAGCAACAAGCTCTCATCTGCAGTTTAGAGTATTATAATTCCCACTCTACAAGTATAAAAAAATTAATCTGGATGAATTTAAGTAAATCAGTGCCAGATGGAGAGTGACCAAAAGTCCTTGGAGTCCAAAATCAAGGTTTTGCTCAGCACTCTAAAGCCGGCTGTTAGGTATTTCCTGAACTGAACTAATAAGAACCATTTGAGATGGTTCATAAAAATACATACTCCCTCTCTCCCTCCTCTGGAGTTAGGTCTAGAGTGATTTTTAAAGTTTACAATTATCTCATACTGCAGGTATAGAAAGGAAATGGTGCTAAGAACACAGAAGTCTTTGGCTTGGGTAGTTTGGAATTTCAGAGGACTGACTCTTCTATGGTTGTGATGTTTGAGGAAAAGGTGGAAGGAAGGTGAAAGTTTATTTCTAGCTTAGTCTAGTGTCTCCCTGACAGTTAAAAACAAATAGCATGCAAATAAGTGCTTTGCTTTTTGAAAAGCAAAACATATGTGGCCAAAGAATATACTCGCTGCATACTAATTGCCACTTTCATATTGAGAAAGCATTTTAGAGACTTCAGGGACACCACCCTTAAATGCTGTGTTCCTTTCTTTACTCGAATCTCCCCTCTACCTGCCTTATAGGAATATCCTGAAGCTGCGACAGGTTTGCTATCCCGTAGTACTTAGATGGAGGGAGCCCAGTGAACAGTGAGAATCATAGGGGAAAATTCAAGCTGTTTGTGTTCCCTCCCATCTGTTTATTTTATCTCCCACTGCAGTACTTTAAAAATATATTAGAGCCATCTTTGTTACGCTTAAGTCTTTTCAGATCACAAAGGAAAGCGAAAAAGGATATGACATATTTCCTTCAGGATCTTCTCTTGTTCTCTCCCTTCTCTATCCCAGCAGAAAGTCACCTCCCAGTCAGTGTTCATTAAAAACTGGACGGCTCTGCTTTGCAAGGGAGAAGACAGAACACGGAGGCACCAAGAAGTCAAACTTCCCTGAGTTATAAATGTGCCTTTTCTGTGACATGAAAGCAAAGGACCACGCACCAAGAATACAGTTTCTTTTTTGTTGTTCTTCTTCTTTTTGAGTCACAGTGTCACTCTTGCTTAGGCTGAAGTGACATGATCATAGCTCACTACAGCCCAAACTCCTGAGCTCAAGTGATTCTCCCACCCCAGCCTCCTGAGTAGCTGGGATGACAAACGTGCACCACCATACCTGGCTATTTATTTATTTATTTATTTATTTATTTATTAGACATGGGGTCTTTCTATGTTGCCCAGGCTAGTCTCAAACTCCTGGGCTCAAGGGATCCTCCCACTTCAGCCTCCCAAAGTGCTGAAATTACGGGCACGAGTCATGTTGTCTGGCAGAAGAATATAGTTTCTAAAATAAAACGGTGCCATGTCACAAAAAATTAAAACAGAAAGAGATCCGTAACTCTTGCAACTAAAATAAACACACGCTGTTGTCGCATTCATACAATGGTATACATAGGGAAGTTCTCACTGCCATTTTAAGGATGAGAAAAAAAGACTCTGAGTCCTAGCAAACTGCAGGGCTACACTACCTGGGATCAGATCCTTACTGCTTCTTACCAGTGTTTGGTCATTGGCAAGTCATTTAACCTTTAAGTACCTCAATTTTCTTCTCTATAAAATGAGGATAGTAAGGCCAAGCACAGTGGCTCATGCCTGTAATCCCAGCCCTTTGGGAGACTGAGGCAGGCAGATCACTTGAGGTCAGGAGTTCGCGACCAGCCTGGCCAATATGGTGAAACCCCATCTCTACCAAAAATACAAAAATTAGCCAGTTGTGGTGGCAGGTACCTATAATCTCAGATACTCAGGAGGCTGAAGCAAGAGAATCACTTGAACCTGGGAGGCAGAAGTTGCAGTGAACAGAGATGGTGCCACTGCACTCAAGGGCAATAGAGTGGGACTCAGTCTCAAACACACACACACACACACACACACACACACACACACACACATAATAATAATAAAATGGGGATAGTAATAGTAACACTACCTCATAGAGTTATTGTTCAATTAAATGAGTCAACACAACTTAGCATGCAACAACTACAATGCAGGGAAAAAAAACAACAGACCTTTTTTTTGGGTGAGGGGCAGGGGACAGGATCTCATTCCAATTGCCCAGGCTGGAGTGCAGTGGCACAATTTTGGCTCACTGTAGCTTCAACCTCCTGGGCTCAGGTGATTGTCCCACCTCAGCCTCCCCAGTAGCTAGGACCACAGGCTCATGCCACCACGCCTGGCTAATTTTTGTACCCGCTTCAGCCTCCTAAAGTGCTGGGATTACAAGCGTGAAACACCATGCTCGGCCAACAATAGACTTTTCAGATAAAGTCTTTTATCATATAGAATTTTGTAGAGCTTATAATTTTTTAAAGCACAAGCTCAAAAGATAGAGGAATACAAGCAAATAGCTTAGATCCCTAAGAATTCATCCACTCCTTCAACAACATTTACTGATTATCTTCTAGGAACTTGGCTAGACACCAGAAGCAGATGCCAGTAACAGGTTAGAGGGTTCTGAATTTGCACCCACACCATGTCACTTTATTTCATTTGCTTTAATCAAATTAAATCTGAAGCCAATAATGGTGGTGCTGAGACATGGCCTGGTGGCTTTAGTAATACCATTAGAATCCCTACTCAGCCATTCCAAATAGATTTACAAACTAAGTAAAAATAGTGTCCCTGCTATGCAAACGCAGCTCCCTCATATGTCTTCTAGCTGCCCTCACACCCAAAGGGCTGCCCTGTCTCTCTTTTTAAAAATGAAGCTCTCACTTAACTCTGAGCCTTCATCCCGTCAGCCTGGCAGGAAATTCTGCAGTGTTGCTGGGGTCCGTATCCCTGCCCAGACTTGGAAATAAATTCAAGAGAATTACCTAGTGCCCAGAAAGCAAGGGAAAGGTAGCAAGTGGCTGCAGCTATATGGTTAAAGATCCTGTGGTCTCTCGGAAGCAGGTGGCCTGCTCAGTTCTTTGAACCAGCCTCTTCAGGTCCTATAGTCCATTCCATTTTTCTAAAAAGTTCTCTCACCTTCCCAGCATCCCCTCATCTCCCACAAGCAATGTCAATGTCTTTTCTGTCTTGGGGAATATTTCCTTCAAGGATTCTCGGGGGGTCCCTTTCTTGGGTAGCCTCCTCTCCCATTCCCCATAAGATTCAGTGTTTGAGCTTTCACTAAGGACTATTGGAGAGGTGGCCTTGCAGCAGCTTTGCATTTCCACCCAGTAACCCAATCCTCCCTTGAGTCAAAGAAGCAAAAATCCTGCTAATCTCTGGTCCAGGGAGTGAGGCCCTCCAGGACTAGGGAAAAGGAGAAATACCTGCTAATGAGATCCTGGAACCATTCTCAGTAAACACGCAGAAATGTTCAGAACAGAAGTATACTATATGCTGGGTGAATGTTGCCCACATTTCTTTCTTTTTTTTTTATTTTCTTTTTCTTTCTCTTTTTTTTTTTTTTTTTTTTGAGACCAAGTCTCACTCTGTCACCCAGGCTAGAGTTCCATGGCACAATCTTGGCTCACTGCAGCCTCCACCTCCTGGGTTCAAGTGGTCCTCATGCCTCAGCCTCCTGAGTAGCTGGAACTATAGGCGCACCACCATGCCTGGCTAATTTTTGTATTTTTCAGTGGAGTTGGGGTTTCACCATGTTACCCAGGCTGGTCTCGAGCTCCTGGGCTCAAGTGATCCACCCACCTCAGCCTCCCAAAGTGCTGGGATTACAGATGTGAACCACCACGCCCAGCCTACATTTCTTAAAATACAATTTTGATAATGAGACTGACAAGTTTTGTAATACTGGCAAAATTATAGAAAAATTATTAGAGCAAAGTTTCAAGTGGTAATCAGAAACAAAAATTGTGATCATGATGAACAAATAGGCTAATGAAGAGAAAGTTATGACAACTCAGATTTTCTTTTTCTTTTTTCAAATAATGTCTCCAGACTAACAGATAAGGACAATATTTTATTTTGACATAATGCATCAATTTCAGTAAGACATTTGAAATAAAACCTCTTATGAGCAAACAAAACAAGCTAAAAAAATGAACTGGATAAAGGAAAGTTACATAGATGGTATCTGGTGAAGCAATCACTATTCATAGAACATTGATTCTAACCTGAAAGGAAGACTTTTGAAGTTTTGCAACAGAATGTTCTATTGACCTGTGCCCCCATTCAGCTTTTTGTCATTTACTTGATTGAATAATTTATAATAATGCACTTAATAATCTATCAGTAACTCAAAGAGAGAGAACCAAGGTAAATTCAGAAAGATCACAATGGCCTGAAAAAGATGTACCAAATTAGCAGGATAAAATTTTATGAGGATAAACTTTAGATCCTTATGATGTCCCAAAAATCAAGAGTGCAAGTGGACAGATGCTGGATTTAAGAGCAATGTATCCTTTCTTTCAGGATTTTAATAGGACTGCAAAGGAACAGGTGTGATAAGACTTCAAATAAGTCAGTGACATTTTTATGTTAATTAGAAATTTGGTGTCTTCTGAATAGGCATCTGCTTCTTCTGATGCCTATTCAGAAAAGACCCTGTCTTAACAACAGCAAAAAAGACCTTTCACCAGCCAGCTCAGCTCTCATTCCTGTAGATATTTTTTGGATTATCAATCCGGAGAATAGTTCCCTAAGACTGGTCTTATGGGTGTAACTTCTGAATAGACATTTGCTTAGCCTTAGAGAACTGGCCTTTTAAAGAACTGGGTTGACAATCCAGAGAATATCTAGAGGAATGAGAGCTGAGCTGGCAGGTTAAAGATCTTTTTTTGTTGTTATTGAGACAGGGTCTCACTCTGTCACCCAGGCTGGTGCAATCATGGCTTGCTGCAACCTCAATCTCCTGGGCTCAAGCGATCCTCCCACCTCAGCCTCCTGAGTAGCTGAGACTACAGGTGTGCACCACCTCACCTGGTTAATTTGTTTTTTTTTTATGGAGATGAGGTCTTACTATGTTGCTCAGGCTGGTATCCTCCTGCCTCAGCCTCCCAAAATGCTGGGATTACAAGCATGAGCCACTGTTCCCAGTGAAGGTGAAAGATCTTGAAGTCATGATGAAACAGAAGTAACTGAGAATGTTTAATCTGAAAAAACAAAAAGGACTCAATGGAGATGTGAGTCCTGTCTTCAACTCTCTCAAGGATTGCCATGTGAAAGAAGCATCAGGCTTGGTCTGTATAGTTTCAGAGGGCAAAATAAGGATAATGGCAAATGCTACATAGAGACACATATGACCTCATCATAAAGAAAATCATAAAGCAGTTCATAAATGGAAAGGGCTTCCTTATTATATATTGACCTCCCTGCCTTAGAGGGTTTGAGCATATATTGGATGACCACCTAATAGTGCAGCACTATACAGCAAAAGATTCTTTACAAAAGATTCCTAAACAAACAGAGTGACCTGGAGACAAGAGATTCTTAACCCCAATCCCTGGTTGAGCTTCAGGGAGACTTTAAACACACTGAAATTATATTTAAAGCATATTTTCAAGAGAGAATATTTGTGGCTGTTTTGTTTTAACCAGAGTATCAAAGAGGAGAATAACCCAAAATAAGTTTAGGGTGACTGACCTAGGATGACTTTCAATTCTGAGATTCTAGGATTAAAATTCATACACCAGGCCGGGCATGGTGGCTGTAATTCCAGCACTTTGGGAGGCCGAGGCAGGTGGATCACCTGAGGTCAGGAGTTTGAGACCAGCCTGGCCGACATGGTGAAACCCCATCTCTACTAAAAATACAAAAATCTGTTGGGCGTGGTGGCACGTGCCTGCAATCCCAGCTACTCGGGAGGCTGAGGCAGGAGAATCGCTTGAACCTGCGAGGCGGAGGTTGCAGTGAGCCAAGATTACACCACTGCACTCCAGCCTGGGTAATAAGAGCGAAACTCTGTCCAAAAAAAAAAAAAAATTAACACACCAACATCTTTGAGCACCAACAGCCAATGAAATTTCCATTGAGCATGCACTGGTGGGAAAAGAAGATTCTTTATATGCTTGAAACATTAAATAGTGAGTTATGTTCTTCTGAAATACAGAATAGGAGAAAGGCCTCAGGTCTCCAGGCTCTTTCGTGCTTCCCCATTCACCAGCCTCCAGACTCATATAGTCAGCATGGAGTTGTGATGAAGGCTGGGCAGATGGAGGCAATGTCATTCATGTCTGTTTGCCTTCCACCAAGAACTGTCAGTGCCACACCATGCCAGGCAGCTGCTGCCTCCAATAGGGATTCCTGCAGGATGCTGGCACTCAGCTAGCTCCTCCCAATAGTGTGAGCTGAAGACCTGATGCCCAGCTAAAATGAGGGAAGAAGAACTTTTCAGGTAGCATATCCTGTCCACTAGAGCCCAAGAACATATGAACAGGCAGTAGAAATTACATAGTCTCACTCTGTCTCCAGTCTTGCCTCCATTTTTTTTCTCTTTCCCTTCCACTTCTCCGGTCTTTCTCTCTCCTTCCTAATTCTCTGTTTCTTTGTTCTCCTCCCCATTCCCCTCCCCTTCTGCTGTGACCTCTAAGTTGGCTCAGCATCATTGTTCAAGATGTTGGTTATATAACACGGCTTATGAAAGCAAAAGCAAAATAATATGCTGCCTGCCATGCCAGGTGAAACCCAGCATGAAAAGAAAATACTGGTACGCGGCACTTCTGGGCTTTTTTGGGCTATGAGGAGGATCAGCTGAAGAGAGCTTAGATGTTCCATGTGCACCAAACTTCAGATCTCTCTTGAGACTAACTCACCCAGATTTGGGAGCATTTCAATTTTTTTTTTTTTTTTTTTTTTTTGAGACAGACTCTCACTCTGTCACTCAGGCTGGAGTGCAGTGGCACGATCTCGGCTCACTGCAACCTCCACTTCCTGGGTTCAAGCGATTCTCCTGCCTCAGCCCCCTGAGTAGCTGGGATTGAAGGTGCCTGCCACCACACCTGGCTAATTTTTGTATTTTTAGTAGAGATGAGGTTTCACCATGTTGGCCAGGCTGGTCTCGAACTCTAAGTTGTTTTTAGAGTTCTAAGGTGATCCACCTGCCTCAGCCTCCCAAAGTGCTGGGATTACAGGTGTGAGCTACCACACCCAGCCATTTTTTTTTTCGAGGCACAGTCTCACTCTATTGCCCAGACTGTAGTACAGTGGTGGGATTACAGCTCACTGAAGCCTCCATCTCCCAGGCTGAAGCCATTCTCCTGCCTCAGCCTCCTAAGTAGCTGGGACTACCATACTCGGCCCATTTTTAATTTTTGTAGAGATGGGGTCTCACTATGTTGCCCACGCTGGTCTCAAACTCCTGGGCCTAAGTGATCCTCTCACCTTGGCCTCCCAAAGTGCTTGGATTACAGACATGAACTGCCACACCCAGCCAAGAAGATATTATTAAAGGACTTATGATATTAAAGGAATCAAAGGAAACCAAAACCTTTCTCCCTAGGATAACACTTTAACTTTGACTATTTTCTCAGGGCCAAACTGCTCATTGTGGTAATTTAAAGATAGTTCCACAAATTCTTTGATACCTCTTCCTTCAAGAAATGGAGCTTTCCCTTCCCCTTGAATATGGACGAAATTTAGTGATTCACTTTTAGCAAATGAAGTATGGTAAAAGTAATGGGATGTCCCTTCCAAGATTAGCTTATAAAGGAACTGAGGCTTCTCTCTCTCATTTTCTTCTTTGGATCACTCACTCCGGAAAAAGACATGGCATGGGCAGCGCTATGAAGAGGCCCACATGGCAAGGAACTGAACCCAGTCAGATCTTCAGAGACTGCAGCCCTCACAGTCTGGCTGCAACCTGCTAAGAAACCTCAATGCAAAAGCACTCGGCTAAGTCACTCCCAGATTCCTGATCCTTCAAAATTGTATAAGATAATAAATATTTCTTATTTTAAGCTGCTACATTTTGGGGTAATTTGTTATGCAGCAACAGATAGTACACTTGTGATGCTTTTATTTATTTATTTATTTATTTATTTATTTATTTATTTTTGAGGTGGAGTTTCACTCTTGTTGCCCAGGCTGGAGTGCAATGGCGTGATCTTGGGTCACTGCAACCTCACCTCCCAGGTTCAAGCGATTCTCCTGCCTCAGCCTCCTGAGTAGCTGGGATTACAGGCATGCGCCACCACACCTGGCTAATTTTGTAGTTTTAGTAGACACAGGGTTTCTCCATGTTGGCTAGGCTGGTCTCGAACTCCCGACCTCAGGTGATCTGCCTGCCTCGGCCTCCCAAAATGCTGGGATTACAGGTGTGAGCCACCACACCCAGCCGATGCTTTTAAATGATATATAAACCCTCAGGGTTAGAAAGTGCTGGGCTGAGTTACCTGAGGATGATGGTTATATAGCTTTAGGACTCCTAAAGCACAGAAGCCAGAGCCCTGGAACAGAGAGAAATGGTTCTTCCTAACCTGAAATAAATGTATGCTAAATCATTTTATGATTAAATATTCCTATCACTACTAATATAAAATGCTGCCTCATATGCCCCTCCCTACCCCTCCATGACACCCAAATGCTGTGTTAAAATATGGCCAGGCATGTTGGCTCACACCTGTAATCCCAGCATTTTGGGAGGCTGAGGTGAGCAGATCACCTGAGGTCAGGAGATCAAGACCAGCCTGGCCAACATGGTAAAACCCCGTCTCTACTAAAAATGCAAAAATTAGCTGAGTGTGATGGTGCATACCTGTAATCCCAGCTACTTGGAAAGCTAAGGCAGGAGAATCCCTTGAACCCAGGAGGCAGAGATTACAGTGAGCCGAGATCACGACACTGCACTGCAGCCTGGGCGACAGAGCAATACTCTGTCTCAAAACAAAACAAAACAGCTTGTTCATCTTTTTCCAACTTCTCCAACACTGAATTCAGCTGTGAACCTTGATGACAAATAACCAGTCATAAGTTGGAGGAGCTCTTTTACCCTCTAAGGTAGCACATTTAACCAAAAACTGCTTAACTTCAATATTGGGTGTGATGGTTCACAGCATAAAATTCCAAATTTGGAAGGAATTTTGGGGATGTCATAGCTTATCTCAGGCTGATTTTGTAAAGAATGGTGTCAATTCCTGGAGGAGTGAATCACTTAATGACACAGATAATCTAAGTATATTCCCAACCATCCTCTTCCAAGAGAAGGGAAGAACCTGGAAACTCAGCAGCTTCCAGGACATAGCATTTCAGATGACCACCCCAAAGGCCCTGCATTTGGCATCAGGAAGAGGAGGATATTTCTGAACTAAGTAATTTGGAATTTACTGCAGGAGTGAGGCAGCTCATACACAAACCTTTAATACCTATGATTAATACTATGATTAATAGGCCTCACACCCCAGCCTTCTACCTACTTTCTTTAGCCAGTGACATAGTAGTGACCTTTCTCTGATAATGTAAACAACAAACATTTATTGAAGGCTTCCTTGGCTAAGTGCTATGCCATAGCAGTATTTATATAAAAATGTTAATAGATTGGTAGTTTCTGGATCTTAGGCCCACCTAGGAATGAGCCTGGTGGTAGATTGTTTGAAGAGATGGATCCTCTCTTGCAAAGGAAGCTCTGGAAAAGTGCATTCTCTTACTGTACTGTCTCTCTAAATTTAGCTAATTAGATCACAGGTTCCTTCCCAGAGTCCAGGCAAGTGTTCACTTCTTCCAAAAAACGAAAAAAGGAATCCTTTTCCCTCTCCTCCCACAATGTGATACTACATTTCATTCTGTAGCCTTATTTAAACAGTTACCAAAACAGCTCACAAAATCATTTGAGAATAAACTGGGATACATAGCAATGGGCCCAGGAGTCCCCTTCCTTTTGGTGCTGCCAGTGACAACCTTTAGCTATAAAAGGAGGGTCATAAAGGAGACTTGACCATTCACTTGACCACCCCTCATTCATATGCTTTCCCCAACACACCAAACTAGTGCCTATTTGACCCCCATTTCATTTGATTATTAATTTTTTCACATCTTAAATGCTGATTCAATTTACTGTCAATAGAGGAGTAAAACAGAGTCACAGAGAAGGAGTTATTCTAAACCTTTATTGAAAGGCAAATGCAGAAAGCCTTCAACACAGAGGATAGATTTAGTGACTGAGGGCCCACTGGAGTTTAACTAATAGATCTGCTGACTACGCCGTACAGTGGAGGAAACACGCTGCAATCTCAAGACAATGCAGGTAACTCAATCTGAAATCCATCAAAAAGAGGACAACTTGCTCAGGTACAAGGCCCCTGAAAAGTAACTCATCAAATGACAATAGGAACTGTGTGGACACTCCCTCTGTAACATGCACTAGGATATCACTCTCCTATATTAGAGGAGCTCCAAGCAGTGTATCATGCTCAAATATTTATTAATTGACAGTGTCCGACAACCTCCTGTCCATAAAGCATGGCAGAGTGGGTAATTAATTGGAAAGAGTTGGCAGTAGAACTTTAAGAACAATTATACCTTCTACATCTTACCACTCCCCATTCCTAGTGACAACTTTCTCATCTCGGCGAATTCTCTTGTGTACTGTTTCTGGAACATATATTACTAAATTCCTGTCTCCTTTACAAAATGCTGTATCTTGGGCAAAAGACATATGTATTGTGCTTGTATTGTGTATCTAATGTGTACATATATGCATATTCTCACAAATATGGTATACATTTATATTATGCATGTGTATGGACATATATCTGCATATTGTAAAATGAAATAGAATTTTTTTTTTCTTGAGATGGAGTCACACTCTGTTGCCTAGGCTGGAGTGCAATGGTGCAAGCTTGGCTCACTGCAACCTCCGGCTCTTGGGCTCAAGCGATTCTCCTGCCTCAGCCTGCCACTCGGCAGGGTGGGATTACAGGTGCTCACCACCAAGCCCGGCTAATTTTTGTATTTTTAGTAGAGATGGGGTTTCACCATGGTGGCCAGGCTGGTCTCAAACTCCTGACCTTAAGTGATCTGCCCACTTTGGCCTCCTACAGTGATGGGATTACAGGCTTGAGCCACCATGCCCGGCCTGAAGTAGAATTTTTTTAAATGAACGGTCGGAGATCGAGCTAAAGGCTATAAAATGGCAGGGTTCTAATCAGCTCAGATTGTTTTCAGTAGAAATGTACGCAAAGTCTTTGGAGTTAAATGATGAACTGCCACTTATTTATTTATTTATTTGTTTATTTTTTGATATGTCTCACTCTTTTGCCCAGGCTGGAGTGAAGTGGAGTGATCTTTGCTTACTGTAACCTCTGCCTCCCTGGCTCCAGCGATCCTCCTGCCTCAGCCTCCTGAGTAGCTGGAATTATAGGCACCCACCACCACATCTTGCTAATTTTGGTATTTTTAATAGAGACAAGGTTTCACCATGTTGGCCACGCTGGTCTCGAACTCCTGAACTCAGGTGATCCACCTGCCTTGGCCTCCCAAAGTGCTAGGATTACAGGCTTGAGCCACCACACCCAGCCTAAACTGCCAGTTTACATCAGTTATAATTTTTTTTTGTTTTTTTGAGACAGGGTCTCACTTTGTTGCCCAGACTGGAGGGCAGTGGCACAACCATGGCTCACTGCAGCTTCAAGTAATCTTCCCACCTCAGCCTCCCAGGTAGCTAGGACTACAGGTGCATGCCACCACGCCCAGCTAATTTTTCGTATTTTTTGTAGAGATGGGGTTTTGTCATGTTGCCCAGGCTAGTCTCGAACTTCTGAGCTCAAGTGATCTACCTGCCTCGGCTTTTCAAAGTGCTGGGATTACAGGTATGAGCCACCATGCCCAGCCTCAGTTACAACTTTTTTTTTTTTTTTGAGATGGAGTTTCCCTCTTGTTGCCCAGGCTGGAGTACAATGTTGCAATCTCAGCTCACTGCAACCTCCGCCTTCCAGGTTCAAGCAATTCTCCTGTCTCAGTCTCCCAAGCAGCTGGGATTACAGGCATGTGCCACCACGCCCGGCTAATTTTTTGTATTTAGTAGAGACACAGCTTGTTTCACCATATTGGCCCGGCTGGTCTCAAACTCCCGATCTCAGGTGATCCACCTGCCTCGGCCTCTCAAGGTGCTGGGATTATAGGCATGAGCCACTGTGCCTGGCAGTTATAACTCTTAAAGCAACACAAGGCTCTTGGTAGCCTGATTACAATGAGAATTAATTAAGTACACTATTTTCCACAGTACACTCCCACGAAGTTTTTAGTGCTGCCATAATGTTTGTAGTAAAAAGAATCAACATTTTCAATTTGTTTTTTGGGGTTTTGTTTGTTTTGTTTTGTTTAGGCAAGGTCTTGATCTGTCACCCAGGCTGGAGTGCAGTGGTGCAATCACAATTCACTGCAGCTTCAATTTCCTGGGCTCAAGTCATCCTCCCATCTCAGCCTCCTGATAGCTGAGACTACAGGCGTGCAATTTAAAAAAAAATTATTTTGTGGAGTCTGGACCTCACTACATTGCCTAGAACGGTCTCAAACTCCTGGGCTCAAGAGATCCTCCTGCTGCAGCCTCACAAAGTGTTGGGATCACAGGCGTAAGCCACTTCACCTGGCCTTGATTCTTTTTAAGCTCAATAAAAATGGAACTTTGTCTTGCTGTCATGGCCAGAGTTAAAATACAGTCAAACAACAAAGACCTCATAGAGTTAAAGCTCACAAAACTGATACTTAAAAATAACTTATTAAATAAGTATTGCAGGCACTACAACAGGTCTCAAGATACAGTGGTGAGCAAGAAAAACAGGATCTCTTGCTTTCATGAAGTTCAACTAGAAAGTCCTGTCGAATGATGAGACATCTTTCTTTGGGGCAGCAAGTTACTTTCACTTAGTGGTAAAAGGGCCAAGAATAGTTCAGGAACTTCTCATCCACTTGTCTACCCTTCTACACAGACAGCAGCACAGATCTGGCTTTTTACATGGCCCTAGGCCGGGTGCAGTGGCTCACGCCTGTAATCCCAGCACTTTGGGAGGTGGAGGAGTTCAAGACCAGTTCAAGACCTCACTTTGGGAGATCAGGAGTTCAAGACCAGCCTGGCCAACATGGTGAAACCCCATCTGTACTAAAAATACAAAAATTAGCTGAGCATGGTGGTGCACACCTGTAGTCTCAGCTACTTGGGAGGCTGAGGCAGGAGAATCGCTTGAATCTGGGAGGCAGAAGTTGCAGTGAGCCAAGATTGCGCCACACTATACTCCAGCCTGGGTGAGAGTCAGACCCCGTCTCAAAAACAACAAAAGGCCCTAGACAACACCCATCCATGGAATTCTTTCAAATTCCCTATAGCTTGTGCTATCAGTTGTTATTTAGTACCTGGCAAGATGATATTAGGGGAACTCATATTTAAGGAGTTCATGGAGACCTCCTTTTGTAAATACTGGCCTGACTCCTTAAGGTTGAAAGCTTGGTCATTATTCTGTTTAATCTATCACTGATAAAAGTTATCACATAACCCATTGTCTGCAAATGAACTATAAAAAACACCTTAGAAATACAAGGGGATTGCACTGTGACCTGTAGGTCAAAGCTAATTCTAGGTGAGAGGGTGAAGAAACAAATATGCTGGTTGTTTTCACCTAAATTCTGATCCTATGAATTTAAAATTCCTTCTCATGCAATCATTTTGTCATGGAATTGATTACAATGAACAAAATCCAAAGTGCTCAGGTCACTGCCTCTTCAGTTTAGTGCTTACACTGTAGGATACACCATCCAAGAGGCTGTAAGGGTGGCCAAGCAAAGGGAAGACAACTTCAGTTGGGGGGGTGGAAGCACAGATTCAATGGAAATAAGGGTATACATCATTTAACAACAAAATCAAGAAAATGCTAAGGATGAAACAGGGTACTCAACAATCATGCTGAAACAGGCATAAACTAGGACCACGCCAGCAAGCTAATAGGTAGATGACTCTACTTTGAATATTAAATCATATTACGAGCCAACTTTCTTAAGAAAAACCACGGATATCTAGGATTACTTGACTAGTGTAAAATACACAGTTGCCTGAAGAACTTATCTCTAAAAACTATCACAGGCCCCAGCTACCTCGCACTGGTAAGAGTATACTGCCTTTTAAAAACAATCACTATTGCCCACATTATTAGTAGTATTAATGCTATTAATAATATTGCACTCCAATGTGTCCAATAATTGCTTTTTGCTAGGTATATGCACAGCATCATGGGAGCCGGAGGGAGCTTTTACCCAACCTCATGAGGAATGAACGAAGGTAGGAATTGGCCAAGATAAGGTGGAAGAACTCCCAGATACACGGACCAAGATAAGAGCAAGGGGCAAGGGCACAGGTGACAACACAGAGCTTTTGAGAATCACAATCGGTCCACTGGTCTTCCTGCAAGGCAAGATACACCCAAGGATGAGCCCATGCCTAGGGCATAGCCAGCCTTGGAAGGCTTCAACCAGGGTAGCAGGGTAGCTAATATTTGTTTCTTATCACTGAGAGCAGAGAATAGAAATCGTAAAGCCAGTTAATCTTACATTATGTTAGGCTATTGTATTAGGCTAGGAATGGTCAAAACAATGTTATGGTAAGCCAAAACCAAACTCAGGGGAGCAAAGGAAGGGGGAGGAGTGGGGCTTGTACCCTGCTACAAACCTCTAGGCTAGGAAATGCCAAGATTGTGTGTAACTAAGTCTAGGTGAAAAACTTAATCCCTTAAGTCCCAAATACCCAACTTAGAGAGGTACAGGAAACGGCTGGTCAGCAACATCACTCCAGTGTTTTAAAAACTCAGAGTACATAAACTTGAGCTTATTTTGCCTGTTTTAGGAAATAAAGAAATATAATGGCACATAGGGATTTGAAAGAATCACAAACACATCAGAGAGATCTTATGTTAGGCTGATTTATAAGTGCTGCTTTGGGCAGTTACACAGTTTGTTTACAATGAGGAGTTATTTGACTTTGAACATACTGTACATGGCAATTAGAAGTTGTCATGGCAAAAGAAAACCACAGCTGGCCTGCCACAGCCAACACAAGAACCAGAAAATGGTAGATGAAATGAAGGAATAAAGGTGGGGTTTATTCCTTATTATAAAAGAAAAAAAATAATTCTTCAGCAGTCTTAACAAAGACATCAAGATACAAAATTACAAGTGTTTTGACTCCAGCCCTGTCCCCATCTCCTCCAAGAGCAGAGGTAGGAGACAGTTGAAGCAAACAAGCAATTCTGTAAAAATTACCTAGAAACCCTACAAATTTGATTAAAATCTAAACTTCTATAATTTTGCTTTTTAAAAAATTTAATATCAAAAGGCCTGCTTTAGTGACATGCTATTCCTACCAGAAAATAACCCCAATACCCCCTCTGTCAGTAACATGCTCAAGTTGACCAGCCAACTCTTATCTCTAAACCTATGTGGACAAGTGTGTCTTTTAAACCAAAGCCACGGAGATCAAGTGACTGCTAGTAACGTGTTGTCTGTTAACTAATCCAGTGCCCACCTTCTCCAGAGGGTGGGCAGGGCAGAAACCCAAAAGGGTCTTGAGGGCCTAATCCCAGATCACCATCTAAGAACCACTTCCCTTGCTCTCTACTCAAAATGAGATGCTTTATTTCTAATCCGACTATTTGTCTCAAATTTGGTGCCCCGTGACCTGGATGGTTTTTTCCTTTAGCAAAACACACATAATCCACAAAACCATACATATAGTTTTTTGTCTTTACATTTAAATATAAAAATACTATTCTGCTTTGTGTGATAAATCAAGGACCAAGCAGTAAGAACCTTTTCTTCTTTCAAGGTAGGGATATCCATCAGTTTATACTAAGCTTCGTGTTCAGAGCAGGGCATTTAGTCCCAAGCCAGGCTAGTCCCACAAGCAAGAGACCAAAGCCATTCTCTCTGATTCCCAACCCCTACCTTCTCTCCTAATTCCCACTTTTAATAGAAAAGTTGGTTATAACTTTTTAAGAAAAGTTTCCACCACGAGGGCAAGTCCTAACCTAACCAGAGTACGTCAGGTCTTCCCCTTTCAGCTACCTGGAAGAAGAGACCCCCTTCTGCAAACGTGCTCTGTCCGGATAGCTACGCCTATTGGACAGGTGCACCCCATTAAATGGAAGCAGTGGTTATGTCTCCCCACCCTCCTCCCCACTAATGCACTAAAAAGCTTCAGTGATAGGGAAAAAAAGGAGGGTAGGTGTGAAGAAATTAATAACTTGACCCCTCTATCCCAGCCAAACAAAGAAAGCAAGATTAACTGGGCACATGGAATGAAAAAAACGACCTTGATATTCCACCCTTTGAGTTACAATCGGGACAACTGGGAGAGGGGGAAGAGTTGGAGTGGGATGAAGAACTAGGAGGGGCTCAACAGCTGGAGGTCTAGTCCACTTAATTTTTGTACTGGAAGGGCTCATCGCCGGTTTCATTGAGAAGACACGTGCGGATGAGGGCTTCTGTCACCGAAAAGGGGTCGCAGTTGGCAGAGGGGCGACGATCTTCAAAGTAACCCTTCTTCTCCTGGCCAACAGTCCGGGGAATGCGTATGCTGGCGCTACGATTGGCTACACCAGCAGAAAAGTCGTTGATGTTGGAGGTTTCATGGAATCCAGTTAGACGTCGGGCATTGTCCAGGCCTCCCTTGGGATCATAGGCACGGATGTGGTACTGGTGCCGCTTGCTTAGTTTCTCAATGGCCTCCTCGATGTACCTAGAGTAAACAGAAAAGATGGCAGTCCAACCTTGTCTCCAGGTATGGAGCCAAGAATGAAGTGCACCAAAATATGATACCAGTAGAACAAATACTTCATGAGGGCAGTGGCTGCATCTTCTTACCTGTGTGTCTCAGTGGTGAGAACAGTGCCCGACAAGCAGTACAAAGTTACTGTTTGTTGAAAAGACTAATCATTTGAAACTTTCTCCCCCTCATAAGCATTAAGCTTATCCACATGCCTGTATTGTTACTAATTTAGTTCTAAAAGATTTTCAAATGCATGAATTTGTCAACTTTTCCCTGTCACCATGACATATGTCACAAATATATATATCGATATATATTTATATAATGATATATGACTAATATATATTATATAAATTATAACAAATATTTATCACTGTGAATCAGAAGTATTATTTGGTATTTTTCAAATAGGAACAAAATGAGAGAATGTGAAGGCAAGTGTCAACACCTAAAGTACGTCCAGACTGAGAAGTCAAGTTTACTCATCTTTGGCAAATATTTGCAAGTCATCCTGCAAAGGAGACTTTGCTGAGAGATTGCTAAGTCTCCTCCCAAGTTTTCTGCCACAGGAGATTAAAGATGGCCCCAGCAGAAGGTACTCACTTCAGACCATTCTCCTCCCGCATGGCCTTGGTGCTGAAGTTGGTATGGCAGCCTGCACCATTCCAGTTCCCAGGAATGGGCTTAGGATCAAAGGTTGCTATCACTCCAAAGTCTTCACACACACGATGCAAGATGAAACGGGCCACCCAGAGATGATCTCCCATGCTGATTCCTTCACAAGGTCCAATCTGAAATTCCCACTAGAAACGAGAAGCTTGGCCATTAAAACAAAGCTAACTGCTCACTCCAACTCAGAATCTCCTAAACCTGTTCTCTTCTCACCTGTACTCCAACCCGTTCTTAGGTTTTGGGTTAGTGAGTGGTGTATCAGCAGCCCTTACTAGCAAAAGTCCTATGTACACCTACCTACCCTTCTTCATTGATGGATTGGAGCTATACTTACCTGGGCAGGCATGACCTCGGCATTAGTCCCCGCAATCTTGACTCCAGCATACAAGCAGGCCCGGTAATGGGCCTCCACGATGTCCCTGCCATAGGCTCTGTCTGCTCCCACACCACAGTAATATGGACCTACAGAAGCATCAGGACAAAACACTAAGAGTCAAGAAATCCAGAGAATCCCAAAGTCAGAGATCAGAAGGCCCTTAAGCCTTGCCCTCTTGAATCACTATCCTTGCCTTCATCTGCAGGTGCGGGGCAGGGGAGGGGCAATAGGGGAGTTCCTCTTCACCACAGCTTCAGTGGGGCCAAACGTTCCCCCTAAAACCTTACTTTATATATTCATATCCATTTTTGGACTTTGGTGATGTGAGGGCTGTTTCGCCTTTACTGTATTATTTTGCTTCTTGATTCTGAAAGTCATTCCCATCCCTGGGAAGGGGCATTCCTGCACAGTTAGACACTTCTGGGAATTTCACCTCTAACCCAAGGAGACTTACCCTGGGGCCCTGGGAAGCCGTTGGAAGGCCAACCAAAGGGGTGCCCATCTGTCCCCATGAGGGTATACTCCTGCTCCATGCCAAACCAGGGGTGCTGGTTGCTCACCATGTCCATTATCCGTTTACAGGTGTGCCTCAAATTGGTCTCTAGAAAAAAGAGTCAATAATACGCCATCAGGGATCTAAAGACATAGATGCTGAATACCGATGCTGATGGGAGAATAGTCCTTGGATTCTATACAACTGAGGTGTGCACTATGGTATGAACTGACCCAGTATAGGCCTTCTTGGGATCACCGAGTCAGAAAAATGAGAGAAGCTGTTAATTGTACATCTGTAGGAAGACTCTGAAAGACTTCAGTTTTAACTAAACTCAGTTACAACCAAGTCACATGGGAGTGGATTTAGAACAGGGCAACTTTCACCTTATCTGCATTCTGGCCACCTCCCAAGCACCAAATGCCAGGCACTTAACCCTCTATTCACAAGACAGCTGCTTCTGGTTGTCAGATTTATTCTTCATTTCTCAGGCACTTGGAGCCATTCTATAATTTTTGAGAAACATTTGTCCATTGGTTTACATTTGTCCTGGCCTACATTCCAGGCAGGAAGGCTGTTACTGGGGACTCCAAGACCGGCAAACAGATCTGGACAAATCCAATGCTATTTTATGCAACCAACAGAGAAGACCATAGAAAGATGGGCCATATTATCTCTTCCTCAAAGCAGAAGTTCAGGGAAAAGAATCACTCAGATTCTTAAAATAGTGCTGAAATTGCCTAGTCTTCCCAATGCTGATTTCAGAATGTCTTCTCCCTCCCCTTCACAGCATTCACAGATTGAGGAGGGGTATCCATAGCTGTGCTATAACACACCTGCAGGCCTTCGATTGTACTTGAAAACTTCACATAACACCAGCTTGTTAGGGTCCTTACGGAAGGGGTCCCGAAACATGGCAGCAGGCACGAGATACATGTCACTGTTGGAACCCTCAGACTGTAAAGTACTAGAGCCATCGAAATTCCACTCAGGCAACTCTGGGGCAAAAAGAGGGAAAATTACATTTAAAACATACAGGAGCTTTCCAAGCAATGCAAATACAGCCAGCCCTTCACTCACCTTCCCATCTCTAAATATCTCTTTTCCAGGAATTCATTAAGGTATAAATGCCATCATTAATATGTATACCCTGGCACCTGTACCTGATCTTATAGCCCTTCCTATTTGAGTTCCAAGTAAGACCATTGTACCAATTCCTTAAAAGAAATATATCAGATACTCCCTTCCCAAATGTCTTCCAGGAGACAAGCTGAAGCATTCTGTTATCACTACCATCCTATCAATCACTTAAAATATTGAGATAGTGAAGGATTCTGATTCTTCCATTAGGTAATGTGTTGCATCCTTCTTATGCCCCCAGTGTATTCTGGCAAGTTATGTCCTTATTTTATAGATGAGGGAACAGACGACTAGCAGGATGACTTACTCTAGGATGCTCCCTTATCACCTATCCACCTTTCCCACTGTTTTGAAGGCTGCTTGGTCTCTCTAGCTGACTGAGTTCTCTGAAGGCAGAGACGAGACTCTCACTTTGTATCTTCAGTGTCTGTGCACTATCATCTGCCACATAGCAAGTACACAATATAGGCTTTGTATTATGATCATTCACTTACTCAAAAAGGAAAAGTAAACTACCCTAAACTAGGTAGGATATGATACTTTCCTCTGGCCCCTTTCCAGAAGAGGGAAGACTATGGCTTGTTCTAGACTGAAAAATGAAGGTCACAACTATAATCTAACTGTAGCTCCTAGAGGGATACGCAATTAGTTTAAGAATTTCCAAAAGTGGCATCAACTAAAAATTAGTCCTATTTAAAAACCATTGTAGAGCATTTGCTTCACATCTAGAAGCCAGTGATATGAGTATTAAACACAGTTTTCTAAGAGTTTGTAAACTAGATGGCATTCTCAGGTTAGAGCAGTGGTTTTCTGAGGGTGCCTTAGAGCCAGCTAAGTGGGGATGTCCAGGTCGGCAACCTCTAAGCCCCATGCCAACTCTCCATAAACCAGACTTAGTTTTTCTTCAATACACTGGCCTACGTGCACAATTCCATTGAAATAAAGGGTTCCATCGTCGCTCTGCTTTGAGGCAGTGTAGGAGCTTAATGTTGACTGAATAAAGTCTGAAAAGCCCTGCCTTAGAAAACCTTTACAAACAGAAGAAAGAGGCCTAATCCAGAGGCTGAGTCAAAGGCTGCTGCCCACCCCTCTGCAGATCCCACCCAGCATGTGCTCCACTCCACATTGCTGTCTCACCTTCCACACACTTGGGCTCACTGTCCAGGGTCCGGGTCTTGCAGCGCAGTCCTTCTCCAGTACCATCGATCCAGATATACATGGCCTGGACTTTCTCACCCTGAGGCAGGGACATGTACACCTGCTTGATGCCTTTATTTAAGTGGGAACTTGCTGAGGTGGTCATGGTGGAAGGTGTTCTGGAGAAGAAAAAAAGAATAACATTGTTAACGCCCACTCCAAACTGATCCCCTGCAAAAATGGCTCAAGAAGGACGACTGAATCAAAAGTCAGAGTGTAAGTGCCAACTCCTTCCCTTGTGGAAGTCAACACACAAAAAGTTATGTTTACTCACTCTTTCAGGGGGATTAGTTTTATAGTAGGCAAAAATCTCCTTTATAATAGGCTGTAAAACTGATCACCACCTTTTGAAACAATTAACACAGATGCCTGCTAAAGAAAAGATCAGGCCCTTGGTAGTAACTCAATGCCTCTGCATCCCTGAGCTCACAGGCTTAAGTTCCACAGCTACTGCAGAACCCAGGCTTCCAAGCTAGAACTTATACTTGTGAGGACTAAGGTCTATTCCTTCAGTGTAGCTGAGGTTAACACTAAACTATCCAAATACTAAACTATCAGAGGAAACAAATCAAAACCAATACACAAATTTACAAAACATAGAACTTCTTCCAATATAAGTAAAATCCAGCCACAGAACAGGCTTGGCTTCCACAGTTTGTTTTTCTCTTTGTCTTTCATCCTAGCTGTGGTCTTAACTCAAACCCACCGCCCCTCCCCACCAAAAGAAAACTCATTACACATTTAGATTTGAGGATGAAACAAGGTTACAATATATTTTTTTAGAAGGCTAGCAGTTTCCTACACAAAAGCTGATTCAAGCCAGATTCTAAGGGGAATGCTGCCATAATTTCCATAGGTCTCATGCAAAGTCTCACTTAAGATAGTGGGCAAGAATCACAACATTATGGAATTCTACAAGACTTGTCAAGTAATTAGGAAATTTCCACTTCTAAATCAAAAAGATCTGGAAATTTAAAAGCCATGAGGCATACTAATAACTGCCAGCCACTACCACAAAACCTCCGAAAGAAGAGAAACTCTCAAGCCACAACAGCCGAAGAGGAAACATTCTCTCTCTCCCTCCTCCCTCCGTGGACCAGGGTGGCTAGAAAGGGAACACATTGTTCTCCTCCAACGACTAGGGCAACGTTCTGAAGTACAGTGGCAAAGTTTCTACGGGCAACCGTCCATGTTTGCCCAGCTGAAAACATAACTGCTTCTCCCTCAGCCTCACCACCCTTCCCCTTGGGGAAGACCAACACCCCAATATTGCCTCTAGAAGACTCAGCCGGCCAAATCCTACTTCCCACCTCCATCCCAGAACCCTTTAGCTCCCGCTAAAAGCTACAACCCACCGAAGCGGGCAGATCACCTGAGGTACAAAGTTCGAGACCAGCCTGGCCAACACGATGAAACTCCCGTCTCTACTAAAAATACAAAAATTAGCCGGGCGTGGTTGTGCACGCCTGTAATCCCAGCTACTCGGGAGGCTGACACAGGAGAATCGCCTGAACCCCAGAGGCAGAGGTTGCAGTGAGCCGGGAGATTGCACCACTGCACTCCAACCTGGGTAACAGATAGAGACTCTGTCGGAAAACAAAAAAAAAAAACCTACAACCCAATTTCTCGGCTGTCCTCTCCAACATGTTACACCACCAATATCATGCACACTTTGTCCTAAGCCTCAGTTTCGGATCTCTTGCTCTTTTCCGTGAGCCGAGTTGCATGCCAGCAGCCTAGTGCCACTCTATCAACTGCTGCTGCTGCGGTGCCAAGTTTACGTGGGGGAAATGGATTCTGAAGTTTTCAGCAGTTTCTGCAGCTCCCACCAACTCCGGGGTCGTCCTCCCTGCCCCCTCACTCACCCCAGCCACAGAAAGTCAAGCGTATCGTTAGGGTTGCCCTCTTTAACCCTTCTCTTTTTGGAGTGGCGTTCGCGCCTCTCCTCTTTCTCAGACTCTAGCTGGTCCAAGCACCGGAGCTTTCTGGGAGAGGGCGATGGAGAAGGGGACAGACAGCGGCCGGCCCGGGGGGTGTCCGAACAGGCAGGTTGGTGGGTTAAGGTCTTAATCTTGACTCGAGATCTCTCCCCGGAGTTCACAGAGTAGGCGACGAAGCCGAAGCAGCTGGAGCGCGACCCGGAGGAGTCTGACTTCTCGTTGTCTTCATAATTTTCATTCGTTGCTTTCTTCGTGGACTTGCGGCTGGGGGAGGATCCCCGCTTCCCGCCCCCGAGGGAGTTATAATTATCCACTTTGAGAGCAGCCCCTTCCCACTGAAATGTCCCTAAAGTGGGCGCCCTGCCCCTCGGGCCCCCGTCCGAATCTCAGGGCCTCACGGAGGTGGCCATACCCTGCCGCCGAGGGGTTGGGGGGTCCGGGGGAGGGTGGGGGCGCAGGCCGTAGGGACTGCGCGCTGCTGCTGCCTCCGCCCGGACCGGCTTCTCCACTGACTGCGCCGAGGCCCGGGCTCTCCATTGTTCGGTCACATTGGAAGGCCCCCGGGACCCCGAGGCGGGAGCCGGCCGCCCAAACAACGCTCACCGTTACACGCCGCAATCGAGGCGTCTCAACCATCGCCAGAACCAGGACGATTGCTCCGAAGGCCCCACCACGAGGAAGGCAGCCAGGCGCCCGCGCCAACCAAGCGCCTTGTTTGCGCTCCACAGGGGACCGCACCGCCACTCCATCCACAGCGCAAACAAACCACTGCGAGCCCCAGGGCGCAGGCCGGCCCAACGGCCTCCAGGGGCGGCGCTTCGGCCGCAAGTAGTGAAAAGAAGATCAAAACAACTCACCCCGCCCTTCCCAGAGCCTGGCCAAGGGCGCGCCCCACCAGCGCCAGCCCCGACGGGTCCAAGCCACCAGCGGCGGAAGCACGCGGGAGGAGCACTCATGCCGGATCTCAGGCATGGGCCGGAGAGGCCGCAGCGTAGGGCTGGGACTGGAGGGGCAGGCAGCCGAAAAAAGAGGCTGGGCGGCGCGCCTCGCGGGGTAGCAGGGGCGGCGCGCCTCGCTTGCGTGACACCGGGCCGTCCGGGGGCTTACCTGGTCGCCGAGCAGGCGGGCGGGTAAAGCTAGGCCGCGAGAGCGAGGTTAGGAGAGGAGAGGAGGCCGCAGTACTGCTCACACGCTCCGCTCTTCTCCCACTCTCGACTCTGCAGAGCCGCCAGCAGCCCCGCACCCTTTATCCGCGGCCCGGGGCCGCCCCCGGTGCCCTGATTGGCTCCCAGCGGCCAGGAGCCCGGGCCGATCAGCTGATGCGGTCCCGGGCCCCGCGGCCATTGGGCGAGGAGCCCGGCGGGCGCCGCTGGGGTGGGGGCAAGCGAACTGGGAAAGAAAGAAAGAAAGAGAAAGGGGCGTGGGGGAGGGGCAGGGCGGCGTGGGGGAAGGGAGCGGAGCCGGGAGGGCTGAGGGCAGAGGGGCGAGTTGCCGCCAGGCCGGGAAGCCTCGGCTCGCCGCCCACCCGCCAGCTCGCCAGGTGCCGCCCCACGGCCCCCAACCCGGGGTCCCGAGGCTCCCAGCAAAGCCCGCCCTGGACCTCTGCCCTGCCGCCTTCACGGGGAATAGTTTTACGAGGAGAGCTCCCTGGGGAAATGCGGAACCAGGGAAACCGAATTTAGCCTTTTGTTGCGAGGGAGCCTCCGAGCCCCGCTTCCTGCGGGCAGGGGTTAGCTTGAGAGGGAGCGCGGGGCGCGGGACCCGAGGGAACTTTGGGCGGGCCTGGGCTAGGGCGGGTGCCGCGCGGGCCTGGGGACAGGCCGGGGTTCCCAAGGCCTGGAAGAGCCGCCCGCTCCGGCTCTCTTGGGTCTGGGGAAATAAACAGAACTCTGCCATTTCACATTTGAAATCAACGTGCTGTTTCTCTAATTTTACAGAGAGGATTCTGGAGGGCGGTAGAAACTAAGTCTGGAGACCTGTCTCATACTGCTGGCCAGACCCTAGGCAGGTCTTTCAGGGCCCAAGTTTCCTCATCTGCAAAATAAAGTGGTCATCGAAAATGACCTGTGGAGCCGCCCACTAGATTTGAAATTCTGTGTGCAAACTGCCCCCGGAGCAGCTGAAAGGAAATCGAGGTGTTCACTTGCCCCCTTTGAAGTCCAGGGATTGTCAAGAAATTCCTTTAACGAATTCTCCCTGATTTTGCTTTATCAAGTGCGGCTTCTTGTTAATCTGGAAAATGGGAATACATACCTCTCCTCTCAGCTTGCCGTGATGGTTGGGAAAATGTGTATGTGAACACAATATTGAAATGTACCTAGAGACACAACATAGGTAGGTAGGTAGGTAGGTAGGTAGATACTGCTATCCGTACTATTACTCGATCATTCTATTTTTAGTGCCTGAAATCTACCTGATGGTGTCCAGATTTTATTGCTTCTTTCAGTTTAAAGAGCAAGAATTTATGCTTCCAGTGCCTTTGGAAGAGGAAGGGAAGAAGTTTGTTCTGGTTATGTTTTGTACCGCAAATGTGGAAAAGAAATGTTGCCTGCAACCACACACACATAACTTGGCTTCTTTGGTCAACATCCCTTTCCTTTAAGAGTGTATAACACTGTAGTGCTTTTACATGACAGATGCAGCATTCATCTCAAACAGGGTTTTTTGGGATGTTTCAGACTGGTGACATTTTGGATTGGGTAAGGTGCCTTACAAATTCCTTGTTAAATTTCAGTGCTGCCCCTTGAAGCATTACATTGTGGTGGCTAAAGGCACGGCTGCAAGTCAGGTAAACCTAGGTTCAAATCTGGGCTTTCCCTTCATACCAGCTTTGTGTTGGCCAAATCACTTAGCCACATGAAGCCTGTTTCTTTGTCTATAATAAAAGAGGGATAATCATTTTTACCTCATAAAAGGATTAATTGTGATAGCACATGCAGAAGAGATTGAGTAGTCCTTGGTGCATCGTAAATGTTTAGAAAACAGCAATTATAATTATCATAGGCCAAGTTCTATAATCTGAGGTGATTGGATTCTTTCTTTCCCCATAGCGACTTTTGAATACAACTTTTCTGACTCAGTGTAATGCTTTACCATTCATTATATCAAACTGGACTTAACCTTGGTAACACAGTGAGCTGTCTTCATCTCTTTCTGTAAAGGTTTGAGTTTAAATGGTCGAGGAAGGGGAGCAAAGGAGGAGAAAAGTGATATTTTTATTTTAAAAGATGTTATTAATCATTTCCAGATACCAAACTACCGAACCATAAGCCAGAGCCTCTGCTGCACACACCACCAGCCCCTGAGGTGGGGATGACAAACATAACAGAGAACGGAATGGTAAGGCGTGAGTGCGGTTCTGCAGGCTTATGGTATTTCTGCCATTTGAGTGCCTGCTTCCCTTCCTAGATGTCTTGACCTCATTGAGCAGTTTATTCATTGTCATATCCCCCAGTAGTGTCCACGGTGAGTGTTCAATAAATGATATTTGTTAACCACACAGAAGTGACAGCAGCACCATCAAGAGAACATGTGCTTTGAGCTGCTTTTCCAAGAATGGAAATGGATTTGCTTTGATCCATTCATGTGACCAGGGGCACGCTTTGTAAGGGTTAGGAACATAATACATGACCACTGACTCTTTCAGGAGTGAACAAGAGGCCTTGTCCTCCTTGGCCAGCCCCACATTTACTTAAAATGATGAAATTAGGGCGCAGATGAGTCCAAGAACTGACCAGGGAGGCTTGAGCATAGGCGAGAAGTAAAAGCAGAAGAAAACCCTTAACTGGTTCACCCGCAGAAACCCAGACTGTACTTTTAGAGAAGTTAAAAGTAAAACAGCCTGTTTCATCCAGTTTGACTTTGCTGTGTCTGCTGCCCTTTCTTCTCCTTCCCCTTCTTCCCTAAATTGCCACCCGCCCCCATTCTTCACCCCCACCATAAAAAGAGCATTAGAATGCTTGAACCCATGAACTTTTCTGTTTCTTGGTACACACCATATCAGTGCTGACAAGGGGTTCCATTGCATGTGCTTTGAAGTCATATTTTTCTCTCTTAGAGTAGAATTGCCATGTCCAAGGGGTGGGTGGAGTGGGAGAGCAATTACAGGGAAAGATTTTGTTCCAAATCTGCAGAAATAGCCTGAGATTAAAAGTATTTCTTCAATGTTGTTCTGCTGCCTGAAATAAAAGCTTTGTATTAGGATTTTGCTCTACTCCCAAATCTTATCTCTATTAGGAAACAACTTTTCTCTTTTTTTTTTTTTTTTTTTTTTTTTTTTTTGAGACGGAGTCTTACTCTGTTGCTCAGGCTGGATGCAGTGGCGCAATCTCGGCTCACTGCAACCTCCACTCACTGTAACCTCTGCCTCCCGGGTTCAAGCAATTCTCCTGCCTCAGCCTCCCAAGGAGCTGGGATTACAGGCGTGTGCCACCACACCCAGCTAATTTTTTGGTATTTTTAGTAGAGACGAGGTTTCACCATATTGGCCAGACTTGTCTTGAACTCCTGACCTTGTGATCCGCCTGCCTCGGCCTCCCAAAGTGCTGCGATTACAGGCGTGAGCCACTGTGCCCGGCCCTTTCTCTGTCTTTTAAAGGATCCATTCTCACTCTGCAAGTATGAAGTCCTTTACCTGGGGATCTGGAGTGCCTTCCCAGGGCCTGTGTGGTTGCCTTATACACATTAGACACAAAATTTAGGGTAGGGCTCACATTGACCAAACCTTTTCTGTTTAGGAAATGGAGTTTTCCCTGTGTATGAATGATTTCAATAGGCATTCAGTGAGACCTTTAAATCATGTTAAAGAGATACAATTGAGACTCAGGGTTGGGGAACACCCTGGAAACCCAACCCAGAATTGTAAAATATTCTTTTAAAAATTATTATTATGTAATAAACCAACATCAGTTCTTTCCAAAAGAATGGACCATAGTAGAATCTTAAACCAAATCAAAATAATAATAATAAAAATGAAGAAGAAAAGAAATAGCTCTGGAAGTTGATAGCATTATTCTTAAACCATAATTTAGGGAAAAGCTGTAGTTGGCCAAGCTTTCAAATTTCACTTTATACAATTAGAGAAGGAAAGACTACATTTACATTATACTTCAGTTCAATAACTAGCACTAAGAATGGAGGAATTGTTCTTTACAGTTTTTGATTGTTTGATATTCTTCAGTTCAAGACAGGAAATTGGAAATTCACGTCTCAGCCATATCTGTAGCCTGATTTGAGTTTTGTAGGATGCGTGCTGAAATCAGTCAAATACAAGGAACACTTCATTTCCCCAACTGCGTGTTATGATGGAAGGTTTGGGTCTGTTTGAGCTCTACCCTGAATCATGTCTCTAGCAGGAAACTACGTGGAAAGTTGGGAAGAATCAAGTTCATCTTAGTTAACAACCTGGGGAAAATGTCCTATTGAGAAAATTAAAGCCATACAATTCTAGAATTAGATCTTCACATCATTCTATCTTAAAGATGAGGAACTGAGGCTTAGATAACTCATAGTAACTTGATGAAGTCATGTTTGGTTAGTATTTTAGAGCTTAATGAGCTTTCAAGGTGCTGTTCTTTTTCTGTTCCCTTTCCTTTAGTCGCTTTGGTCTGTGGGTGATCTGTTCCGGGGCCACCATCTCTAAAATACTGAAATTCCTACAGTCCTCACTGAGGGAGGTGCAGAGGACAGGGAGCAACCATTTACCTCTCAATCCTGGGTATGCTTACCCAGTGACTTCTGTATAGCAGACACTCAATATATATTTTCTTTGTGAATAACTAGATTAGCAGAAAAAAACAACACCATAGGAAAGATTCTCTTTGAAGGACTCTTTGGAGATCATTTTTCACATCTGATAATCTGCCTCCAGTTTCATTGTTTTGTGAATCGGGTTTTTTTAGATACATTTTGTCCTTTATTCTCAATTTACACTGTACAGATCGTTGTTCTGTAGATTGATTGGAACATTATTGAAGCTAATTAAAAAATTTAGAGAATTTAGCATTCTGATCAAAAAATTATTTAGATCAGAGTATGTGCTTTAGTTGGTACCATTCCCAAAGAAATCCTCAATGGGATCCACAGCCCTTCCTCCCTCCCCTCCCACCTCATTAGTTAATTTGGATCCCTGTTTATTTCACATTGACTCGCCAAATTTTAACAGGAAACAAACAGCCCTAGGGTATGTTTTCTGGATGCTTGGGCAATTCTTAGTCTGCTTCTGGATTTTTCCTGTCCGTTCTCCTCTTCCACTTCTTTTAAACCCGTTCTCCGGAGACTTGTTTACTGGGGTTGGAGAATCAGAAGCTTGGCCGGGGTGGTGTGAACCTAGTGCCCTCTTGTGGAATTTTGTGAGAATGACAAACTCCCCCAAAGCTTGAGTGCTTTGAGTTTTTTCTTGAGTAGCCTTTAGTGGGAGGACCTTTCTGTTACATCTTAAATCTAGTAAGTTAATAACATGCAGGCTTATTGCCTACACTGAATATTTGAAAGCTATTATGTTGGGGGGTATCACTTGATTACCAGAGGCTTATTGTTATAGAATTAAGCCTCATTACAGGAAACAGGCAGCTAAGTGTTTGTGCTTTTTCATCACCTCCCATTAATGTGTAAGAGAGGTAAAGAGAAAAGGAAGGCTCCCAAAGAAAAGTAATTGAAAAAAGGCTAGGAACCAAGAGTAAAGGGGAAATGGCAAACTTTAGAAGCCTTGGTCAAAAACAAGTCTTATCCCCAGCTCTTGCTTTGGATCTGAGCCCAGAAATGTAAGACCCAGCCAGAAGTTGAGAGTCTGCCAGATTCTCACCCCCCGGGGGAGATGGGGGTCAGGGTAGGGGACAGAAAGTGTTGCATAAACCCACTCCTAAGGGAGGTCTAGGGTGTTTACACTGTGCTGTTTGCTTTACCTGGGCTTTCTGGCTTGTTTTCTTTTCTTTCTTTCTTTCTTTCTTTCTTTCTTTCTTTCTTTCTTTCTTTCTTTCTTTCTTTCCTTCCTTCTTTTCTTTTTTCTTTTTTTTTTAAGACATAGTCTCACTCTGTCACCCAGGCTAGGGTGCAGTAGTGCAATCTCAGCTCACTGCAACCTCCGCCTCCCAGGTTCAAGTGATTCTCCTGCCTTAGCCTCCCAAGTATCTGGGATTATAGGTGTGGGCCACCACACCTAGCTAATTTTTGTATATTTAGTAGAGACAGGGTTTCACCATGTTGACCAAGCTGGTCTCGAACTCCTGACCTCAAGGGATCCGCCCGCCTTGGCCTCGCAAAGTGCTGGGATTATAGGCGTGAGCCACAGTGCCCAGCCGTCTTTCTTCTTTCTTTCACAATTTCATTTTTTTCATTTTGAGATAACTTGTTTCTCCATTGCCATTAGCAAAGTCACTGTGGCCCAGAGGACACAGTCACACTTGCGTCAGACACACCTGCACTTAAATTCCTGTGTTGCCTCATACCAACTGTGAGACTTGGGCAAGTCAACCTGCTGGAGTCTCAGTTTTCTAGAGACTCCTTATAGAAACATTTGTGAGGATTAAAAACAATAACAGAGTCAACTTCAGAAACAAGTTACTGGATTTTATTATACCCCAAAACAAGGAAGAGAGTGGGTGCATTACTAAGGCAGTGACTCAGTGTTCAGGACTGTTGTTGTCACCCAGAGAGATTCACAAAACCTCCAACCTGTCCAGCAATACATTTAGAAGAAACAGGATTAGGGAAGACTCTGGAAGCAAAGAAGGCTTTATTAAACATAACCATGATCCATAGCTGGAGTATACATAGGAAATTTGGTAACTTGGATAAGGCAAAGTCTTTTCCCTTTAGGAGCCTGTACTTTAGTGGGTGAGGAAGAACCTTCTGAAAGAAAATGATTTCAGCAGCAGTATAAAAGAAAGTGGGTCACCTGTATGAGCAAACTAACAAAGCAGATTTAATGTAAGTGCCCAAGAGTTCCAAAACAAGGGAATCAGTAAGAGTTCTGGAGAAGGCCACCTTGGGGATACTTGGTGCGGTGTGGGGGTGGATGTAGGTTTATTCTGGGAATCGAATAACATGGTAAATATGTGACTGTAGGATGACTGGCTGTGATTTGCAAGGAAAAGAAATTTGCAAAGACCCAAGAATGGTATCTGCTAAATTGCATGTGCAAGGGTGGTCATGGTGAAAAGGAAAGTTTGGGCTAGAATAAGAGTAATAAAATGAGAAGTCAGGGAAGTACCAAGCATTTGAATGCTATAAAAATGCTATAGCAGTTGAATTCTATACAAATTTAAATTATGGAAATTTGAAATGTTATTAAGTATTTAAAAAGTCTCACTTTATATGTAAAGTTTGAAATGAAGCCAATTCTTGAAAGCTGCGGAGAGAGAAGGAGGCAAAGCGAGCATAATTTCAGCCTGTATGAATTAATTATAAATTCTATCATGCTATTTCCACATGGTGGCACCACTTTGGTGAGCACGTAAAGTACCCACTTTTCTTTATCAAGATGAGATTTGAATGGGTCCAGTTTTGAGTTGTGAGAAGTCTTTATTCCCTCAGGTAAAAGGCAATCCCTTGTGCCTGATGACGCTAATGACAGCATAACTGCTAGACTCTGTTCTCCTCCCTTCACAGCTCTTCCTTTTGTTGCATTCTCTTCCCCCAGTGGCTTTTCTTGCACACTAAGAAGAAGTGTTCTCCTCGTCCTTTTCCCTCCCTCCCGCAAATCCCATCAGCGTCTCTTTCTCAATCCCTCTCCCCTTATCTTCTCAGTAATTAGAGGCTCAGGGACAGAAAATGCACCAGCACGGGCATGGTGGCAGGCTCCTGTAATTGCAGCTACTCGGGAGGCTGAGGCAGGAGAATCGCTTGAACTCGGGAGGCGGAGGTTGCACTGAGCTGAGATTGTGCCATTGCACTCCAGGCTGGGCAACAGAGCGAGACTCTGTCTCAAAAAAAAAAAAAAAGAAAAGAGAAGAAAAGAAAATGAACCAGCAGACGGGACCAACTGCTAGCCTTCAAGGCCATTACCTTTACCAAGGAGGGTACCATGCTCGTGGCTGAGGAGCCAACAGGAGGAAGATGAGGTGGACGATGTGCCAGCCACTGTAGGCCCTGTCTCAGGGGGAGCTCTTTGGAAGGAGGAGAGCCTGGTCCTCTTTCTCTGACTGCTCCACTTCCTGTAGCAACTTGTAGAGGGGTCCTGGAGTGCTTGCATAATATGGAGCTTCTTTGGGCCCAGTCAGCTTCAAGCTGGGTCTGAAACAATGATACCAAAAGGAAGAGAAGCCATAGATTCCCAACAGGAATGAGGCATTGATCATCACATGCCAGCAGAAGAAGGTGGTGACAAACATGATGTCACTGATGTCATCGTCCTGCCATGGGTAGCCAGAGACGGGTCTGTATAGAATAAAGCCTGCCTGCATCAGCCAGGAGCCCATCATCAGAATCAGAAAGGTCTCCATCAGCTGGAGATGACACATGTTGGGAGCCCACAGCTCTGCAGTCAACACCAGCAACAGCAGGAACACCACCAAGATGAGCAGAGAATAAACGTGCAGCTCCACCCCTTCTGAATCTTTAACATGTGACACCATCAGCAGCAGGAGCTCGTAGATGATCAGGACCAGGGTACCTTTTTCTAGGCCCACACACCTCTGAGGCAGCACATTCTTGCTCATGAAGTCCACACAGCCATTAAGAGTGAGGAGGATGAACATGGTGAGGTGCTGCCACTCTTTGGGGTACATGAACCTTGATGGCACTTGCTTCCTCATGAGCACCATCCCGCCATCAAGACAGAGAACCACATAAAATGTTAAGAGGGAGCCAGTCACTATCTTTAGTAATCCTCCATAGGCTATTTTCCACAGCCTGGCACATCTTTGCTTATTCCTGGGAGAGCACAAAGGATACAGGAGACAACCTTTGAGTATCATGCCCTTGGAGACCACTGTGGCCTGATATAGTCCATAAGAGAAAAGAAATAGCCCCAGTTAAAAATGGCCAATGGACTTTCCCATGGAATACAGGCCTGTCCGACTGAAGCGTGAAGAGCAATACTCAGGACCTCTCTGCTCTCCTCTCCCTCACAGGCCTCTCGAGTTCTGGGCCTATATATACAGAGCTAAGTTCTACCTACTTTTATCATCTCCTTCTGCCCACTGCTCTCTCACAGACTGGAAAGTTCTGGACAGGAGCCTAGGTTTTTAGTGAGGTGGGTCTCATTGTTCCATTTCATTCCAGTACACTGGGAACTAATTGAGTTCTGCCAAAGTAGAAACATAAATATTTTTTAGTATGCACCTGTGGGAATTTGTGCTCTCAGGAGCTCTGCTTTTGGACCCTTGAGGACCTTCTGGTTACACTTGTCCCTCTCTCTCATGGCTTGCTTCCTTCTGCCCCTGTTCAATGCTCGGAGTAGAAAAAGAGAGGTGCCTGAGCACGGAGATTATCCAGAGAAGACCCGGGTTACTCACAAACCTTAATGCATCCTTTAAGACTCCTTACTCGGACAGGCATGGTGGCTCAAGCCTGTAATCCCAGCACTTTGGGAGGCCAAGGCAGATCTCGAGGTCAGGAGTTCGAGATCAGCCTGGCCAACATGGTGAAATCCCATCTCCACTAAAAATACAAAAACTAGCTGGGCATGGTAAAGAGTGCCTGTAATCCCAGCCACTTGGAAGGCTGAGGCAGGAGAATTACTTGAACCCGGGAGGCGGATGTTGCAGTGGGCCAGGATCATCTCACTACACTCCAGCCTGGGTGACAGAGCGAGACTGTCTCAAAAAAAAAAAAGACTCCTTACTCATATGTTGGGTCATATACTGAGAGCAAATACATTCTTCCTAGACATAAAAGTTTATAAACGTTTGGATGTGTGCTCATATATATAGATACTGAGCTCTTGTCCTCTTCATTCTTCTGTAACAGTTTTTGGGGATCACAAAGAAAGCAGCTCAATTGCCCCAAATTATCTTTCCAAAGAACAGTAGATGAATGTAAAATGTCACCTTTTGAGATCAATTTTGGAATGTTAAGGTATAATTTTTTATTAAAATGCAGATATGTTGAGATAAGTAGATCCAACAAACTGCTTATATTTTAATGTGAATTAGGTCCTCAACTTTATTCTCTCTTTAATTATCATTTACTATGTGTCTAACACATATAGGCAGAAAGAGTTCTAAGCACTAGGTAGCAGCCAGCTGCATATGAGGGGTTGCATCCAAGGCAAGAGTCTTCATTTATTTATTTTTATTTCTATTTTTATTTTTATTTTTAGACAGTGTCTCGCTTTGTTGCCCAGGTTGCAGTGCAGTGGCTTGATGACGGCTCACTGCAGCCTCAACCTCCTGAGCTCAATCAATCCTCCTGCCTCAGCTGCTGAGTAGCTGGGACAACAGACATGAGCCACCACATCCAGCTATTTTTTGTAGAGATGAGGTCTCACTACATTGTCCATGCTGGGTCTCAAACTCCTGGGCTCAAGTGATCCACCCACCTCAGCCTCCCAAAGTACTGGGATTACAGGCGTGAGCCACCGTACCTGGCCCCATTTATTTATTTATTCATTATTTTTTATTTTTTAAAATGAAAGCACATTTATTAAGAAAAAAAGGAATAAAAGAATGGCTACTCTATAGGCAAAGCAGCCCCCATTTATTTTTTTTATAAAAATTAATGTCTATATAGCCCCTCCTTATCCATGGGTGATACTTTCTAAGACTCCCAGTGGATGCCTGAAACCTGGGATAGGTTAGTACTGAACCCTACATATACTGGTTTCCCCATACATGTATACATACCTATAATAAAGTTTAGTTTACAAATTAGGCACAGCAAGAGATTAGCAATAATAACTCAAAATAAAATAGAACAATTATAAAATGATGCTGAAATAAAAGTGTGAATATAATTTCTCTCTCTCTCTCTCAAAATACTATAATATTTTCAGACTGCAGTTAACTGTGAGTAACTGAAACCTAAGAACATGAAACTGCAGGTAAGGGAGGACTACTGTATTTAAAGTGTACCACATTTTTTGTTTGTTTGTTTTTTGTTTTGAGACTGAGTCTGTCTCTGTTGCCCAGGCTGGAGTGCAGTGGCACGATCTCAGCTCACTGCAACCTCTGCCTGCTGGGTTCAAGCAATTCTCCGGACTCAGCCTCCCGAATAGTCGGGACTACAGGTGCATGCCACCACACCGCTTAAATTTTCTATATTTTTAGTAGAGATGGGGTTTCACCATGTTGGTCAGGCCGGTCTCGAACTCCTGACCTCAGGCGATCCACCCACCTTGGCCTCTCAAAGTGCTGGGATTACAGCCATGAGCCACCATGCCCAGCTGAGGTTCATCCATATTGTTGCAAACAGCAGGACCTCCTTCTTTTTTAAGGCTGAATAATATACCATTATATATATGTTTCTTTACTTATCCATCTGTTGGTGGATCCATCTGGGCTCAAGTGATCCACCCGCCTCAGCCTCCCAAAGTACTGTGATTACAGGCATGAGCCACCATACCTGGCCCCAACTTAGGTTGTTTCTGTATCTTGATTATTGTAACATAAGAGTGCAGATATCTCTTTGAGATACTGATTTCATTTAATTTGGATATATACCAAGGAGTGGGATTGCTGGATCATATGATAGTCCTTTTTTAATTTTTTGAGAAACTTCCATACTGTTTTTCATAATGGCTGAACCAATTTACATTTCCACCATATTGTACAAGGATTACCTTCTCTCCACATCTTCAGAAATACTCGTTATCTTGTGTCTTTTTTATTATAGCTCTTCTAAGATGTGAAGTGATATCTCCTTGTAATTTTTGTTTGCATTTTTCTGTGATTGGTGATGTTGAGCACATTTTAACATACCCACTGGCCATTTATATGTCTTCTTTGGAAAAATGTCCAGAAATGCAGGTTCTTTACTCATTTTTAAACTGGGTTATTTGTTTTGTTGTTTTGAGTTGGGACTACATTTAACCAAGAAGGCGAAAGATCTGTATGCTGAAAATTATAAAACATTGAAGAAAGAAATAGAAGAAGACACAAATAAATGGAAAAATATCCCATACTCATGGATTGGAAGAATTAAAATGTTTAATATGTCCATACCACTCAAACCAATCTATAGATTCTATACAATCTCTCTCAAAATTCCAATGGCATTTTTCACTGAAGTAGAATAAGTAATTCTAAAATTCAAATGGAAACACAAAATATCCCAAATAGACAAATCAATCTTGAGAAAGAAGAACACGTTGGAGGCATCACACTTCTGATTTCAAATTATATTCCAACACTATAGTAATCAAAACATTTTATGTCTGACATAAAAACAGACACATAGACCAATGGAACAGAATAGAGAGCCCAGAAATTAAACCTATGCATATATGTTCAACTGATCTTCAACAAGAGAACTAAGAATACTCAATGGGGAAAGGATAGTCTTTTCAATAAATGTCTTAGGGAAAACTGGAAGTTCACATGTAAAAAAATGAAATTGGACCCTCATCTTATACCATATACAAAAATTAACTCAAAATAGATTAAAAACTGAAATGTAAGACCTGAAACCATAACCCCTATAAGAAACATAGTGGGTGGTCAGGTGTGGTGGCTCATACCTGTAATCCCAGCACTTTGGGAGGCTGAGGCGGGTGATCACTTGAGGTCCAGAGTTCGAGACCAGCCTGGCCAACATAGTGAAGCCTGTCTCTACTAAAAATACAAAAAATTAGCCGGGCATGGTGGCACACGCCTGTAGTCCCAGCTACTTGGGAGGCTGAGGCAGGAGTATCACCTGAACCTGGGAGGCAGAGGTTGCAGTGAGCCGAGATTGTGCCACTGCACTCCAGTCTGGGTGACAGAGTGAGACTCTGTCTCAAAAAAAAAAAAAAAGAAGAGGACGTGTGACCTGACCTCCCTCATTATTTGATGCCCTGTGCTGTCTCAGGACTCTTCAGGGAGTCCTCACCAACAAGAAGACACTCAGCAGATGTAGACCCTTGTTGTTGGCCTTCCCAGTCTCCACAACTATAAGAAATAAATTCTTTTTCAGTTTCAGGTATTCTGTTACAAGCAACAAGAAATGGACTAAGATGCCATATATTTGGTAAGAGGCAAATTTCCAAAATATGTGAAAGTCTTCATTTAGAGGGTGTGGAGAACAAGGTACAGGGAATGTGAGGCATCCCTAGGCACACAAATATTTCTGGGTTTATTACAGAGGGTACATGGAATAGGAATTTCTCTGAGGGTGATAAGTGTGCTTAGGGGAGAGGAAGTTCATCATAGAACATAAACCGTGCTAACTTTGATCCTCCACATCTTGTATCATCTGTCCTCATGATACAAGCAATGCTGTAGGGCAAAGAGACAGCATCTGTGTGCTGACACCCCCAGTGGGGACAAGGAGAGTTTACACCTAGGTCACAGCACTGCCTCTGAGCTCTCTCTCCCATCCAAGTATGTCCCCACTTAATCCCATCTCATCCAAATATTTCTCACACTTACTTAATAAAATTATGTGCTGCCTAATAATGGACCACATATTCAACCATGGTCCCATAAGATTATAATGGAGCTGAAAAATTTCTGTCATGTAGTGACATCATAGCTATCCAACATCATAGGTTAACACATTACTCACGTGTTTGTGGTGATGAAACCGTCCATATAAATTTTATAAATTTAATCAGGGAAGAAGGAAGGGGGAGAAATAAAAATAAACCAAGCTTGCGGCACATTCAGCATTAATCATTAGGTGAGCTTGCTCTCTGACCTGCTTCCTCATAGTTTTTTGCTGTCTATCACCCCAGAATCATGCAGAGCCTAGATTGTAGTTCTCCTTAACTGCTCTATAGGCAACAACTTGAGCATTGTGAAACATTACGTTTTTCATTTGAGATATTCTTTCAGGTCCTATATATCAGTGAAACTACTGATGTCAGCTAGTCCGAAAGACCCCACAAAGAACTGACTCACTAAAGAATTCAGTCTCAACATCCTGATGGTTTCATCGCCTTTACCCCAACCAATCAGTTACCTCAATTTTCCAGCCTCTTGCCCTCCATGATCCCCTTAAAACTTCAGCCCAAAATTCCTCAGGGAGATAGATTTGAGGGTTTCTCCTATCTCCTCACTCAGCTGCCTTGCAATCCTTAAACTCTTTCTCTGCTGCAAACCCTGCTGTCTTGGCATATTGATCTGTTGCTGCACAGTGGGCAAATGAACCTGTTGGTCCTGTAACAGTAATGCTGGCATAAAAAAACCTACTGCACTGCCAGTCCTATAAAAGCATACAGTAATGTCCCAGGCCTTCACATTCACTCACCACTCACTGATTCACCCAGAACAACTTCCAGTCCTGCAAGCTCCATTCATGGTAAGTGCCTTATACAAGTATACTATTTTTCTTAATCTTTTATACCATATTTTTACTGTATATTTTCTATGTTTAGGTATGTTTAAATACATAAATACTTAGCATGTGTTACAATTGCTCACAGTATTCAGCACAGTAACATGCTGTACAGGTCTGTAGATTAGGAGCAATAGGCTATTCCTTTTAGCCTGGGTGTGTAGGAGGCTATACCATCTAGGCTTATGTAAGTACTCTCTAAGATGTTTGCACAATGATGAAGTCACCTAATGACACATTTCTCAGCACATATCCCCGTCATTAAGTGACACATGATTGTATCAGGAAAATCCAATCTCTCTATACCCTGGTGGGTGGAGGCCACTTTTTGCCAGTGGGAGAATGGAGATTTGCATGTGAAAATACTGTAGGAAAGAGAGCATAAGATTGCTTTCCAGAGGGACTTGACTTCCTTATTCCATTTTAACTTCAACCTTTTTTTTACATATATACAAATGTGGCATATACTGGCTAGCAATTCATAGAATTTGTTTCTTTTTCTTCTTTTGTTTGCCATCCTTCCTTGCAGTTAGATGCAGGCTTATAACTGAGTCCTAGCCAATGAAGTGTGAAGGAAGTGATATATATTACTTTCTGTTCTTACCCATAAAATCCTCCCTCACATACTTTTCTATGCTACTTTTCTTTCTTCTGGCTTAATACAGAATATCCCAGCCTAGTTAAAAGTCATATTTTGTTGAGGATGGAGGAGCTCCAAGGTATAAGGGACAGATTTCCTGGATTACTCATTGTAGGAGGCTTATACGCAGATCATGAACACTCATTTTGGACTATGCATGAATATAAAAAGAAATTAACTTTTTTAAAATTAAGGAATGGAAATTATTGCATTTGTTTGTTAGTGCAGCTAGTTCATCCAAGCTAATGCAAAGCTAATACATAACCCTTATAGAAAAATCTGGAAAAATACAGAAGCCAAAACTGAGAGAAAAAGAAACACTTGCAATCCCATAACCTGATGATAACCACTGTTGACATTTTGTTGTAGAAACCCAGCTTTAGGAAGACAGGGTGATGAAATGGAAAAAAAAGATTGACTGGAAATTAGGAGATCAGGGTTTTGGTCCCAGTTTTCTCTTAATTAGCAAAGCCTTTATTTCCGTTAGAGGAAGGAATGACTTCGACATGTGTTTTCTAAATTGAGAGAGAGAACAGGGTTGTTGCATAGAAAGGGAGTATTTATTACCCCACAATTGTCTTCTTTTAGCTAGTGGTCAAAACATTCAGAAAACTTCAAAGAGCTGCATGCTTAGGGAGAGGAGGTACAAGGGAAGCTGTGGGTGTGACTTTGTGATGGAGCGGACCAGGGAGGAGAAATGGTTGGGATTCCCTTTGGTTCTTGCTTTTGCTCTGGGAAATCACTGAACTGCCCTGAGGAAAAGTGGCTCCTGGTGTAGTGAACTCCAATGCTCCTATAAGTGTTTACCATCAGCAAAGAACCAGTGCCTGCTTCTGAGTAACCTAGTTCTACCTAGAATGGACTGCAGGCATGCAGGTGGGCTGAATTTGTTCACTAGTAATATTACTTCTACTGCCTTTGGGGCAGTGGGTCTAGGGATGCAGTGGATGTGGGGGACAAACAAATACCATTCATCTTCTGGCTACCCTATTTAACTCCTGAAAACTGGAACAGGGATGTCGACAGTCAGAGGAGGAGAAGGGCAGAAGTGTGCACTAGAACACCAGATGTTTGAGGCTGAAAATGATATGGATGCAGAATAAATAGCCCCAAAATAACCTTCTATCTGTGGTGTCCCGTCCCCCTCCTTGGCCAGGCATCAAAGCTACATGTTGTTCATTTAAAACATGAACATCCTGATCCCAGGACTTTGAAGATAGGAATCACCCATCCCAAACCAGACACACTGCCCACAGTAGCTGAGAAAGAAGCCAAAGGTGGTGAATGATTAGCAGAACTGCAAGACAGCTCCAGAATCTAAACACAGAGTACTGGGAAAGCTGTTTTGTGGGGGAAACTCAGACTGACCAAAAGAGCCGAGGAGGTCCTTTGTGGCCTGTCTGCTCCATGGTGAGTCTCCCCCAACGCCTGTCTCCCCAATGCACCATCCCACAGTCCCAAGGGGCCCCAGGCACAGCCTTTACCACTGTGTCTAGCATCATGAAATGCTCCAGTGAGCAAGAAGGTCCTCAGGAATCCAGTAAATATGAATTTACTAATTGTGACGTAATCTTGTCCTCACAGAGCTTACAATATTGCTAAAAGTGTAGTACACATACTCACACACTACATATACAAACCTATATTAAAGAATTATTTAGAATTACAGAGTATCATGCTGAGTAATGTGTAGAATGCATTTTAGAGGATTTCAATAACAAGATTTGTTTGTGGGGTAGATACAAGTAATCATCTCTAGACATGTCATAGAAAACTGCCCGTTACTATGTTTTTACTATAAGATTCTTTCAAAATCACCTTTTTAATTTGTCCCACTTTGGTTGCTTAAATTTTCCTCACTGTGTTTGTCATCGTTAATGTTTGTAACTCATTTGATTTCATTAGGGAATAGCTCCAGGAGAGGGAAGACCAGCTGCCTTCATCAGGAACTCACAGGTGGCATTTCTATGGGGAATCAGCACAAGGTCAGAGTCCAGGCCTCATCTGTCCAGACTTTTTTCTTAATAGTTCAAACATGGGTGAGCTACTGTAGTAGCACAAACAGAGAAATGTTTTGTTTGCTACTCTAGAACCACCCTCCACCCTTACCCACCCTCTATGCCTCTGGAGGCTGTACTTTATGGATGGCAATAACAACCTTCTTCACATTCTGGCTTCTGGTTGGGTTTGTTAAAGGAAGGCACAGGAAGGAGGAAGGAGGGTGGTGAGCAGGAGGAGAGTGGGTCTGACGTATCCATTCCCAGGTAGCCTCTCTGCTGAGTGCAGAGATTGTTTACATCACCTACAGAGGGCCCCAGCTCCAGCAGGAGGCCAGCTCCTACAGCTAGAGCTACCCCTCAGGTCTGGTCAGCTGCTTCCCTGTACCTAGGTGTGGTTAGTGGCTCTTTACTGTCGCTAACCCTTGGGTATGTTAGCTTTCCTGCCAACAGTGTTTTAAATGGCCCCTTTAGTTAACACTTAACAGTTTTACCCCTTTTGAGTGTGCAATTCTAGATCAATGATTGATAGAGTAACAGATATCAAGAGTGGCCCTGAAGATAGAATTCTGGGACTAGGTTGCTCTCACACTTGAGAAATTCATGGATAACCTCCTTGCCAGGGAAAAGGAGACATTTCATTTCCAAGTTATGGTGGCATCGCAATTACACCATTATTGCATGGACTGAAGTGCAAGTGGAGGACAAGGGGTTGGGAGAGGAAGTGGCTTTGGCAAATTGGTAAGATGATGACAATAATGAGTATAAAAATTTTGGGTCAGCTAACTCCTTTTGGTGCCCTAGAGCTGTGCTGTCCAGTCTGGTAGCCACTAACCACATGTGGCTATTTACATTAAAATTAAGATTAATTAAAATTAAATGAAATTTAAAATTCAGTTCTTCAGTCACACTAGCCACATTTCAAGTGCTCAAAAACTGCATATGGCTAGTGACTGCTATATTATAGGGCAGCATAGGTAGAGAACATTTTTATCCCTGCAGAAGGTTGTATTGGACAGTGCTGCCCAAGAGAGTGTACAGAGTGAAAAGAAAAATTGAAGGCCTTAAATACTCAATTCAGAAGATGGGTGGGAAATGAAAGCACTTTTATGCCATCTTTAAAGGAATCCCTTATTTCTTATAGTTTCATGGCAGATATGGCAAAGATGACATCAAATGCTGTATTGTATGGCTTGTACAGTGGCAGAACCAATTAAATGCTTGCCCCTGCCAGTCTCTAAGACTAAGTTAAGGGCATTGGTGGGAGAAGGAGTGAGATCCTGAGATATGAGAGGGAGAAAAGGTGAGGCTGAAAACTTTGGTTTTTTTGTTTTGTTTTGTTTTGTTTTTTTGAGACAGGGTCTCACTGTCACCCAGGCTGGAGTGCAGTGGCACAATCTCAGTTCACTGCAATCTCCACCTCCCAGGCTCAAGTGATCCTCCCACCTCAGCCTCCCGAGTAGCTGGGACTACAGGCCCACACAACCACGCCTAGCTAATTTTTGTATTTTTAGTAGAGACGGGGTTTCACCATGTTGGCCAGGCTGGTCTTGAACTCCTGACCTCAAGCAATCTGCCTGCCTCAGCCTCCCAAAATGCTAGGATTATAGGTGTGAGCCACTGCGCCTGGGCAGGCTGAAAACTTTGAACTCCCCAATTCCATATGACCTCCTTTTTTGATTGAGGAAACTCCTCTTCCCACCAGAGAGGGCACCTTTCTCTGTATGGGCACGTTTCTCTGTATAAACACCTTTCAATCACTGCACCTGGGAGAATGCCATCCCCGTGGGATGCTGACCTCTGTAGGATTCACTCCCACTTCTCTAAGTACCTCCAGGACCATAACAAGAGTAGGTCCAAGGTAAGGATGTACAAGACCTGGTCTGAGGTGGGAGAGGAAACTGATACACTACAATAATTATGAGACTTTACCAATCAGTTTTGGCCAGAGTTTGGGGAGCATGGCTATGAATGAATCCTAAAGCTATTTGACCATCTAAAGTAAAATTGAAGAGCTGACTTAACCACATTCCTTGATATGAGTTTACTTCCCTGAGATTCTGAATTTAATATGTTGGCTTGAGCAAATAGAAGTAGTACATACAGTCTGCTAGGTTGGCCAGTTGAAACCTGGACTCAGTGGTGGCCTACAGTCAGTGGAATTGACATTTTGGAATGTCCCTGGCAAACATTAGAGAAGCACTGCCAAACAGAACTTTCTATTTCTACGATGGAATGTTCTGTAGCTTGTGCTGTCCAGCACAATAACTTCCAGCCACCTGTGGCTATTGAGTACTTAAAATGTGGCCAGAACAACTAAAACACTGAATTTTAAATTTTATTGTTACTTTAGTTAATTTAAATTTAGCACTTGGGGCTAGCAGCTACTGTATTGGATAGTGCCACTCTAGTTTAAGAAGTCTGAAGGCTCAGGGGAATTGGCAATGTGGGATGAACCTATAAGGGGCAACTAGCTCAGCCACCCCTTAATCATAATCCCTGGAGGGTTTGGAGGAGACTTCCTTTTTCTTCTGATTCTACTCTGGCTGCAGTCTAGAGTCTCTGATACATGGAGTTACCATTCACTTCTTACTAGTTTTTCCATTTTTATTTTTATTTTCTCTTTAACACAAAAGTTACCTAGAAGAATGTCTTAATTTCCAAATAAATTATTTTGTTTTCTTTTTACCGTTCTTTTTATGTTGATGTTACTTCTGTTTTGAGCGGGGCGGGGGGGAGCAAGGGGATGTATTTTTTTCTTAATAAATATTCCTGTGCAGTATGCAAATTTTCAAAATAATTCAAATCTTCAAAATTAATTCAAAATAATTTTTATTAATTTTGTATATGATATGATTATTTCTGAAATGAATGTATTATGTTCTTTGACCATGGCTCTGTATTATTTCTCTTTATTTCCATCAGCATTTATTTAATGCACATATTTATATATACAAAAATATAATGCCACATTGTCAATGCATTAAGATTCATAACTTATATCTTCTTGGTGAATTGAATACAATTGAAAGAAAAATATCTTTGTCCCTCTTAATTGTTAATGCTTCTCATTTCATTTTCTTTTGTTAGATATTAGCATTATAGCATGTGCTTTCTTTTACTATTTATCTAGTATACTTTAATGCCTATTTTTCAGCCTTTCTGTACCCCCTTAGTTTAAGAATATGTCTTAAATATTATATAGTTTAACACTATAGCTTAGAGTATTCAGAAAATCTGTGTTACTTTGACAAAGGAATTTAAGATACTTAAATTTATTGTGATTATTCATGTATTTAGACTTACTAATATATTTTGGACCCCAGTTCTTCCTTTAAAAAGAATTCCATAGGAATGAGTAACTTACACTTACTAGAATTAAAATTTCCCCTAAAACAAAGATAAGTATGTTAGAATGGAAGATTAGAGAAGTCTGAGATTGGGGACAATTTACCGTGTCTCTGTGTTCTCCAGCTTTCCTGACTCCTCCAGCTCCAGCTTTGTCAAACTTTACAAACAATCCCATTGGATCTTAAGAATCTTGACATGCCATAGAGGCATGTCACAGGCAAAGATGTCCTTGGTTTCTCATAGCACCAATAGTTTGTGTGAAGCCCCTACTTTTTTATTCCTCAAATAAATGAATTTTATATATAAGATTTAATTAACATCAAGTCCTCACCTCGCTGGTACCTCACTCAGAGCAGCACCATCTAATGCAGCAGTTATTGGCTAGTGTCTTTTCTTCCTGTTAAGAAGGACAAGGTGCAATCCCAGCACTTTGGGAGGCCAAGATGGGCGGATCACGAGGTCAGGAGATCGAGACCATCCTGGCTAACACAGTGAAACCCCGTCTCTACTAAGAATACAAAAAATTAGCCTGTAGTCCCAGCTACTCGGGAGGCTGAGGCAGGAGAATGGCGTGAACCTGGGAGGCAGAGCTTGCAGTGAGTGGAGGCCGCGCCACTGCACTCCAGCCTGGGCGACAGAGTAAGACTCTGTCTCAAAAGAAAAAAAAAAAAAAGACAAGGACATTTTGAGATACCCTAACAAGCAACACAGTGAGGCATTTAGTGGTACGGACTCTAGGACTACTCCTGCCATGGTTGGAGCCTCACCTTTGTCTTGTTTTCTGCCATTCAGTAGTTATAAGAGCTCAGGCCAATAGCTTAACTTCTCTCACTTCAGAGGGTTACTGTTACTGTATGGATTAGAAGACATAATTTATGTAAAAATACTCAGCACAATCTTTGTAGTAACTCAGAAAATGGTAGCTGATATTAATAATTATTAATAATTGGTATCTTAGTCCTTTTCCAGGACTCTAGATGACACTTTTTACAAAAATTGTCATTTCTTTCTTTCTTTTTTTTTTTTTTTTGAGACAGATTCTCACTCTGTCGCCCAGGCTGGAGTTCAGTGGCACAATCTCAGCTCACTGCAACCTCTGCCTCCTGGGTTCAAGTGATTCTCCTGCCTCAGCCTCCTGAGTAGCTGGGACTACAAGGGTGCATCACCACGCCTGGCTAATTTTTGTATTTTTACTAGAGACGGGGTTTCACCATGTTGTCCAGGCAGGTCTCGAACTCCTGACCTGAAGTGATCAGCCCGCCTCGGCCTCCCAAAGTGCTGGGATTACAGGTGTGAGCCACTGTGCCTGGCCAGTTATTTCTTTAATACCCCAAGAAGGAGAACTGAGGAGCTCCTTGAATACTTAAAATATCTCTATAAAGAGACATAATTGGCTTCCCCTGATATTCTTAGCATCCCCCAAGCTGACTGAAGATATCAGCCCATGAACAGAGGGCCTGAGGTTTAAACAGGTGCCACATTTGCTGGCCTCATACTCAGAACCTCTGCCCTATTTTTACCTGTTTTGTCTGCAGTTGCTGCATTAAGACCTGGCCTTAATGAAATATTTGGTTCTGGATCTTTTCATGTCCAAAATTAACTTTAATGAGCAAATAGGGAAAGATCAAGAGAGCTGCGGCTGGGACTTAGGAGAAACTTTGAAGCAGAAGCCAGGATGGGGTAGATGCCCTCTGGCAACTGGCCAGCGTTTGCTTTTGATGACAGCGAACCCTCAGATCTAGTTCATCTGAGCTGCAAACAAGGGGCTGTGGTACCAGCATACCTGAGATTTCATCTTTTGCAATGCCTCTGTGTTTCTCATGCAACCAACATGTGTCAAACACCTACTGTGAGCAAGAAACTTCTCTAATGCTCCTATGAAATTCTTTGGGTCATACCTAGTTGAATGAGACACTGTTACTCTTCTTAAGGATTTCACATTCTAAGAGAGGAAAAAGATGTACATAGGTGGCCACATTAGGAGAAGACGGTGACATGTCATAAAAGAGGTAAAAGTCCCATCTGATAGAGGAAGATGCGCTTGCTTCCACCTTGGAGTCATCTGAGATGGCCAGATGCAAGAGTTAGATGAGAGTTGCCCTTTTAAGAATAATGGGGGTCGGGTGCAGTTGCTGACACCTGTAATCTCAACATTTTGGGAGGCTGGGGCAGGAGGATCACTTGAACCCAGGAGTTTGAGACCAACGGGGCAACATAGTGAGACCCTACTCTACAAAAAATAAATAAAAAGTTAGCCAGGTGAGCGTGGTGATGCATGCCTGTAGTCCCAGCTACCTGGAAGGCTGAAGTGGGAGGATCATTTGAGCCCAGGAGGTTGAGGTTGAGCCGTGATCACATCACTGCACACCAGCCTGAGCAATGGAGCGAGACCCTATGTCAAAAAAAAAAAACAGTGGCCCTTTAGGTGGAACACACAATGTGAGCACTGGCAGGAAAGTCCAGGGAATGTTCTGGGAGAAGCAAGTTATACCTACCCTGTTTCTTCCATCTGTGTTTTCATGGGAAAATCTCTCAATCAGTTTGAGCCTCGTTTTCCCTATAAGTTAAATAAAGCTAGTTCCATCCACTCCTCAGAATTGTAAAGGTCAAATGATTTGTATTGTAATAGGCTAGGGTGGTAGATCATTGTATATGCTCAAATAATGGTGGTTAGTGTCTCTCACATGTATTTCTGTTTCTCCTTCTTTATTCTAGTCCTTAAGCTGGTAAGAAGCAGATCTCCAAGACTTTCTACTGGGATATGGAGTTTTGGGGCAAAAAGGAGAGTGGAGATCAACACTAATATTTATTTATTCATTTTTAAATAATACACTTTCAGATAGAAGTTGAGAAGTACTGATATTTAAATAAGGAGGTTTGGGATTGCCAAAGGCAGCCCCCAGCAGGGGCAGTTCCCTTCTGTCATAAAAGGACCTCAGCGTCCTAGGGAGAATGAGTTCTGGCTTGGAACCTCCAGACTGAATGCTCCCACCGTTCCCCTCCTTGTTACAACTTCCCCAGTGGTGTGATCTTTTATTCCCAGTGTCCTGCCACATTCACATCCCCAAAGAACTCTTTTTTCAAAGACATTTCTTTCCCTGCCTCCCCAGTCTGAAGATGTTCCCAGCAAGGTGCTTAAGAATTCATCAGATGCTCTGTTCTTGGCAGCACTGGTCTTCTGGGTATGGCTCAGGAGCAGTAGACCTCCTTTGGAGCCGTATCTTGTCATTTTCCATTTTTGGAATTCATTTCAACCTACATTTGAAACAAGATCTTCACAGTAGCCAATCCTCTTGTCTCTGAGTTTCAGCAGAAGCTAGTAATAAAAGTGTTGGTGGGAAGTCCCACAGTCATTCCAAGGCATGGTGCTGGAGCGCCTATGCAGGAGTTTGAAATACAGTGCCGCCATCAGTCTTTGGTCATCCCCAGCTTTAGCCCATGTAAGGAATAGAGGTTGGCAAGAGGTTGACAAGGGAGATTTCTCTGCAGAGAACTGTCAGTGTCCTGTGCACTCTCTGCAGCCCACCCTTCCCCTGATAGTGGGAAAGATGAGGGGTACCCACCCCTGCCCTTCAACCACGTGAGAAAGGCTTCAAGGATGCCATGTGGAGAGCAGGCGTGTGTTCTTCGGGGTCTGAGGGACCAAGAGGCTGTGTCTGACCCTCATGTGGGGCTGGGCCTGCCTGGTCAGAGGGAGGAGGGGCTCAGAGTGGGAGTTGAGCACACACCCACTGATGGGAGAAGGGCAGTGGCAGTTGTCTGTAGGGTGTATATATGAACCCCAGGGAAGCCAGCAGCATTGGGATCTTCTTCATGGGTTCTTCCCCCAGAAGACACCCTGGAGGGGTAAAAGAGACCTTTGGAGTTAGAGGAGGAGTAGAAGGCTCCTCCTTCTATTTCACTGTCTGGAAGAGGGGTATTGGAGACATCAAGGATACCTCAGTGCTTGATCTCAGGATCTCTGCAGCAGCCACAGAGACACCTCTGGAGAGAGATGACTCAGAGGACATGAGCAAATGCATCAGCCACAGAAGACAGTGCTCTTTCCCCAGTCTCTCCTCCCTGGGCCCCGGGGGAGCAGGATAGCAGAGGGCAGTTACAGAGTGGGTAGGAGGTGAAGCCAGGAAGAGAGAAGCTGACCAAGGCCCTGCCACAGCCACCTCCAACCTCTGAAGGCTCCTCAGCTTAAGCAGCCCAGCAAGGGGGAGGGGAGTTTTAAGTTGGAAAGATGTTTATAGTTTAGATATTACCTTGAATTGGGATGAATTATTTGATGACTATACTGGACTGGACCTTTGTTATCTGAGTGACTGAGGTTTTTCCCCAAGAGCAAAGAAAATTAGTTCCACAAGGCAGGTTTATAGGGGGCTGCAGTAAGAAAGATAAACTGCTTTCAGCCTGCACTGGGATGGGTTGAGCTCATTTCGTTAGCCACAGCTTGTGTCATCTACCATACCATTAGGAGCTGTCTGAGCCACAAAGACAAGACCCAATACCTGCAATTTAGGAGCTGGTAGAGAACAGTGACAACTTTAATAAAAGGCACACCCTTGGGAAGAAAAGAATTTTGGGAAAAGACTAGGAGTTTACATGGGGGCATTTAAAGTTTGAGCTGTTCAGAATAGTAGGAGTGATAAAAAAATAAAAATAAAAAATTTGAGATGCCTGAATGATGTTTAAGTATTGATGGCCGTTGCTGGTTATAAAAGTCTGAAGTTCAAGGAAAGGTCAGGAAGAGAGTATAGATAGATTTGGGAGTTAGCATATAGTTCTAGTGATTTTCAGTGGAGTAGGTATGAGGAACTATGAAGAAAGTGAGATTTTTCTCCAATTTACAGGCTAACAAGTTAGCCTGCCACAGGTTCATGGATGCTGCAGAAGACACAAGACTCTCAGCTCACAGACAAAGGGCTTTACTGCAGCAATAGCAGGAGCCAGAGTATCTGCAGTTTGCTACCCCAGATCCCAGGGCCTCAATTCCTCAAGCCGCATGAAGAGTGCAGAAGATGCCTGCACATGCAGTAAGTCGCATTAGAGGAAAGGAACCCAGGCTTAGGAGGCCTGAACCTTTTCTAATGAGCAAGAAACATACGTACCTTTTGCTCCAATGGATCCACTCTTTCCATATCCCAAAGCTTTTTGCTGTACAGTTATCCTTGAAAAGACAGTCCAGAATAAAGCCAGTCAGTGGCCCCGCTCATGAGCTATGCAGAAATGAGACAGATCCGTGGGAGATTGTCTCTCAACAAAGTATCACCTTCCTAAGGAGCACTGTGGAAATTTTAAAGGGCATTTTTGATTTTCACAATGACTGACAGTGCCACCGTCATTTCATGGGCCAGGGCCAGGTACATTAGATATTCCACAATGTATGAGAGAGTATCAAGAAAAATGAAATATCTCATGAGCCACACAAGTTTTGAATGTTCTGGTAAGCATTTACTTAAGTGGGGAAAACATAAACTTTACCATTTTTTTTTAATGTTCTGTTTTTTGAGACAGGGTCTCACTCTGTTGCCCAGGCTGGAGAGCAGTGTTGCAATCTCATTTCACTGCAACCTCCGCCTCCCAGATTCAAGCAATCCTCCCGCCTCAGCCTTCCTAGTAGCTGGTACTACAGGTGCATACCATCGTGCCTGGCTAATTTGTGTAATTTTTGGTAGAAACTGGGTTTCACCATATTGGCCAGGTGGGTGTTGAATACCTGACCTCAAGTGATCCACCCTCCTTGGCTTGCCAACATGCTGGGTTTACAGGCAAAACACCTATAATTTCTGAGCCTACACCCTGTCTCCACTCTACAAAGTATTCTTAGCACAGCTTTAATATACACTTAAAATTAAATCATTTAAATAAAGAAATGTACTTTGTTTTGTTCAGAATTCTATCAAAAGTTATTCAACATTGGGGGAAAAATACATTGCTAGCAGCAACATCAGTTGTTTGAATCACCACACTTGTATCAGACTCCAATTATAGCTGATATAATTATAGTGATTTTGTGTATATATAAAAATGTACTTATTCTGCCTTTAGTTCATAAGGTGAAATATGAAGAAAAATATTTTCTGGAACATTATCTTACTTCTCTTAAATAACACTTCTTCATTAAAATAACATGTTGTCAGATGCTTGTATCAAATATTGTTGAGAGGTTAACGAAGAATAGGATTAAAAATTGACCACTGGGTTTAGTAGTGTAGAAATCATTACCGACTTTGAACAATTTCAGTGGAGAGGTGGGGTCAAGACTCTGTTTGAAGTTGGTTCAAACAGCAGGGGAAGACAGGAATTGAGAAATGACTATAAACGGCATATCTGAGATTTCCTGTAAAGAGGAGCAGAGAAATAAGGTGGTATGCAAGGCAGTTGATGCCTAGGACATAAAAAAGGCTCAATAAGTGTTGTCCAAAAAGGAGCTCCATGACCCATAGGAGGTGCCCAGTAACTGGGGGCCTACTGAATAAGTATTAGTAAAAAGGAGGAGCATCTTTTCATTTGAGTTTTAAAAGAAATTATGCTGTTAGAGGAGGAACATAGAGGTGAAAGGGAGTTTTAAGCATAAGCCAAGGCACAAATATGGGAGGGAGAGGGGTTTGGGGAGGAGCAACTTGCCTGCCAAAGTTGCAGGGGGAAGGGGGGGTTGGTATAAGGGGAGGTGAAGGGGTGGGAGGACCAGAAGGCTTGAATAGAGGGACCTGGAGAGACAGCTGACAGATCTTGAAGGCCTGATTGTGGCGTTTATGTTGCGTCTGATCAATAACAAACAAGCCAGAGGTCTCGAGCAGTCAGGGACATAATGGGAATGTAGCCGTAGTTCTATTTTTCTGTGCTGTGCTTCTGTTCCAAGTGTTGAAATGGGGCAGGTTACAGCTCATGCTCTGGACAATCTAATGAGAAGTGCATGTTTTTATGCTAAGCTAACTCCAACCTTCAGTTTCTTCTCTGAGTTAGGGCAATCTTGGGAGTAAAATCCTGGGGATAAAGAGTCATAGGAAATAGAAACTTGCTTTAGGCATTTAAGGGTGGGCTGGGGAGAATGGGTCCTCCTGAATGAATGCATTGGATGCTGGCTTTACAACATACTGTGCAGAAAGCCAGGCACCGTCCTTTCATCTGGCTGTCAGCAGCAAGCTCTGGTTTCTCAGACAGGGGCATGTATGCCTTAATGGCCCCTCTCCCATTTCCATGGATCCAGGTGATAAAACAGTGAAAACTCAGACCTAATTGAGTACCTCAGAGGCACAGTAATTCATCTTGTCACATATGGTATTGAGATTGGCCAGGCATGTTGGTGAAGTCCATTTACCCAGAGGATAGAGTGGTGAGGATGGGTCCGAGAGGCAGTGAGTATGGCACAGCCACAAGCAAACCAGGCATTGGCCCCAGCTGGACCTGGCTTTGAATCCCGATTCCATCTCCTGGCTGCATGGTCTTTGACAAGTTCTTGAGCCTCGATTACTTTACATGTCAAATAAGAATGATGCTGATTATGAGGATTAACTATCTACAGTGTTTGTTGCATAAGAAGAATGTTTCTTGTCAATGCTAATTTTTAAAAATATCATCCTGTTCTGGCCAGTTGGTAAATGACGGAGCAAGCGGACAACTGCAGGAGAAGCACTGATGTTTTTCTGGCCTAAACTTGACAATTCCGCCTGGTGAAGTCCACTCAGCTGCAGATGATAGTCTACTCTTTGACAATCCTATTTTGTTCATATGGTCCATGTTATCAGGAAAGCTCTAACAGGAGGATGCCATCATTTTGAAATTCTTCAGACTATGACTCAATATTCTTTTTGATCTTGGGGATTCTGTTTGAACTTTTAGATTCCAGGGTACATGTGCAGGTTTGTTACATGGGTATATTGTGTGACACTGAGGTTTAGGGTACAAGTGATCCTGTCACGCTAAATGGGAATGGGCATAGTACCCAATAGGTAGTTTTTCAGCCTTTGTCTCGCTATCTTCCTCCCCCTTCTAGTAGTCCCCACTGTCTATTGTTTTGATCTCTATGTCCATGAATTCCCTATGTTTAGCTCCTACTTATAAGTGAGAATATATGGTATTTAGTTTTCTCTGCCTACATGAATTAGCTTAGGATCATGGCTTCCAGATGAACCCATGTTGCTACAAAGGACATAATTTCATTCTTTGTTATGGCTGTGTAGTATTCCATGGTGTATATGTACCACATTTTCTTTTTCCAGCCCACACTGATGGGCACCTAAGTTCATTCCGTTTCTGCTATTGCGCATAGTGCTGTGATGAACATACAAGTGCATGTGTCTTTTTGGCAAAATGATTTATTTTCTTTTGGGTATATACCTAGTAATGGGATTGCTGGGTCAAATGGTAGCTCTGTTTTAAGTTCTTTGAGAAATTTCTAAACTGCTTTCCACAGTGGCTGAACTCATTTACATTCCCAACAGTGTATAAGTGTTCCCTTTTCTCTGCAGCATCAGCAGCTTCTGTTATTTTTTTAGTTTTCAGCAATAGCCATTCTGACTGGTGTGAGATGGTATCTCATTGTGATTTTGATTTGCATTTCTCTGATGATTAGTGACATTGAGCATTCTTTTAAACGTTTCTTGGCTCATGTATGTCTTGTTTTGGGAAGTGTCTGTTCATGTCCTTTGTCCACATTTTAATAGGGTTATATTTTTGCTTGTCAAATTTTTTTTTTCTTTTTGAGACAGAGGTCTCACTCTGTCACCCAGGCTGGAGTGCAGTGGTGCAATCTCAGCTCACCACAATCTCCGCCTCCCAGGTTCAAGCAATTCTGCCTCAGCTTCCTGAGTAGCTGGGATTACAGGAGTGAACCACCACGCCCAGCTAATATTTTTGTATTTTTAGTAGAGACAAGGTTTCACCATGTTGGCCAGGCTGTTCTCAAACTCCTGACCCCAAGTGATCTGCCCACCTCGGCCTCCCAAAATGCTGGGATTACAGGCGTAAGCCACCATGCCCAGCCTGCTTGTTGAATTGTTCAACTTCCTCATAGATTCTGGATATTAGACCTTTGTTGGATGCATAGTTTATAAATATTTTCTCCCATCTTTTAGGTTGCCTGTTTACTGTGTTGATAGTTTATTCTGCTGTGCGGAGCTCTTTAATTAGGTCTCATTTATCAATTTTTGATTTTGTTGCCATTGCTTTTGAGGACTCAGTCAGGAATTCTTTGCCAAGGCCAATATCCAGAATTGTATTTCCTAGGTTTTTTTCTGGGACTTTTATAGTTTGAGGTCTTACATCTAAATCTTTAAGCCATCTTGAGTTAATTTTTGTATATGGTGAAAGGTAGGGGTCCAGTCTCATTCATCTGCATATGGCTAGCCAGCTATCCCAGCACCATTTATTAAATAAGAAGTCCTTTTCCCATTGCTTATTTTTGCCAACTTTGTTAAAGTCAGATGATTGCAGCTGTGTGGCTTTATTCCTCGGTTCTCTATTCTGTTCCATTGGTCTATGTGTCTGTTTTGGTTACTGTAGCCTTATAGTATAACTTTAAGTCAGGTAATGTGATACCTCCAGCTTTGTTCATTTTGCTTCGGCTATTTGAGTTCTTTTTTGTTACATATGATTTTAGAATACCTTTTTCATTTTTAAAAATTTTAATAGCTGGGCGTGGTGGCTCACGCCTGTAAGCCTGTAATCCCAGCACTTTGAGAGGCTGAGGCAGGTGGATCATCTGAGGTCAGGAGTTCAAGACCAGCCTGACTAACATGATGAACCCCCGCCTCTACTAAAAATACAAAAAATTAGTTGGGCGTGGTGGCGGGTGCCTGTAATCCCAACTATTCAGGAGGCTGAGGCAGTAGAATTGCTTGAACCCAGGAGGCAGAGGTTGCAGTGAGCCGAGATCATGCCATTGCACTCCAGCCTGGACAACAAGAGTGAAACTTTGTCTCAAAAAAAAAAAAATTTTTTTTAATAGAGATGAAGTCTTACTATGTTGCCCACACTGGTCTTGAACTACTGGCCTCAAGCAACCCTCTTGCCTCAGCCTCTGAAAGTGCTGGGATTACAGGCATGAGCCATTGTGCCTGGCTGAATTTTTTTCTAATTCTGTGGAAAATGACATTGGTAGTTTGATAGAAATAGTATTGGAATCTGTAGATTGCTATGACCATCTTAATAATATTGATTATTCCAATTCATGAGCATGGAACGTTTTTCCATTTGTTTGTGTCATCTATGATTTCTTTCAGCAGTGTTTTGTAGTTCTTGTAGAGATCTTTCACCTCCTTGGTTAGATGTATTCCTAGGTATTTTTTGTGTATGTAGATATTGTAAATGGAATTGTTTTCTTGATTTGACTATCAGCTTGATTATTATTGGTAAGTAGAAATGCTACTGATTTTTTACACTAATTTTATACCTTGAAACTTTACTAACTTGATTAGTTCTAGGAGCCTTTTGGCAAAGCCTTTAGTGTTTTCTAGGTATAGATTCATATCATCAGTGAAGAGACATAATTTGACTTCTTCTTTACCTATTTGAATGTCTTTTATTTCTGTCTCTTGCCTGATTGCTGTGGCTGGGACTTCCATTACTATGTTGAATAGTAGCAATGAGAGTGGGCATCGTTGTCTTGTTCTTCTTCTCAAAGGGAATGCTTCCAGTTTTTGCCCATTCAGTATGGTGTTGGCTGTGGGTTTGTCATAGACAGCTCTTATTATTTTGAGATATGTTTCTTCAATGCCTACTTTGTTAAGGGTTTTTAATCATGAAGTAATGTTGGATTTTATTGAAAGCTTTTTGTGCATCTATTGAGATGATCATATGGATTTTGTTTTTAATTCTCGTTATGTGGTGAATCACATTTATTGATTTGTGTGTTTAACCAATCTTGCATTCCAGGAATAAAGCCTACTTTGATCTTGGGGCTTTTGATACTGAGAGGCTGGGCAGCTGCATGGGCAGAGGGAACAAGTAGGCAAAGACAATATTTGTAAACTGGTGAGTTTTGGCTCTATCAGTAGCTCAAAACTATAGCTTTCTATTGGATTATTAACTGTTTTTTACTTTTCTTTTCAAATAAACCTGTTTGACTTGGAATGAAATATCTAAAGCTACAAATTCTTATTGCAAATAAAAAATCTGAAGGCTGGTTAGTAGCTGGGCTGTGAAGAGGTCTTAGGCCCTGGCTGGGATTATCTAGACATCAGATATATTTCCCTGAGTGCTATGGCCTTGCTTGTTTCATTCTGCCATGGAGAAGCTGCAGTGTCAGCTCCATATGGGCAGGCATAGAAGCCCACTGTGCCCTATGAGGGAAGAAAGTCTGACACCTCCTTCTAGAATGGAGTTTGAATTTCTTCAAAGTGGAACTCTGAAGGTTAACTATGGGAACCAGCAGCCAGGACTGCCTCTGGGGTGTGATCGGAGGGGCCTTTGCAAATTTCATCCCCTAAATCACCTCTTCTATTTCCCTGATCCCCAGCCCCAACACCCCAAGCCAAGATATCTGAATTCTGTCATTGTGTGGAGACTTGGGGCTGGGGTCTGGACTTGGTCTGCCTGAACTTAAACCCTGACTGTAACGTGTATTAACTGCATGAACTTTGGGTTAATTACTTAGGCTTTCTAAGCTTCAGTTTCCTCATTCTCAAAATGAAGATACTAACTGGCATTATTATTAACATAAATTAGGATTTTTTGTGAGATTGAATGATAAAAAACATATAAAACCTAACTTAGCATCTGTCACAGAGTAACTCACAATAAACCTTGGCAAAGGAGCACTAAAAGCTTAAAGAATAAAATAGATAAATAGATAAAAAAGAAAGAATAAAATAGATAAAACATGGACATGTGAAAATGTTGCCTTGGATAATGATAATATTTTTAGAAAATACTCTTACTAGCATTATTATTCTCAATTTTGACAGCCCCCTAGTGACTAAGTACAATTATCAGTCTTTTAAAATAGATGATGATTTCTGAGGTTCAGAGTAGCTATGTGACTTTCCAAGTTTATGTAGCGAGAAAAATTAGGAATTCAACTGGATGGCCCAACTTTGAAAGCCAATTTTTTCATTACAATGTGCTGCCAGCATGAATGCTTAGAGAGGAGAGGACAGGGCAATATTCGATGTCACACAAGAAGGAAATGTGAAAGGGTGCCCAGATTGACACTTTTGTGCATGGAATTAGGTGTTATCGTGGAATCATTGAGAATCCACATTCAGTTGCACTCCACTATCTTTTAAAAAATCATATATAAGAAACTTCAAGTATTCAAAATATAGAGAATGTTCAAAAAAGGACAGGCCAGGCACAGTGGTTCATGCCTGTAATCCCAGCACTTTGGGAGGCTGAGGCAGGCGGATCACCTGAGGTCAGGAATGGAGACCAGCCTGGCCAACATGGTGAAACTCCATCTCTACTAAATTAGCTGGGTGTGGTGGTGTGCACCTGTAATTGCAGCTACTGGGGAGGCTGAGGCAGGAGAATCGCTGAACCTGGGAGGCAGAGTTTGCAGTTTGCCAAGATCACACCACTGCATTCCAGCCTAGGCGACAGAGCAAGACTCTGTCTCAAAAAAAAAAAAAAAAAAAAAAAAGAACAAAAGATTACCCTTAAAAACTTCAGCTAGAATCAATGTTCTGAAGTCTTGGGTAGTGAATTATGCAAAGAGCCACTTTACTCAGAGCCAATTTACTTTCTTTAGACACAATGTTAACCAGTTTGCCTAACTGATTCATTCCCTACATAATAGGAGATTATAAGAAACATACTAATTGAAGAAGAAAATTCGCATTGACAGTGGAAAGAACGAGATAGCAGTCTGACAAGAGAATAAACTCTGACAAGCAGAACAAAATCCTAAAAGATCTTAACAGTTTGGGGCTAAGTGTAAATAATCACAGCACTCACCCTGTATCCTTCTCCCACCGCTCATGGTGCTCCTGTATGATGTGGGACAGGATAAGTAAGTGAGCCATAAACAATTAAAAGTTAAGTACATTCAAAATACTTTATCAAAGATGGCAGAGATGGCTCAACACACTTTAACAATATTAATGTCTAAAATGGTTTTAAGACTAAAAAACCAAAAACTATTTTCATTCCAGTTTCCTAAACAATTTGATGGCAGGTAAACTGAAGTTTCATTGTCACTAAAAAGTGATTCGTGTGCATAACGATTACTAAGCTCAGAGGACTAGCAAAAGCTTCAAATCTCAAAGTCATCATACCTCATTTTCTGGTATAATAAAGTAAATCAACAAAAACACAACTTTAAATCAACAAGATATTTCAAAAATAAATAAATATTGAGCAGAAATGGCTATTATGCCATCAAAGTATAAGTGGCACAGTATATTATATATGAAATTTTTTTTGAGACAGGGTCTTGTGCTATCAGCCAGGCTAGAGTGCAGTGGAACAATCACAGCTCACTGCAGCTGTGACTTCCCAGACTCAAGTGATGCTCCCACCTAAGTTGGTGGGACTACAGGCATGCACCACCACACCCAGCTAATTTTTTATTTTTTGTAGAGATGGGGTCTTGTCATGTTGCCCAGGCTAGTCTTGAACTCCTGGGCTGAAGCCATCCTCCTATCTTGGCTTCCCAAAGTGCTGGGAGTAAAGGTGTGAGCAATCACACCTGGCCTATGTATGATACTTTTTAAAAATTATTATTTTTTTCCTTTTTGAGACAGAGTCTCCCTCAGTCACCTAGGCTGGAGTGCAGTGCCACTATCTTGCCTCACTGCAACTTCCGCCTCCCAGGTTCAAGCGATTCTCCTGCCTCAGCCTCCCGCGTAGCTGGGGTTACAGGTGCCTGCCACCACGCCTGGCTAATTTTTGTATTTTTAGTAGAGATAGGTTTTTACCATGTTGGCCAGGCTGGTCTTGAACTCCTGACCTCAGGTGATCCGCCTGCCTTGACCACCCCAAAGTGCTGGGATTACAGGCATGAGCTACTGTGCCTGGCTAAAAAATTAATTTAGAAAAACTGGAAAACTGAAAAAGAAAAAGAAAGAAGGGATGAAAGTTCTTGTCCTGGGTCTACCAAAAGGGTGGCAAATAAGCCTTTGTGTTCCTGAAGTCTGGATCCTTCTAGTCACCCAGGAGAGAAGACAGTTTTTTTGTTTTGCTTTGTTTTTTGTTTTTTCCCTAAAATGCAAGCCCCTTCTGGTGGTACAGTACTCAAACTATTGAAGAAGGGTCAGGATGGACCTTTTGGGTTTTAGGAGATTAAAAAGCAAGCAACAGTCCACCCTGCAAGAAATCCCAGAGACTGGGAAGGGCACAAGACTGTGGGTTTGGCTGGCAGTAGATGCAATCACTCATTCTGAGCAAGACCTCAGAGGAAACAGCAAGAGCTGATGGGATCCAGTGGGTCAGAAGGCTCTGAGGCCCATGAAAGGAGCACTGGTGTTGGAGGTGGCTCAGGGTGAATGTGGTCGCTCAGAGAGCTGTCCTCCTAAAAAAGCCCCTGCTGGCTTGAGCAGGAACCAAGCTGTGGCAGCCCCTTTATTTCAGTGGGCTACAGCACTAGGGAGCTATGAAGTCAGTTCCCCATGGTAGATGAGGGTGAGAGGTGGAGGGTAAGAAGGGTGGGGACTTGTTACCATAGCAACGTCAAGAACACTATTCATGCCTCTCCCTTTTCTGAGAATGGTTGGCTATTCAACAGATTTTGAGACTGTATTAGCCGTGGGATTCTTAGAGAAAAGGGGAAATCGAGGTGGATGATGAAGGGTCCATTTCCTGACAGTCTTGGGGGCTAAAGCCAGTTTTTTCACTTCAGAAATGAGTGACATGGCCAGACACCATGGCTCACGCCTGTAATCTCAGCACTTTGGGTGGCTGAGCTTGGCCAACATGGTGAAACCCCATCTCCACCAAAAATACAAAAAATTAGCCAGGCATGGTGGCACACACCTGTAATCCCAGTTACTCAGGAGGCTGAGGCATGAGAATCACTTGAACTCGAGAGGCAGAGGTTACAGTGAGCCAAGATTGTGCCACTGCATTCCAGCCTTGGTGACAGAGTGAGACTCCACCTCAAAAAAAAAAAAAGTGAGTAACATTACTTCCGCTCAGAGAGTGTGAAAATGTTTATGTATAATTTTTACATCTGCATAGGCAGAAAATCAGGAAAAATAACTATGTACTCTCTTGCCTGATGTTCTCATAGCCAAGCTGTTGATTCTTATGACCATTCAAATGATGAGAGTTATTTTGATGCACCTGAGTCAACTTTCAGAATGACCCCAATAACTGCAAATTGTTGCTCTGGGTAATATGAAAGTTCTCACTTCTCTTGATGGGAAACTCAAGCAAGTTTCCTCTCGCAGTGGCATATTCAGGGCCCAGGCCTGATTTTCAATGTGGTGTGGCACAAGGCTGTTCTGGAACATCTTGGGCTGGGTAACTATTAATACTTGGCTAAAGCACCACAGTACCAAATCTTGTTGATGCAGGGGGACTGGTAAGACCACCTAGGAGGGACTTCATGTTCTCAGAGGCCTTAAAGTAGCAGACCCTCATCTGTTTCCCTCACCTGAGAAACTGGGCTGTCTTTTATGGGTGTGAGTCCATGGTGGAAATAATGCTAATGAGAGTGGGCAGGTACTCTTACTTATAATCTGAAAAGGGTTTAGCAGGCTAAACCTTACACTGAAAAGGGTTTAATGGGTGATTTGTCGTGCTCTAACCTTGACTTAAGTAGTTTGGATTTTCTGTACTTGGCTCTCTTATGTCTCTCCTTCCAAGGACAGGAGAAATGGAAATCCTTTTCAGGTGGCCCAGGACTCCATTCCAGTCCAGCAATGTTCTCTGATTTTTCCTGAGTATTAAAGGTTCCTGATGAGAATGGAGAGGAGGAGAGAGAGTCACACTAAGGACCCTCCTGTGGGAGGAACCTTAGCCTCCAGGAGCAGCTCTTTCCATATTGTAGAACACCCGCTCCCCACTACATGCTTACAATGGCTTGGCTGAACCATGCCCCAAGAAGAAACAAAGCACCCACCTGGATGTGAGAACTGCCCCAACTCAAATGCCCTTACTTTCTCTAGAAAACAGACTTTTCTCTAATACCTACTCCAAGGACTTCCATTTTCAGCAACATGGCTGGCTGATTTAATTCCCCACCTCCCACCCCTGCAGGAAAAGACTTGCTGGATAAAATAAATAAGATACAGCCTTAAAAAAAAGAATTGTTTTTAGTCAAGATCTAAAGAAGAAAACCAAAATCCCCAGGTGATGAACTATAATATGTGACTCATAGCTAGAAGACAAGTTCATGAGTTGATCCTGTGGCTGGCAGGGTGAGACTGGCCCCAGATATAAGTCCTAATAGCTGGGGTTTCCATGCAAAAATGGGGACAGGAGATATGATCTTAAGGAAATAAAGCTCAGATTCCTACATAACAGCTGGATTAGGAAATTTGGAAATGGGGTCCCTTCTTCGTAAGGGAGGCTGGATGAACTTCTCCGACCAGCTCAAGAAATAGAAAAGAAACTACTCTCTGCTAAGAGCTCCAGGTGGAAAATAAAACAAAGCTCCCATGAGAATCTGAAGCCTCTCCAAATTCACACTCCATGTACAGGGAGTGCATACATGCCAAACTAAGATATTAATGTAAAATCTGGTACTGGATTAGTAAAATCCAGTGGTGTCCAGCACAAGCAGATGAGGCTCCCAAAGGAAAAAGCAATCCTGACTGAAGTCGGTTCAGAACTGCATTTAGAGCCCCCTGCCTAAGGAGACTATATTAGCTTGCCGGGGCTGCTGTCACAAAGCACTTCAAATGGAGTGGCTTAAACAGCAGAAAGTTATTGTCTCATATTCTAGAAGCTAGGATTCTGAGGTCAAGGTGGCAGCGGAATTGGTTCCTTCTGAAGGCTATGAGGGAGAATCTGTTCCAGGCCTCTTCCTCCGCTTCTAGTGCTTTGTGGGCAATCTTTGACATTCCTTGGCTTATAAGCATTATCCATATCTCTGCCTTCATTCCATATAACCTGTGTTATAGCTATAACCTGTGTTATAGCTATAGCAATCCACCTGTGTTATGTCTACATTCTAATTTTCCCTTTTTATAAAGATACCAGTCGCATTGGATTTGGGGCCAACCTATTTCAGTACGCCTTCATCTTAACTTAGAAAATTACATCTCAACGATACTTTTTCCAAATAGGGTTATATTCTGAGGTACTAGAGGGTTCAACATATGGATTTTGGGAGGAACACAATTGAACCCATAACAGAGGCAATCCCAACAAGGAGGGTCAGCGACACACAAACATGGTAGGAGAGTAGAACCCCAGGAAGTGACAGAACAGTCTGAAAGGAGCAAGGCTCTGAAACTCACTCAGGCTCAGTTGCCCCAGTAGTCACAGGTAGAGAGCATCCTTCATCTAACACGGCTTTTATAAGGATCAGACTATATAGTGTACGTGCAAGCACCTTGCAAACTGCAACATACTATGCTAACATTAGTTTTCATTTTTATTACTTTAGTTAATTAAAGACACTATAATAACTCTTATTTATTCAGGGCTATGCTAAACTCACGTTATCTCATTCAATTCTCACCCATAACCCTGTGTGGTAAATATCTTCATTTTATGGATAACAAGAGTACAGTTTAGATAAATTAAGTCATTTGCCTGAAGCCATATGGCTAGTCAGTGGCAGGGCTAGAATGGAAACTTTGGCCTGTCAGGGTCCAAAGTCTGAGCCCTTCTTTATTCTGAATCTTTCCCAGGTGTTAAGGCTAAGTTTTAGGCAGTGGCCAGGGTGAGGAAGAGGCAAAAGAAAGGAGATATACTCTATCCTGAGAAGGAAAATCCAATGAGGAGGGTAAATGGAGACTTATTTAAAAAGCAAATAAATATGATGTTGGGGACATAGGGGCAAAGAGAAAGAGAATGATGAATGAGACCCAGTCCCTGCCCTGGAGGGGCAAACAGTAGATGTGCATGAGTGCTCAAGGGGGCAGGTGAGCCTTGTGACCCTGGAATGAAGAATGACTTGGAGGTGCGGGTCAGAAGAGCTTTAGGATGAGGTGATGTTGGACCTGATCTGGAATATTCCAGGGTATGGGCTTGTTTTGAATCCCAACTCTACTGCTTACAAGTTGTACGACCCTGAACAAGTTACTTAAATTCTCAAAACCTCAGTTTCTTGAACTGTAAAATGAAAATAATTATTTGCCTTCTTAATAGCCACGTGCCTCTTCTTTCTTCTTATAGAACCCCCATTTTGGTTTTTTGTTTTGTTTTGTTTTGTTTTGAGACAGGGTTACCCATTCTAGAGTGCAGTAGAACAATCTTGGCTCACTGCAGCCTTGAACTCCTAGGCTCAAGCGATCCTCCCACCTCAGCCTCCCAAGTAGCTGGGACTACAAGTGTGTGCCACCATGGTTCGCTATTTTTTAAAAAATTTTTTTCGAGATGGGGTCTCATTCTGTTGCCCAGGCTTGTCTGAAACCCCTGGCCTCAAGCTATCGTCTTGTCTTGGGATCCCAAAATGCAGGGATTACACGGTGCCTGGCTTTTTTTTTTTTTTTTTTTTTTTTTGGTATCTATTCTCCTTCCTCTCCTGTGCATCAGAGGAGGTGGCCTGGATGCCTGCGTGGCTGCAGAGACTGAAGCAGATGGAGCCCAGTCAATCATGGGGACTCCCCTTTCCTCTCATGGTGATACATTGAGGTGTGGGTGGGAAATCCAGGTCTAGTTAGGGAGATGTGAGAAGGATTCTGCTGCAGGGTCTCTGGATAAAGTCCTCCCTTGTCATAAATGTGAAGAATATAAAGAAATATACTATCTAGTATATAGATACAGATATATATTTATAGAATAAAGCTCTCTTTTCTGCCCCGGACGTCTGTGAGGATGAGGTAACCGGAAGTGTTGCAGCCATCTTGAAACCACAATGGTTGCTAATCTGAAGATAAGGTCAATGAGAATGACAGAGAGAAAGCCTCGAAGTAACCTGAATCCCTGATGACTTTGTTCAGCCACTGAATTTAGCAGCTCAGGCTCTGTACTACCTCTAGAGTTGTTGCTACGTGAGAAAATAAATGTTTTACTGCTTAGGGTCCTCTATTATTTATAGCCAAAAACATCCTAAGTGATTTACCTCATATATCTGTAGGGTGTAAATCAAGTAATCCCTATAAAGTGTTCAGCACTGTGAAATGTTAACAATTATCATTAATATAATATTTTATTATGGAATTATATACTGCTTTCTTCTTTACTAATGTTGGGGCTGGGAAGCTGATATCCTACAATATGGCACTTTGACATGCTGAACTGAAGAAGCCTCAAGGTCTCCCTGTTCTCCTCCCCACCCCGCTGTCTTTCCCAAAACCTTTATCTGCCTGAGATCCCAAGAGAAACAATTGTTTCTCCTTCCGCTCCCTGTAAGACCAAGAATGTAACCACACCTTAACAGGCTTTTTCACAAGATAATGAACAAGTTAATCTTTGTTCACTGATCCATTCATTCACCTTAGTAATCCCCTCAACAGATCGCTCTTCTCTCTGCTACCATAACCTGTTTTGCCAGGATGGTATGTAGGCTTCTGAACCCCGCTGGGAGGTGGACAGTTGCTCTGTGATTCTCCCCATGTATACACGGTGAATAAATTGGTATGCCCTTCTATTAATCTGCATCTTGTCAGTGGTTTTTCAGCGAACCTTCAGAGGGCCGTAAGGAACATATACCTTGGTTCCTACACTAATATGTGTCCTATTTCTCCAAATACATGTGAGATTATTTTTGGCCAGAACCCAAGCTGCTGCTTTGATATCCCACTCAGCCGACAAGCAAAATGCATAGTTGATGTTTAATATTTATTTCATAATTAATCACCACATATATATTTTCCCTAAATATAACCCTGATGGACAATCCAATCCAGACCAGACGGTGCCTTTTTTTTTTTTTTTTTTTTGAGACGGAGTCTCGCTCTTTCACCCAGGCCGGACTGCAGTGGCGCTATCTCGGCTCACTGCAAGCTCCGCCTCCCGAGTTCACGCTGTTCTCCTGCCTCAGCGTCCCGAGTAGCTGGGACTGCAGGCGCCCGCCACCACGCCCGGCTAATTTTTTTGATTGTGTCCCCAAGAACGTTTTATTTTGCTACGGAGACGTGAATTCCAAGAGAATCAAAGTAGTTTGAAAAAGGGGAAAATGGCAGACCTTTCTTAAACTGGAAGCTGCCAGAATCACAGGCTATCACGGCTAGAAAGGACTTGGGAATCATTTGGGCCGTCCTCATTTTATAGTGGAGGCCCAAAGACTTCCTTAAAGACACAGCAAGATGCCAGGCTGGGACTCCTAACCCAAACCCTTTTCATTATTTTTCATAATTTCTCCAGAGTCAACGTTCCTCACAATCCGAATGAAAGGGAAGCCCTCTCCCCAGAGTCTGTTTGGGCTGCCGGGAATCTGTGGGAATCCGTGCATCTACTTCTTACCAAGGTCGCTCTGCAGAGCTACTGCCCGGGGCCAGGTGGCCTGGCACGAGATCTGAGATTCGGCATCCTTTGCTGAGTGCAAACATCAGCCCCTTATGCCTGAGGGGTCACTGAGGGCGTGGAGCTGGGAAGAGCCCTCTCCCTGTCCACACACTGATCAGCTCCTAGCATGGAGGTCTGGTGACAAGGATCATGAGCGACTCCACAGCCTCGTCTGTATCAGTGCTAAGGGGAGCGTGGCACTGACAGGCTGGGTGCGATCATCCATCCCTGGGTGAGATCTTACTCCATCTGTCCTAGGCTGGCTTTTCAGGGGGCCTACCTCCCACCTCCCAACCAGAATGCTCCTACACTCACCCGCTCCCCACCCCCAAGTTCTTGGCCTGTTCCACTTAAATTTCAATGCAAATGTCTACTGTTCCATAAGGATTTCCCTAACTTTCCGCCACCAAAATTAACCACATCATCCTCTATGTTCCCATTGCACTTTTTAAAAATAACCACCATTATAAAATTTAAAGATGATTTTAGTTTAGTCTTTTCTGCTAATCAGTCCTTTTCAAACTTTATATGCCTACAAATCAACTAGGGATTTGGTAAAATGCAAATTCAGATTCTGTAGCTGTGGGATGGGGCCTGGTATTCTACATTTCTAACAAATTCCCAGGTGATACTGGTAGCCTTGAAAGCTGCTATTACAAAGATACATAAAATATGTTACCTAGACTTAAAGAGTTCAAAACGTACTGTTTTTGTATTCCTTGAGGCTAGGTAACATATTTTATGTATCTTTGTAATGCCAGCTTTTAGCACAGGATCTGGCAGATTATAGTTGGTTAAGAAATATTCATTGAATTGCAGTGGAGTAGGTTAAGGTTTCTGGGGTGTTCCTTTTATACACAAATATGTAATTTCTTTTCTTTCATTATTTTATCTTTATTGTTATTATTTATTTATTTATTGAGACTGGGTTTCGGTGTCACCCAGGCTGGAGTGCAGTGGCAGGATCATGGCTGACTGCAGCCTTGAACTCCTAGACTTAAGGGATCCTCCTACCTCAGCCTCCCAGGACACAGGCTAGTGTAACCATGCCTGGCTAATTTTTAATTTGTTTTTTTGTAGAGATGGGGTTTTGCTTTTTTGTCCAGGCTGATCTCAAACTACTGGCTTCAAGCAATCCTCCCACTTCACACTCCCAAAGTGCTGGGATTACAGGCATGAGCCACTGCACCAGACCCATTTTATCTTTAATAACCTGGTAGTAATTTAAAATATGAAGAAAAGAGTCAAACTTTTTCACTTTGTGGGAGATTATACCATGATTGCCTCACACAAGCATGATCAAAGAACTTGATAAGACTGAATTCCAAAGGGCATGGCTGGTAAAAAGGCTTCATGGCTCACAGATTGAAGACTTTGGTTACAGAGTCTCTGAGGAGTAGCAGGCAGCAGAAGAGACAGGAAATTTAAGAGATCCTCAGAGAAGAGGTCACAATTATTAGGTCAGAAGCACCTTGAAGCATTTCTTTTTCTTTTCTTTTCTTTTTTTTTTTTTTTTGAGACGGAGTCACCCAGGCTGGAGTATAATGGTGCGATCTTGGCTCACTGCAACCTCTGCCTCCTGGTTTGGAGCAATTCTCCTGCCTCAGCCTCTCGAGTAGCCGGGATTACAGGTGTGCGCCACCATGGCCAGCTAACTTTTGTATTTTTAGTAGAGACGGGGTTTCACCATGTTGGCCAGGCTGGTCTTGAACTCCTGACCTCAAGTGATCCACCCACCTGAGCCTCTCAGGGTACTGGGATTACAGGCGTGAGCCACCGCGCCCAGCTGAAGCATTTCTTAATTTAATTGTGCTTCAGGGTCACGAGTATTTGTCACCTGGGGAGAATCCAGCAGAATGTGTTGAGCATGATTTTGGACTTCCAAGTAAAAAAATAAAACAAAACAATAAGGATGAGCTGAGCAAGTTTGTTGTCCCATAGGGTCAAATTTCTTCGGCATGTAGACCCAATCTCCCTGCTCATTAAGGTAATATGGAAAAACATGACCACACTTAAGCCAGAGGTTCCAATTCTGCCTGCAGCTGCATCTGCCAGACTGCCTCACACGTTTCCACATGTTTTGCAAGTATGTGATCTGAACAGTATTAGATACTGTTGTAGCTGAAATGGCAGAGAGAGGGGTGGGGATGTGGGGATCACAGAAGGCAGGATAAATTCTGAGCACGACCAAAATCTCAGCTTTACAGATCCAGAAACTCAAGTTTATCATTTGATTAGGATTCTGAAGGACTGACTGACACTAATATATAAACCAGAAGGCCTATTTATTCATTAACATTAAAGGAGCTATCTTTCCATGACTGAAATACTCATGCCTGCTTAGAAGAACCCCCATCCCCCATACACACCACCCACACATGCACACACACCATCCACACTTTCCTCTTCTCGTGCCCTGGGATTAGGGTTCCTAGGGACAACTTAATTAGTACCTCCTGGTGAACATTGACTCAACATATAGATAACTGGGTACATGCATAGGAAAAACACAGCAGGTAAAGGAAAAGCTAGACAAATTGTTCCTTCTCCAAAATGATTTCACTTCTGTAATAATTACTTTTTTTTCTCCCAAATAACATCTTTCTCTTTGGGCAATACTGGATAAAGTCAGATAAATTCTTACTTTTAAATATCTGTGTTTCTGGACTCCATATTGACCAGCCTCTTCCCTTCTGCCTTCAAAATAACTGGAGATTTGCTTAGAGCTTTTATCAATTGTGTTCTAGACTTCAGGATTTATACAAGCGAGCATTTGAATGGTAGGCATGTGGATGGCACTGGGTATCTCTTAGTGTAAGACACTTCTGCAGAGATGGTTGCTGTTCTTTGGTGCTGACTCTCCTTGTCCTCCAGTTCTGATCTCTACTCCTGACAATATCACTGAGAGGTTAGACAGTGTGGAACCGAAAATCAAGATCCAGCTCATAGACCTGCCTGAGTGCTCGGCTCTCCCGTGAGTTTGCGGGCTCCCTGGGAAGAAGGGCTCTCAAAAGACTGCAGTGACAGCCTTGGCCCACTTAACATTTGTGCCTTGTGCTGAGCTGGGTGGGGTGTTCTTGTGTTTCTTGTTAACAGTTGCTTTGTGACTGAGCATCTCAGAGTATATTTTATTACCAACTAACCCACTAACCATGTGACATCCAGTAAGTCACTTTTCTGTGGGCTTCAGCTTCTTCATCTGTAAAAGAAAAAGAGAAATTTGGAAGAAATTAGCTTTACTGGTCTCATCCAGTGCTAAGACTAACAAGGTATTTATTTATTTAATATATTTATTTTATATATACTTATACATTTAATATATTTAGCATATAATGTAATATAATACAATACATAGATTTAATATAAAAGGATTTATTTATTTAGGTTTTGGTGTTTTGTTTTGTTTTGTTTTTGAGATAGGGTCTTGCTCTGTCACCCAGGCTGGAGTGCAGTTACATAATAATAGTTCACTGCAGTCTTGAACTCAAATAATCCTTCCACCTCAGCCTCTTGAGTAGCTGGGACTATAGGCACACACCACCAAGCCTGGCTAGGTATTTATATTTACAACTTGCTTTAAAATACAATCTTTCGTGGAATCCCCATAATTCCTCATTTACGTATGAGGAGATTGAGTTTTAGAGAAGATAAACAACTTGTTATTGTTGTTGTTTTGAGATGGAATCTTGCTTAGTCGCCCAGGCTGGAGTGCAGTGGTGCGATCTTGGCTCACTGCAACCTCCACCTCCTGGGTTCAAGTGATTCTCCTGCCTCAGCTTCCTGAGTAGCTGAGATTACAAGTGCATACCACCACAGCTGGCTAATTTTTGTATTTTCAGTAGAGATGGAGTTTCACCATGTTGGACAGGCTGGTCTCAAACTCCTGACCTTAAGTGATCCTCCCACCTCGGCCTCCCAAAGTGCTGGGATTACAGGTGTGAGCCACTGCGCCTGGCCTAATAACTTGTTTTAAAACATCCACCTAGAAAATGGCCAAACCAGGTCTCAAACACAGTCAGGTTCCTCATTTTCTTAATTACTAACCCATAATGTATCCAGGGTCCTGGACCAGGAGGAATTCTAACTTCACCCACACCCTTGAGAGAGAAAGCGCAGCTTTCGGGCTTCCTTGAACCCCCTTCCTTGCTTCTGCCTTCTCAGAATCTGGACTGCTTTCAACCTCTTTGCGTTCTTTCTGACTTCTCCGTGTTCTCTCTCAGCCTTCTCTATCTCTCTTTTTCTCCTTCTCCTATGCCTCCCTCTCTTGGCCTGCTCCCTCCCTTGCCCTCCCTGTCCCCAGCTGAGTGCCAGCCTCTCCTGGTAAACTTTGCTGGCTTCTGCCGTTATAAAGATGTTGCCACACACTCCTGAGTGAATCTGTGCATCAGTGAGGGTGGGGAGATGGTGTCCAGGTGTGGCTTAATGGCCAAGTTGGTGGTTTCCAAGCACCGGTGAAGGACCGTCTGTACTGGAATCACCAGTGGTGGGAGAGGGGTGTGATTCATAATGCAGATTCCTGGGTTCCAGCCCATTAGGGTCAGGATGAAACTTGGTAATCTGTGTTTTTAAAAAGCTCCCCAAGATGACTCTGATGTGTAGCAATGCCCCCACTTTACTGTTGGGACTTATGCCCCCTAGAGACTATCCCTGAGGGGTAAGCCAGAGAGCAACGAAGTATCCACAGGCATACCTGGAGAGTTGTCTCAGGTAGAGGCCATGTGTGAAGGTTGTGGAACATCAGTTGGTAAGTTTGACCACTTGCTCCTTCCCCATCCTAGGTGTCAGTGGTACATCTGGCTCAATAGCAACAACTCCCCGCTCCTGCTACCTTTGGACGTGCAGAGTGACGTTAAGTCTTCATAGGGAGAAGGTGGTGAGTAGAAACATGTTGAAAAAGGCTTTTTAGGGACACAGATATGAAAAAAAGTGTTAGAAAACACTAGTTTATGCAAAAGGGTCTGTGTCTCTGGCTGAGAAGTTATAATTACACCAAGTGTTCCACATCTTTTCATTCTGCATCTCTGTGCCCAAAGACAAAGGAGTCAAGGTTTGAACTCTCATATCATAGTCTCTTCATCTTGTTAACTAAGAATGATCACATATGCCCTGATTCTGCAGTTGGAGTGAGCTCTCTTCTTTAATTGCATAGCTCTGGTCATTTTTTCCACTCATTTGGCACTTTGCACTTAGCAAGCAGTGACCTGGCATCGTTTGTATGTATCTGTTCTGTCTTCATAACTAGATTATAAAGCCTTTTACAGTAGAGGCTACATGATCATTTGATAGTTTACTCACTTATTCATCCATCAAACATTTATTCAGCACCTCCAGGCATGGGGCTAGATACTAAAGAGGCAAAGATGACAAGACATAGTCTCTGACTTTACAGACACCTCCGTAAATAAACAGTTATGAAATGGTGTAACCAGCGCAATGATACAGATATGTACAAGTTGCATAGAGAAGTATTCTCCCCAGCTGGGAGGACTCAGTGCTTAAGCTGAAACTTGAAGGAAAAAGGAAGAAGAGGAGTTCTCCAGAGAGAGATGGTGTAGGGGACAGAAAGATGATTCCAGGTTGAACTAGAAGCTTCTGATAAGCCTGGGGCAATGGCACATGTGGGAAGGGACTGGAAATGAGACCAGGCCAAAGCATAAGGATCCTTGAAGCTTATTCTAAAGACACGGACTTTATCTACAAGGCCATGAGATTCCACTGGATAACTTAAATTAGTCAATATTATGATTAGCTCTCAATTCCCAAAGCTCATCTATCTGTTATTTGGAAAGGAACAGATGAGTATTGGAACTTGATTAGACATGTTTCAATAACTCAGAGTTGATGATACCTGAACAAGGGCAGTGGGTGGGGATGGAGTGGAAAGAACTGCCTGGAAAGTTTACTTGTTGTAAACTTAAAGTACTTACTTATTTATTCTTATTTATTTACTTGTTTATTCTGTTTTCTGTTGCTATAATAGAGTATCACAGACTGGGTAATTTATAAAGAACAAAAGCATATTTGACTCACAGCTCTGGAGGCTGGGAAGTCCAAGAGCATGGCACCAGCATCTGGTGAGTGAGTTGCATTGCAGAAGGCATCACATGGTGAGTGAGTGCATGAGAGAGACAGAGAGGAAATTGGGCAGATAGAGGAAATTGGGCAGACAGAGGAAATTGGGCAGAACTCATTCTGTTTATGAGTGCTCACTAAGTATCCATTCCTGTGATAACGGAATTAATCCATTCTTGAGAGCAGAGCCATCATTACCTAATTACCCCTTAAAGGTCCCACCTTTTAATACTGTCACTGTGGCAATATTACATTCCAACATGAGTCTTGGAGTGGGTATTCAAATCACAGCAAAACTGCCTTTGAAAAAATTATAACAGTGAGAGAAATCTAACCTAACTGACTCCATCTTGCGTCTAGACTCACAGGCTGACTGTCCTTGCTCATTTCTGGGCATAGGCCAAGATAACTGTGGGAAGAATTTAGTTTATAGTTTAACTTTGAGGCAAGAAAGATAACAGTCCCTCCCTAAAACTGACTCCCTCCTTGTTTGGAGACTGAAACTACATTTGTTTTTCTTGTTTTTTTGTTTTTTGAGACAGAGTCTCACTCTGTAGCCCAGGCTAGACTGCAGTGGTGCAATCTCTGCTCACTGCAACCTCCGCCTCCTGGGTTCAGGTGATTCTCCTGCCTCAGCCTCCTGAGTAGCTGGGATTACAGGCATGCACCACCATCCTCAGCTAATTTTTGTATTTTTATTTTTATTTATTTTTATTATTTATTTATTTATTTATTTATTTATTTTTTATTGATCATTCTTGGGTGTTTCTCGCAGAGGGGGATTTGGCAGGATCGTAGGACAATAGTGGAGGGAAGGTCAGCAGATAAACAAGTGAACAAAGGTCTCTGGTTTTCCTAGGCAGAGGACCCTGCCACCTTCCGCAGTGTTTGTGTCCCTGGGTACTTGAGATTAGGGAGTGGTGATGACTCTTAACGAGCATGCTGCCTTCAAGCATCTGTTTAACAAAGCACATCTTGCACCGCCCTTAATCCATTTAACCCTGAGTGGACACAGCACATGTTTCAGAGAGCACAGGGTTGGGGGTAAGGTCATAGATCAACAGGATCCCAAGGCAGAAGAATTTTTCTTAGTACACAACAAAATGAAAAGTCTCCCATGTCTACTTCTTTCTACACAGACACAGCAACCATCCGATTTCTCAATCTTTTCCCCACCTTTCCCCCTTTTCTATTCCACAAAACCGCCATTGTCATCATGGCCCGTTCTCAATGAGCTGTTGGGTACACCTCCCAGACGGGGTGGTGGCCGGGCAGAGGGGCTCCTCACTTCCCAGTAGGGGCGGCCGGGCAGAGGCGCCCCTCACCTCCCAGACGGGGCGGCTGGCCGGGTGGGGGGCTGGCCCCCCCACCTCCCTCCCGGACGGGGCGGCTGGCCGGGCGGGGGTGCTCCTCACTTCTCAGACGGGGCGGCCGGGCAGAGACGCTCCTCACCTCCCAGACGGGGTCGCGGCCGGGCAGAGGTGCTCCTCACATCCCAGACGGGGCGGCGGGGCAGAGGCGCTCCTCACTTCCTAGATGGGATGGCGGCCGGGAAGAGGCGCTCCTCACTTCCTAGATGGGATGGCGGCGGGGCAGAGACGCTCCTCACTTTCCAGACTGGGCAGCCAGGCAGAGGGGTTCCTCACATCCCAGACGATGGGCGGCCAGGCAGAGACTCTCCTCACTTCCCAGACAGGGTGGCGGCTGGGCAGAGGCTGCAATCTCGGCACTTTGGGAGGCCAAGGCAGGCGGCTGGGAGGTGGAGGTTGAGGTTGTAGCGAGCCGAGATCACGCCACTGCACTCCAGCCTGGGCACCATTGAGCACTGAGTGAACGAGACTCCGTCTGCAATCCCGGCACCTTGGGAGGCCGAGGCTGGCGGATCACTCGTGGTCAGGAGCTGGAGACCAGCCCGGCCAACACAGCGAAACCCCATCTCCACCAAAAAAATACAAAAACCAGTCAGGCGTGGTGGCGCGCGCCTGCAATCGCGGGCACTTAGGAGGCTGAGGCAGGAGAATCAGGCAGGGAGGTTGCAGTGAGTCGAGATGGCAGCAGCACAGTCCAGCTTCGGCTTGGCATCAGAGGGAGACCGTGGAAAGAGAGGGAGAGGGAGACCGTGGGGAGAGGGGGAGGGAGAGGGAGAGGGAGAGGGAGACAATTTTTGTATTTTTAATAGAGACAGGGTTTCACCATGTTGGCCAGGCTGGTCTTGGAGTCTGGACCTTAAGTGATCCACCCACCACGGCCTCCCAAAATGTTGGGATTACAGGCGTGAGCCACCGTACCCAGCCTGAAACTACCTTTGTAAGGCTAATGAAAGGCCACAAGATTAGGTGATCATGGCTCCCTGCAGCCTTGACCTCCTGGGCTAAAGGGATCTTCCTGCCTCAGCCTCCAGAACAGCTGAGGCTACAGGTGCACACCACTGCACCCAGCTAATTTTAAAAGAATTTTTTTGTTTTTTTTTTAATTGGTAGAAATGAGGTCTCACCATGTTGCCCAGGCTGGTCTCGAACTCCTGGGCTCAAGCAATCCTCCCACCTCAGCCTCCCAAAATGCTGGAATTACAGGCATGAGTCACTGTGTCTAGCCAAATTTCTAGTGTTTATAAGACACAAGTTTATAGTATTTTGTTACAGCAGCCTGAACAGACTAGTACAGGAGTGAGGTAAGGAAGGGAGTAATGGGGTCAAGGGTTTGTGGGAGGAGAGGCAAGAGGGGGACCTCTAGCATAGTCTCTGAGAATGGCAGACGCCCAAGGATTATGCTGGACAATATGCTTATTTCATTGTTTGTCAACGGTTAGCTGATTACCAATGAACCAGAGCAGAAGACCAGACGGAAACCATGACACCCACCCAACCATAGGTTTGGGCCTCCTCCAAAACCATTTCCTTTCTGTATGTGGATTCAGTGGGCTGGATAGAGAATATAACTAAGCCTTAGGAGGCCCCCTCCACATTCTAGAGACTGAGGTGGCCCTGAGTGAATGGTCATTCCTGAGCCTTTTGCTTCTGCCTTTGATCAGACCTACTTTCAGTTCAATGGGAGGCTTCGAGGGTCATCTGTACCCAGGGCTGTCTTTCTTCTTCTATGGACTTTATCATGCACAACTTGTCTCCAGAGCCTTAATATGCAATGCCCCTGTCCAGTATCCACCACGCCATCCCTGGAGCAAAGGAAGATGGGCGAGGCTATGGCAAATATACTACAATGGGTTGCTGAAGATATTGAGTGCCTGCATTTTAGTAGCCCAAGAGTTGCACAGCATTCCTAGACAGTTTGTGCTTATCAGCAAGATGTATCATCAGAGAAACTTTATGTTCCGCAAACAGTGGCAGCATCTCACTCTCTATATGACTTTCTTGCTGAGTGGGTGTGTAGACATGGTGAGCCAGAACCTGCTGCCCAAGAGATGTGCTGCTCTGGAGCAAGGTGCCCAGGCTCTGGGCATGTTCATATTTCTGCCCCTGATGGTGTCTTACCTGCAGGACACAGAAGGAGTGGAGCTTCAGTCTCAAGTGCTGCTCACCCAGGCCATGTTCCTGCTGACTCTGGTGGTGACCGCAGAGCTGTGGGCTCCCAACATGCCACTGATCTGGATCACGAAGGCCTTTTTGTATATGATCACAGGCTCTTGGCTGATGCACATAGGCTTTATGCTGTTCAAACCAATCTCTGGCTATATCAGTGGATGGATGATGACAGAAATGACATTATGTTTGTCACCACCTTCTTCTGTTGGCATGTGATCTTCAGTGCCAATTTTGATGATCTGGATCTATGGCTTCTCCTTTTGGTGGTATTGCTACATTTTTGTTAAGGCCTGAACCTGGATGTGCCACAATTGGTTCTCTATTGCCTGCATACTCCAGGACATCTGGATGAGAAGTTGTGGGAGGTGGAGCTGCCAGAGAGGATAATCCTGCATCCTTCTTTCAGAGGTGTCTCATGCTGAGGCATCAGACTTCTCTGGGACAGGCATACCCTCCTTCCCCTTCTGGTTTCTCTCAGTCTCATTTCCTGAGCAGTGTGCAGAGGACAGGAGAATGAAACAAGGCATGCAACTATGGCCCTCACTCTTAGCTCCCCAAGTATTTCGCTCCCTTTCCCTCTCTCCTCAATTCCAGCAACAGTGATCTGTGTGCCCTGCATGTCTCTGCATCCCTCATTCTCCTTCCATGAGGACATTAAAATAAATTCATGATATCCTGCCTTTGGGCCTTTTTGTAAATATCCTTCACCCAGCACATAGAATTCCTACCGCTAGTCATATTTAGTACATGATAATCTACCCATTACAATAACCACCTCCTCATTCTTTCTTGTTCTGGACCTCTTCAATGCTCATATTGAAGAGACTGTTTTTGACTCTTCAGATCTCCTAGAATGTTCTTGAGGTCTTTCCTTTGATTACTTTGTGATTTATCAAATGAAACATGGGACCCTTGAAGGTAACTTCTTCTGCAGGATTTTTTGTTTGTTTGTTTGTTTGTTTTAGACAGGGTCTCACTCAATTGTCCAGTTGGAGTGCAGTGATGCAATCACCACTCACTGCAGCCTCAATCTCCTGGGCTCAAGCAATCGTCCTACCTCAGCCTCCCAAACTTGGGTCTGCAGGTGCAAGCCGTCACGCCATGCCCAGCTAATTTTTTATTTTTGTAGAGATGAGTTTTCCCTATGTTGCCCTGGCTGGTCTCGAACTCCTGGGCTCAAGTGATCTGCCTGCCTCTGCCTCCCAAAATGCTGGGATTACAGATGTGAGCCACCATGTCCAGCCCTCTGCAGGGTTTAATAGAACAAAGCAACACCCTGCATGTAGTGAGAGCTCAGAGGCTTGTCTGCTTCCAGACTTTCTTCAGCCCCGTCTCCCCAAGTGTAGAGTCTAGAAAATTCTTCTTCCAGGCCTTTCAGCCCATTGCTCTGTACATATCTGATTGATTTCCAAGCAATAAACTCATCCGGAACTACTCCTTTGTGGTTCTCATGTATAATAAAGTTCAATGGCTTGTTTATGCTCCATATTTTTCTTTTTAATCCTCACAAATGTCTTATCAGGGAGGTTTAGAGGTAAGTAATCTAAAACTCAAAAGGGTTAAGAAAGTGGCTTAAGGTAGCTAGATATTTAGCTATGTCACATAATGCTATAGCTGGGTGTCAAGGAGGGTAGAACGCCAAGTAGAGTCAAATTACTGGGGACTCTGGCAAAGAGTGCCTTCATGCCTCCCATTCTGCTGCTCCCCTGCTTTTTTTTTTTTCAAGACAGAGTCTCGCTCTGTCGCCAGGCTGGAGTGCACTGGCGTGGTCTCGGCTCACTGCAACCTCTGCCTCCTGGGTTCAAGCGATTCTCCTGCCTCAGTCTCCCAAGTAGCTGGGATTACAGGTACATGCCACCACGCCCGGCTAATTTTTGTATTTTTAGTAGAGATGGGGTTTCACAATGTTGGCCAGGCTGGTCTTGAACTCCTGACCTCATCATCCGCCCGCCTCGGCCTCCCAAAGTGCTGGGATTACAGGCGTGAGCCACCGCGCCTGGCCATTCCCCTGCTTTCTCCAGGACATGAAGAATCTGTCAAGCTTTCCTCACTCCTGACAAGACTAAAGCATCCAGTTAGGATAGAGGGCGGGATCAGGGACTCTAGAGGGTTATCAACTGTCTTGTTTCCTTTTTTTTTCTAGTTCCTAAAGCAAATGCATCCTTTGGTTCTGGCCCTACTCTTCCTTTTTAATTTTCTCAGTCAAAAGTGAAGGTACAGCAGGAATGAGTTGTTTGGTTGTCAGGGACCTTCACCCCCTAGTTTTGGGGGTTGGTGGGCATTCTGAGTTATTGTGGGGGTGGAGGGTGCTTCCCAATGTCATTGAGAGGTGGGGGCTCAGCCACGTCTCAGAATGTGGGATGGCATGCATGTGTTGGATGTTTGGCATGTGACCAGCAGGCAGCTTCCACAGAAAGCTGACACCTGCATTGTTGGAACGATCAGGCAACAACGCTGCTCCCCACTAGAGATGAACAGGGGTCCCTCGCATGGAAGTAAAATATGCCTCAGGTGCATTTCAGATTCTGTGCTTCTCTCTGGTCCTGGGGACCAGTGGGGCTCTGCAGCACCCCCTGTAGGTTCTGCCCTTTTCCTGGTTGTCACCTCTGGCTTCCAGCCCCTTGTTTCTCCCCAACAACCTTGGATATATTTGCCTTGGCCAAGCCTTGCAGCTCCTCCTTCCTCTAGCTTTGTTGAACCTCCTCTCGTACCCTTGAAGTTGAGGGGGCAGGGAATCTGCTCCCCTGTACATGCTTTCCCATTGATATGGTAAAGTTGTTTTCTACTTCACTCAGGCCTCCTCCTGATTTTTTTTTTTTTCTTTTTTTGAGACAGGGTTTTGCTCTATTACCCAGGCTGCAATGCAGTGGCACCATCTCAGCTCACTGTAGCCTCGAACTCCCTGGCTCAAGCAGTTCTCCCGCCTCAGCTCCCCCACAACCCACCCTCCAGAGCTGGGATTACAGGTGGCACCACCACACCCAGCTAATTTTTTTTCTGTTTGATTTTTGTAAAGACTGGGTCTTGTCATGTTGCCCAAGCTGGTCTCAAACTCCTGGGCTCAAGTGATCTTCCAGCCTTGGCCTCCCAAAGTGCTGTGAGCCACCACCCCTGGTGACACCTCCCCTTTTTGATATTAAGAGCATATTTTAGATTTTTTTAACCTAAAATTGACTTTTTGTTTTTTGCTATTATAATCTGACCTCATCTTGATGCAAGATCTTTGACTAATAGAGGAAAAGTCATCTGCAAGGGTTGGGAACCAAAACCCAAGTATTAGTATTTCAAGATATTATTTCTCCACAAAGATGAAAGTTAAAGAAATACCAAAACCATGTGTTAACCCTTAGAACCATTCCATTTTGAGTACTTTTGAAGTCTTGTTAAATAGTAATTTTCACTCGCGTCCGTGTGAAGAGACCACTAAACAGGCTTTGTGTGAGAAACAAGGCTGTTTATTTCACCTGGGTGCAGGCGGGCTGAGTCTGAAAAGAGAGTCAGTGAAGGGAGATAGGGGTGGGGCCGTTTTATAAGATTTGGGTAGGTAAAGGAAAATTACAGTCAAAGGGGGGTGTTCTCTGGCGGGCAGGGGTGGGGGTCACAAGGTGCTCAGTGGGGGAGTTTTGAGCCAGGATGAGCCAGAAAAGGGAATTTCACAAGGTAATGTCATCAGTTAAGGCAGGAACAGGCCATTTTCACTTCTTTTGTGGTGGAAAGTCATCAGTTAAGGCAGGAACCGGCCATCTGGATGTGTACGTGCAGGTCACAGGGGATATGATGGCTTAGCTTGGGCTCAGAAGCCTGACACTAATAAATTCATCTCTTGTAGTAAATGATTGCCTCCAAATATTATATCTCACAACTGTATCTTCCAGGTAAAATAATATTAACAGGCGCCTACAAAGCCACAGAGGATTATAGTTAAGGCCAGATACGATGGTGGAATAGGCAGACCTACTATTCGGATGACAAGGGCCTTTCTGTACTTCTCATGTCACAGCAGGTGTGAGCACTCTGACAGTGATCCTAATTACTTTGGAAAGTAAAACGAACTGAAGATTATGTTTGGGGAAAAACAGAAACAAAACCTTCAAATTACAGAGTGGAGTTTTGAAAAGAAAAGTGTAATGTTCAACACCGTGCACCAGAGGGCACCATATTTACATGAGCCTGGAAAGGGCACTTACTCTCCATTTGGTATTGAATGACCCATTTAAACGAAGTGACAGAGGGATAGAGAGAAGAGCAGGAAAAGTATATAAGCAAGTATTGTCCAAGCACCCAGTAAACATGATGTAGTTCTTCTTCCTGTTAAAGTTAGATGCATATGACTAAGCACAGAATCCAGTTAACATAGAGATATGTGTGTGTATCTCAAAAACCTTTTGGTCACTCACTCTCTGACCTTCTTTTTTATTTAGAGTGAAAATTTATTGTGTGAGTCTTGGAGGGACTGTCTCCCACTATGGATGCCAGAGGGGACCAGACAGTCTCTCTCCTGGCCCTGGCAGTAAGGACATGGATATCCTGTCCTGGACTCAGCAATCAGATCCTCCACCCAGAACTTTTATGTATATATATTTATATTTATAAATTTATATTTAATTATATATAATGCATATTCAATTTTAAAATTAAATATAGATATATACATTCACTTTTAAAATTTAAATATGATATGTACATTTAATTTTTAAAATTAAATATATGATATATATGTCATATACATTTAATTTTTAAAATTAAATATATATATGACATATACATTTAATTTTTAAAATTAAATATATGATATATATGACATATACATTTAATTTTTAAAATTAAATATATGATATATATGACATATACATTTAATTTTTAAAATTAAATATATGATATATACATTTAATTTTTAAAATTAAATATATGATATATACATTTATTTTTTAAATTAAATATGTGATATATACATTTAATCTTTAAAATTAAATATATGATATATACATTTAATCTTTAAAATTAAATATATGATATATACATTTAATCTTTAAAATTAAATATATGATATATACATTTAATCTTTAAAATTAAATATATGATATATACATTTAATCTTTAAAATTAAATATATGATATATACATTTAATCTTTAAAATTAAATATATGATATATACATTTAATCTTTAAAATTAAATATATGATATATAATTAAATATAGAATATATACACATTTAATTTTAAAAATCATTTTTTAATAGAGGTAGGGTCTTACTATGTTGCCCAGGCTGGTCTCAAACTCCTGGACTCAAGCGATCCACCTGCCACAGCCTCCCAAAATGCTGGGATTACAGGCATGAGTTACCATGACCAGCCCAAAACTTTTCATCTTGAAGGAAGACTCAGAAGCTCAGGAGCAATGAGAGGTTATGCATGGCAGTGCCTATGACAACAAACACTCAATAGCGGTGGTGCTAGCAGTAGTGGCACAATGGGGACAACCACAAATGCTGAAAAAGATGTGTTGTAGTTGAAATTGGTTCTTATTTCTACTGGAGGTCGTGTTAACCATCAAAAACAAAATAAGCGTAGTTATCATAATAGGCAGTTGAGCCTGTGTGGATATCTGAATGATCTAACCCACAGATTCTTTATAGTGGTTATTGATCATGGGGTCCTTAAAAAATGTGTGTTCATTCAATAAGATTCTACTGGAAAGTATAAGCTCTGTGATGGCAAGGATTTTAGACTGTTTATTCAGTGTTGCATCACAAACACCTAGAACAGTTTGTGTCACATAGACCTGCCCAATAAATATTTGTTGAGTGAATGAACAGGAGCCTAAAATGAGCCATCATGGTAGAAAATCAGGTCCCTCATCCAATTTTCAGCCCTGAGTCAGACCTAGAAGCTCTGAAATTTAAAAAAAAAAAAAAAAGCATTTTACCAGTTAGGAAGAATCTTGTAATATTTTGCAAGTATTTACGGTGAATATTCTTCTTAATCTTTGCCAAAGAGACCTGCTGTCATTTCCAGGGTAACTGTGCACTTGGGAAAAGGAGATGCCCAGAGTTTTGCAAACCAGATCAGATCTAGTAAATGTCAGATCTGAGATGTGAATGCAGCTCTATTTCATTTAGAAACCAATTTATTTGTTTGTTTGTTTGTTTGTTTGTTTGTTTGTTTGTTTTTGAGACAGAGTCTCATTCTGTTGCCCGGGCTGGGGTGGAATGGCACGATCTCAGCTCACTGCAAAATCTGCCTCCCAGATTCAAGCAATTCTTGTGCCTCAGACTTCTGAGTAGCTGGGATTACAGGTGCGCAACACCACATCTGGATAATTTTTTTGTATTTTTAGTAGAGAAGGGGTTTCCCCATGTTGGCCAGTCTGGTCTCTAACTCCTGTCCTCAAGTGATCCACCCACCTTGGCCTCCCAAAGTGCTGGGATTACAGACGTGAGCCACTGCATCTGGCCCCAATATTTTCTATATTTACCTGATGATAATAATTATCTGGGGGCACTTGGAAAATATACAGACTCCTGAGCCCCACCCCTTCTAAATCAGAATTGCCAGGGGACGGTCCCGGCAATTTAGGTTTTTAACAACAACCCTGTCAATAAGGTAATTCTTATTACCACACATTTGGGAGACATCTGGTGCCCTTTTCTTTTGGGAACTAGAAGGTCATGAAAGGGTCAGGGATCTAACCATTATGCATTTCAAGATTTAGCCAGTGATACTGGCTTTTCATCTTTACTGTTTTTAGAGTGACCCTATTTGGTTGTTAATGGCTCCAACAGTCAGCCTTTTTGAACTGTGGGAAAGACGGTGGGGCAGCAATTAGGACTCAAGGGTAGGTGCACACAGCTTGATTGAAAACAGTCTGAAAGCATTCCATCTTAAGGAATGTGAGCATATATTACTACTGTATATGCCATTATTTTAGGAGGAGACCTTGACTCTATTTATTTTGCAAAAGAGGTGATAATTCAAGGAATAATATGATATTGTAGAATCATGCAGTGCTTCACACTGAACTCTCTTAAGATGTGTGCATGTTAAACTGACTAATTAATAAGGTGAATAAGGTAATTGATAACAGATTGAAGAAGTATGGTAAGCTACAATCTCATCTTGCAATACATAGAACATCAAGATGTAAAGCAAGAATCTCTTCTCACTAAAATCACTTTAAAATGCAGTATTTGGTCTTTATATATTCTAAAGAAAGTACAGCACTTTTTCAAATGTAAGTGATATTGTATTGACGATTCATTATTAACAATAATCCTTCCAGTTTTCAGTTTTCCCTCCACCCCCCATAGGAAAGCCTTTTGGACATTATATAAGCTTCCCTACAATCCCAAGACTTAAAAGCCCTCTCTGGGTGTGACACTGAAGAATTCTATTCTCAGTAATTCTTGGCTAAAGTTTGAAGGATTATAGGGCTTTTGGTCTCTCATCTTAATATTTACTTCCTATTAGGGAAGAACAGGAGAAATGAAGAGTTGTTTAATGAGAAAACCAAGAGCCTGAAGAGTCTTCAGAGGAAGGGAGTTCAAACCTCTTGGAAGCTGATGTTTTAATTTTAATTTTTTAAAGATGAGGTTTCACTCTGTTGCCCAAGCTGAAGTTCAGTGGTGTGATCACAGCTCACAGCAGCCTTGAATTCCTGGGCTGAAGCAATGGAGGTTGATGTTTTAAATGGGCAGAATATCCAGGAGTTACTGCTTATTAAAATTACATCAAATGTAACCGTTTACAAGACCCTTAGGAGCTGAGTTTAGCAATGCAAAAGTCACCCTAGCATGGGAGAGGTTGGAGCAGACAAGAGATCTTGGGCACAATTATAAAGAACTTGTCAAATAAAATAGTATGAACTAAAGGCTTAAGTATAGGAGGAGTCTTGTATGTCCAAGGGGATTCAGCAGATTAGGTAAGATAAAGACTTATCTTCAGATTAAGGCCTACACCAGAGGTAAGTAGATCACTGCCAGATAGAATCTGGAACCCCTTAGAGAAGGTGTCATTACGTGTTCACAATGGATATAGTTCTATTGACTGGGGGGTAATTCTGCCCCTAACAAATTACTGTGTCAGGAAGAGCATGGCAACATGAGCAGTGCTGGTGAGTCTCTGCCAGGGATGTCTCCAAGGCCTTGAGTCTCTCAAATAAGGCAAACCATTCATCTTCCCAATTGTTAATAGATCTGAGCCATTCAGGGGCACCATGGGTGACTTTTGTGTTATTCATGCCTTTGTTTTCCTTCTCTTTCTCCTTCTTCCCCTTCCTCCTACCTTCTGCCACCAGATCTTTGAGGATAGTACAGGGCCTTATTCATAAGACAACTAAGGCAAGAGGGAGGAAGTAAAATGTGGATTGGGCCACCTCTCCTCCAGAGAGAAGACTGGTATGGGGTTTGAGATTATGCAGTGATTTCATTTGTTGCCAAGTCAATATTATTATGGCGTGGAATGGGTGCTAAAAGCCTTCTCAAATTATTAGGAAGTTTGAAGGCAGAACAGGTAAGAAGGAAAAACAAGAATGGAGAAATGAGAGGATGAGGAAGGGAAGGATGTACAGAGCCTTGTCTCTATATCTCCTTAAGACTGTTTTGGCAATGGCAAGCCCTAGCATAGTCAGGCCCCTTGCCACCAGCGGTGTGTGTAGCTGTGAACAACAATCACTAGGGAATTTCTGCCAAACCCCACTTTTCTGTATTCAGATGGGCTCAGTAATATACTCATTCAACAAATCCATGTTAGACTCTATGAATGATAAACAAACAAAAGTCCAAAAGATTGAAAATCATTGGCTGGGAGCGTTGGCTCACCCTTGTAATCCTAGTACTTTGGGAGGCTGAGGCAGGTGGATTACCTGAGGTCAGGAGTTCAAGACCAGCCTGGCCAACATGGTAAAACCCCATCTCTACTGAAAATACAGAAATTAGCCAGGTGTGGTGGCATGCACTGTAATCCCAGCTACTGGAGAGGTTGAGACACAAGAATCACTTGAATCTGGGAGGCAGAGTCTGCAGTGAGTTGAGATCTTGCCACTGCATTCCAGCCTGGGTGACGGAGTGAGACTTTGGCAAAAAAAAAAAAAAAAAAAGATTGAAGATTATCTTTTGAAAGAACAATTTATTCCACATTTACAGAACTTAGACATTGTGCAAACACTTTTAGAGCCTAGAGGAAGAAAGGTGAAAAAACAAAGTCCCTCCTCTCACACGCTCAGTCTGATGAGGAAGACAGATATATCGATGGATAAAAACAGTCAGACTTGTTAATTGTAATAATGGAGGATATACGTGATGGTATAGGGAGATAGTGATGAATTCTACCATTGCAGTAGATTCTACCTTTCTTGGCTCACCAAGATTATATGTAAACCAGTTCTTAATGGATGACTATTAATTTGTGAGCTGACTGTGCTTAAGAAAACATTTGAAGCAATGGGAATATGGGAACAAAGACATGGAGGTTTCAAGTGAGAGTACCTAGCACATGCAGGAAACAGCAATGCCTTGGCTTAGCTTGCAAACAGGAGGCAGAGTGCGCAGAGAGGCAGGAAATGAGACTGGGAGGAAACTCAAAAGCCAGATGGGGTAAAGCCTCAGATACTATACTAGAGAGTTTGGACTTTACCTTCTAGGACATCAAGGAGATTTTGAAAGACTTTAACAATAATAATATCAACAGATTATGGTGGCAGTACGTGTAGGGTGGTTGGAAGGGCAAGAGGTGGGAGCTAGGGAGACCATTTAAGAAGCTGATGCAGAAGTCTAGGTGAGAGAGCATAGAGGCCTGTAATGGAAGAGTAACTTTATGGATGGAAAGGAGAAGACAGATTCCAGAGATAGGTACAAAGAGAAACCATACAGCATGATCCCCCATTGCATGTAGGGACATGGAGGGGAGAGAGAGAGAACAAGAGAGTAAGAGCAAGAGTAAGAGAGATTGAGAGTGAGAGTGAGAGTGAGAGACAGGGACAGAGACAGAGAGAAGAGCCTCAGTTTTCAGGATTAGATAATTTATTGAATGATAATTCCAGTAACTGGGACTGGGAATGTAGGAAAAGGAGCAGGTTGGGAGGCCTGGACACATTGAACATGTTGAGATGAAAGTGCCTGATGGATATGCATGTAGAGCTGGCCCATAGCTCATGTATATTTAAAACCAGAGTGAAGGAGAGAAGCCTGGACTGAAAACACAGATTTTGGAATCACCCATATGGAATAGATTAAATAAATCAAGGACTGCTTATAAAAAGAAGAGCAGAGGGCTTGGGAGGGGTACACATAAAACACACATAGCACTTGACAGCAAGAAAAAAGATGTATGTGAACAGAGGGCAAGTGCTGATACCAGCTCTGTCACTCACAATAGTGTTTATCTGGGTTTCCTTTTTTTTTTTTTTGAGACAGAGTCTCACTCTGTCACTCAGGCTGGAGTGCAGTGGTGCGATCTCGGCTCACTGCAACCTCCACCTCCTGGCTTCAAGCGATTCTCCTGCCTCAGCCTCCCAAGTAGTTGGGATTACAGGCTCCCGCCACTATGCCTGGCTAATTTTTGTATTTTTAGTAGAGACAGGGTTTCATCATGTTGGTCAGCCTGGTCTTGAGCTCCTGGCCTCAAGCAATCCACCAGCCTCAGCCTCCCAAAGTGTTGGGATTATAGGCATGAGCCACCATGCCTGGCCAGGAGTTTCTAATTCTATTTCTAATATATGAAGCCAACAACCACCAGTGTCATCAGGAAAAATGATTGTTTAGTTTTCTTATATCATAACTACATGTTTGTGACTGTGCATGGCACTTACTGTCCTCATCAGATGCTTAGGTTGAGAGATGAGCTTAGGGCATAGTATTCGGACCCATTTTTCAGTCTTTCATTATGAACTTTGGGTATGACTGAGTGATGGTGGGCCATTGATAAAACAATTAGTTTATTATTCACTAGCTGAATATTGTGCTCTAAGGAGCATAGACAGTAAATTAGAGGAAACTCTTATTTACTAGAGGAGTTAGTTGCTTCATTCACCTGGGGTCTCCGTGTTTGGCTTTATGACATTATCTTCTTGAATTAACTTGGGCAGCACGATGATCACACCTGAGAGAAGTAATAAGTATGTTGCATGATCAAATTAATATTCAAGAAAGCTCTTGTCAGGCAGTAATGTTAGACCAAACCTACCAAGTTGAAATTTGACTGGAATAAATGTACATTCCTGCCCTTGGTTTCTGAAATGTGACCTCATAAGTAAAAGCATAATGGAGTTAATAGTGTAATATGAGAGCCCCCAAAGCTAACCCCACTTCAGGCCCCATTACACTAACATCAGATGCAACCTAGGCAAGGGTTCTCTTATGTTCTGCTCTGGGAAGCATTTGAAGTATTTCAGTTGTGAGTACCACTCCAGCCAATGAGAGAACCAGATGGAGAGAAGGCCATGTGAGGAATGGGTTGAAGAATTGCCTGGTGACTAGCCAGTGGGGTTGGAGGTAAGCAGACGTCTGTGATGTCTTTATAAATACTGGAAGCACTGTCCCTTTTAAGGGGACTTAAGTGAATTCTGTCAAGCTTCAGAGGGCGTGATTTTTACATACATAAGATAAAGGAAGACAGTCACAGTAGGAAAAAAGAAATCTACCACTTCGCCTTCTTCATAAACGGAATGGGCATACCTGAGTCAGTGAGCTCCCCACAGCTGGGAGTGTTTAAGCAGAACGATATTGAAAAAGAGAGTCCTGGAGAAGGACATGCAAATTGAATTGCATGACCCTAGAGGCTGTCATCATGCTGAGATTTGGCAACGTGAAATGATCCATTCGATTGCTTCATTTTCTGAACCTGAATGCAATTCTGGTTCATGTTTTGTTTTTTTATTTCTCTCTCTCCATATAGAGATAATTGGTTCTACAAATCTTATAATTCTGCTAGAGGATGAAGTCTTTGCCGATTTTTTCAACACATTTCTTTCCCTCCCGGTAAGCATTCTCAGATTTAAATACAAATATTTCATCAGCAGCTGAATAGTGAATCTCACAGAGCTGAGTGACTTTTTTTGTTTGTTTGTTGTTATTTGGGGTTTTACTAAATGTCTTCTTAAATAAAAAAACTCTTTTAATTTGAGCAAATAAACATGAACCAGAACCACCTGTAAAATCTCCAAAAGCTTCCCATTGTTGATGTCATCAGATCCTAAATCCCCAGCCTCCTTACTTGCCTTTACCTGTCCAAAGTTACTTCTCATCATACCCTCTGCTGATCCCCAGTGCTCTGTTGACAGAGGTCTACCCTCACTGGGTACCCCTGGCATTCCCCCACCTCTGAACCTCTCCTTGGGCTGTGTCTGTTTTCTGCCAGGAATACCTTTCCCATAGTTCCACCTACGAAAATCTTAAATACTCTTCAAATCTCTGCTTAAATTCCATTCTCCTTAAGGAATTCCTAGGTCCTCAGCATTGGAACCTCCTGATGGGAACTTCTCTGCTTCTGAGCCCCTTGGCACTTTGCAACTCTCTTGAGTTGTATGTGTGTGTGTGTGTGTGTGTGTGTGTGTGTGTGTGTGTGGCCCCCAGTAGATTATGAGACAGTGAATTTCTGCAGGACAAGGACTGAGGATTATTTATTCTGCTCTACTCCCTTTACCAGGTGTTTAGTGCATAGAAATTGTTGTTGACTGGAACAAACCTATCTATTTCCTTAATCTATGCAACTAAAACAAACCTCAAACATCAAAGTATTCTTAAACTCAAACCTGGACTTATCCTGAATCTTTTTTGGTTTAAATCCTTGGTGACATTTTAACACTGGTGCCTTATGAATTGTGACTCATCTTGATGCACCCTTTCCCATAAGATGGTATATACTAAAAGGCGAAATTTCAGTCAAGTGGGAGAAGCACCCTCTCTATCCCACACATGGTTATTGGGTGGTTACTTTGTGCCAGCCCCTGGGCTGGGCTTAGTATTGGGGATGCACATATTAATGACACCATCCCTGCATTCCTGTCCTCATGGAATTCCCAGTCTAGTGTGAGAGATATTTATTGAAGGTCTGGGTGACATGACAGAAGTTTTTAGGAGGCAGTGGGAGTACAGTACTCATGAGACAGAGAGATCATCCCTACCTGGAAAAGTCAGGAAAAGCTGACACAAGACAAATATTAAAAGACAAGGAGGTACTTGACAGGTAACTGGAAGCAGAAGGTGAGGAGGAAAGGGTGCATAAAGAAATAGGAGGAGGCGGGGCACGGTGGCTCATGCCTGTAACCCCAGCAATTTGGGAGGCCAAGGTGGGGGGATCACCTGAATTTGGGAGTTTGAGACCAGCCTGGCCAACATGGTGAAATCCTGTCTCTACTAAAAATACAAAAATTAGCCGGGCGTGGTGGCGGGAGCCTGTAGTGCCAGCTACTCAGGAGGCTGAGGCACGAGAATCACTTGAGCCCAGGAGGCGGAGGTTGCAGTGAGCCGAGATTGCACCACTGCACTCCAGCCTAAGTGACAGAGCGAGACTCCACCTCAAAAAGAAAGAAAAAAAAAAAGAATAAAAATAGGAGGAAAAGACTAGGGAGTGAATAGCAAGAAAAACAAAAGCATTATAGACAGAACAGAGAAAGTAAAGGCACCAAAGAACACAATCCTTTGACACTTTGGGGCAAATTGTAAGTAACTCAGGAAGGCTGAAGAACAGTTGTAAGGGTGAGATGCCACAAGAGATAAGCTGCACAGGCAGGCTGCGCCAAGCCCTGGAGATCAGGCAAACTATGCCTAGGAGTTTGGACATTACCCCAAGGTGTTAGAGAGCCATCGAAGGATTTGAAGTAAAGGAGTAACATGTTCAGACTTTCATCCGAGAAAACTACTCTGCAGAGGTCTGGCCAATGGGTGGGCAGGAGACCTTAATGGAGGAAGGGAAAGCGGTTAGGAGGTTGTTTCAATCATCTAGGTGGGAAGTAATGAGGGTCTAAAGGGAAAGGGGAGAGGAGGATGGGATAAGTAGAGGAGATTGTTAACAAAACAAAATATAGGACCATGTCACTGTTTAAGTGTTGGGCAAGGTGGTAACAGGAAGAAAGGAAGCAAGGGTAACAGGCTTGGGTGCTTGGATGGATGGTGGTGTCAGGCAACAGGATTAAAATGAGGATAAGGAAAAGGCCTCTCGGGGAGTGGGTCTTTTATGTGTTTCTCACTCTTACTATTGTCTCTGCCACTGTCTTAATGAAGGTTTCAGAAGTAATCTTTTTTTTTTTTTTTGAGACAGATTTTGCTCTTGTTGCCTAGGCTGGAGTGCAGTGGCACAATCTCATCTCACTGCAACCTCCACCTTCTGGGTTCAAGTGATTCTCCCGCCTCAGCCTCCCAAGTAGCTGGGACTACAGGCGTGCACCACCACGCCCAGCTAATCTTTTGTATTTTTAGTAGAGACGGAGTTTCTCCATGTTGGTCAGGCTGATCTCAAACTCCAGACCTCAGATGATCCGCCTGCCTCGGCCTCCCAAAGTGCTGGGATTACAGGCGTAAGCCTCCACGCCTGGCCGAGAAGTAATCTTAAGACCCGTTAATCAGTCAATTCACCAACACAATTAAAACAATTCACAATAATGTTCTAGAAACAGAGAGTGATTGGGGAGGGGAGTTCCAGCCAAGAGTATAAGAAAGTCCTAGCCACTTAGGCAGCTGTGGCCTATAAAGAGAGACAGCAGTAGTAGTTCATGTTGAATACTCCTTAAGTTTACAAATTTCTACCACTTAATTCCCATAGTCACCGTGTGAAGTAGGAAGTATTTTCCCTTTTTACCAACGGATCTCAGAAGTTAAATGATTTGCTGTAATCCCAGCACTTTGGGAGGGCGAGGCAGGCAGATCACTTGAGGTCAAGAGTTCAAGACCATCCTGGCCAACATGATGAAACCCCATCTCTACTGAAAATATAAAAATTAGCTAGGTATGGTGGCGCATGCCTGTAATCCCGGCTACTAGGGAGGCTGAGGTAGGAGAATCACTTGAACACAGGAGGCGGAGGTTGCAGTGAGCCGAGATCATTCCACTGCACTCCAGCCCAGGTGACAGAGCCAGACTCCATCTCAAAAACAAACAAACAAACAAAAAAGTTAAATGATATGCCTAAGATCACACAGTGAATCTAGGGCGGTTCTAGGAGCTGACCAGGTCTGCTGGCTCCAGGCCTGATGTGTTTTCCACATTAGCCTGTGCCCTCTATGGTATAAATGTCGGGTAGTGAAACTGCTTCCAAACCCCACTCCCACATAATCTCATAACTTCACAGTCCTACTGCCACTCCTTAAAGGTAGCTTAACACCCCACTCAGTGTGTGTTGTGTTACACACTGAGTGCAGAGCAGAGAGAGATCCCTAAGGACTGAGTCTCCTTTACAGACTTACAATTGTAACATGCAGACAGCAACATCACCTTCCTTCAGCACCTCACAGCCAGTGACAAGGGACAAATGGGATTGAGGGAAGAGGGCCATAGACTAACAAAAGTGTGAGGCTGTTCATCTAGGGGAGATGGTCAGACTGACATGATGTGCTGAGAGTTCAGCCAGTAATTGGAGCTTCAGCCCGTCTAGTTTTCTGCAAATACTTCTGGGACACTTTGAAGACATTTTGTTGCCCATGATGAGACTGCTTAAGTTTACATACCTGTAAACATAGAAGTCCTTTCCCATCCATTTCAAAGGGGGTTGCCTAGGTGACAGTCTCTTTTCCATGACAAAAGGGGATGGTATCCTAGAATTACATTATCAATTTTGGACACTCTCAATGCCTCCCTGTGTAATTTGTATCCCCAGTCTCCACATCTTTAGTCCTCTCTATCTTCTCCAGTTTAGGTAAACCCAAAGCTATTTTTCACTGGGAAAACATTTTAGACATTTGCTAAGTCCAGGGAGAAAAGTGAATACTGAGTACACAAAGTAAATATGTTCTAATATCATGGGCCTTGGCCTTTGCACACAAGCAAATAGCTCTCAGGTCGGCTCAGGCTCCACAGGAAAGATAGCTCCCAGGTTGGGGCGTGGTGGAGCCAAAAGATGAGTGAATCGTGCAATTCAGTCTGTTTAGAGCTTGTTTGCATGTGTGCAGGGCAAGTTGATGGAGTAGAATAAATTTAAGAATTAGTGTCCCTTGAAATAAAAGAGCCATGGAACCTCCCTTCCTCTGTGGCTGTAGAGGGACTGTGTCATATACATGAAGAGAAGCTCTACTCCCTTGACTGTTTCCTAGCTTTGTTTTGCAGGTTTTTGGTCAGACACCATTTTATACTGTTGAAAATTCACAGTGGAGCTTGTGGCCAGAAATACCTTGTAACTTGGTGAGTAAAATTCTTCAGAGGTAGAGAGTTTAGGGTGGAGAATGAGGGAACTATAATTGTTTTTTGTTGTTAATTTGTTTTTGTTTTTGTTTTGGAGATGGGGTCTCATTCTGTCACCCAGGCTGCAGTGCGGTGATGCGATCTTAGCTCACTGCAACCTTTGCCTCCCTGGCTCAAGCAATCCTCCCACCTAAGCCTCCCAAATAGCTGGGACCACACAGGCACATGCCACTGTGCCTGGCTAATTTTTTGTATTTTTGGTAGAGACGGAGTTTCACCATGTTGCCCAGGCTGGTCTTGAGCTACTGAGCTCTAGCAATTCACCCGCCTCGGCCTCCCAAATTGCTGGGATTACAGGCCTGAGCCACCGTGCCTGGCCTGAGGGAACTACTTGAAATGTGAATTGGGAGAGGGAGAAAAAGAGGAGGTCCAGAGGGTAACTATAGGAGAAACTGTAAAGCAGGTGAGTAGAACAGACAGCATCAATCCAGGTCTACATTTCTCCTTTTTACATTTTTTACCTCTTATCCAAGCAATTGCTGGTGAATTATTTCCATTATATTCTAGCCCATAGTTAGCAAATGGGATTCTCACATCTACCGTGATAGGTTAGACACTTGGGAAACTGTCCTGAGAAGAACTTTAAGGGCACTTCTAAGCAAGAAAGAGTCTGGGAATTGACTGGCAATGTCTGCAATGGGTGTGGGATGGGAAGTGGCAGCCCATGGGCCACATAATTATTGTCAGTATGCATTATCAGATATACATCAAGATAAGATGCTTCTCTGCAATTTCTAGTGACTACTCCACTATTCTCCAGAGGCATGTTTTTCTCCCAATTTTTTTCTTTATGCCCTTTTTCTTTTTTCTTATTTTTCCCCTTGTCCCCACTCCTGTTTTCCTTTTCCACTATGTAGACCTTAGACTTACCAATGGCTTCCACATCCCCTACAAGGGGGCATGTAGAATCAGACAGACCACTCTAAACCCTGATAACAACAAGGTTTCGCTTTCCCTGAGTTCTGGAGAGTTGAGAAGAGACATTCTATTCTGAAGCTTATGTTTGATTTCCCAAGGATAACCCTGAAAGCTGAAAAAAATTACCTCCTTTCTCTGTGGCTTGATCCTTCAGAATATATCCTGTATTCTAAATGATGCTATGTGTGAATTTTGTTTTTGTACATATAGTGCAATTGATAGGGGTTAGGAGCTTGTTAGAAATTATGAGTGTGTTTACAAAGAAGCAAGTTGAATAGAGTTATGATCTGACACCACAGACCCAAATCTTTTCTGCTTTTCTTCTGTCAAGCGAGACTTAGATTTTTTCTTTAACAACTTCACTCAGGGATAAGAAAGAATTTTTTCATGAAAGATCAAGCTTTTTATTTTCTACAGATCCATTTACTTCTTTGCAAGTCTCTGCTCCTCTTTGATACTTCTTTTTCTTAAGTCCAGGTTCCAGGTTTATAGAAATTGTTTTTAATCAACACACCTATCCTTCTGGCCAGACACTGCAAGTGTGAGGTGATTAGTTGCCACTTACTAAGTTGTATTTTTTTAGCAGTTCGGTTTCACTTAGCATTTTTGTTTCTATTTTGCTTTGACTCTAGATTGCCAAATACAAAGGGTTATTGACCTGGTTGGAAAAATGCCGATTACCTTTCTTCTGTAAAACAAACTTGTGTTTCCATTACATTCTCTGTCAGGAGTTCATCAGTTTCATTAAGTCCCCAGAAGGAGGTAAGCATTGGTGTGCATGCGTGTGTCTGTGTGTGTGTGTGTGTGTGTGTGTAGAAATATAGGAAGTCACACTTCATAATAATCTTATGCCTGTATGTGTGTGTGTGTGTGTGTAGAAATATAGGAAGTCACACTTCATAATGATCTTATGCCTGTCAGTACTATAGTAAGGTACAAATACTGGCTGAATTTATAGATATGTGCATATCCCAGCCCATGTTTTGGCAATAGGTAAACTCTTAGCCTGAAATATTGGTATCAAGAGAAATATGCAGGAATCTGATGGACTGGGCTGTTTATCTCACTGTAGCCAGAAATGAGAAAATTAATGGTGGCCGCAGAACATAGTAAAATTGCCTAATTTAGAACCAACAGATTTCACCACCTTCATTACTACCAACTGGTTTAAGCCTCCAGAATTTCTTACCTAGTTAATGAAATCATCTCTTAATTTGTCTCTTTGCTTTTGCTCTTGCTCTCTTCCTCATAGAAGCCAGAGTGAGCCTCTTAAAAAGTAATTGGTGGTGGTGCTGGAGGGACTCCCAGGAAGATGATGAAATAGGAAGCACTAGGAATCTGTTTCCTCATCTAGACAACAATTGTACTGGCAGAATCTGTATGATGTAAATATTTTGAAACTCTAGAGTCTATTGAAACTTGCAATGTTTGGGGGGAAACTTTAGACAGTAAATTGTAGTTGATCTCATTCAATTTCAGCTCTTTGCACAGTGGCAGCTACTTACCCTCAACCCCAGCCCCATGGCACACAGTTGTGCACATGTTCCTGGGGCAGCTTACAGGAGCCAGGGTGGGCAAAAAGAATCTTGTCTTCCAAATATTAAGGATCTGTGCTCCGATTGCTACTTCTGATCACAGAAGTACAGGCAAAGACGTGGGCACACATTGTTATACTTTCCCTTTGTTGTAAGCCCCTCTCCCTCTAGCTGAAGTGATTTTTAGGGGATTTACAGAGCTGACATCTTCCCCCTTCTTCATTTTTCTCTTTTTTTTTTCTTTTTGGGAGGCAGATCTTAAGGATTAGGGCATTCAAAAACAACTGCATATATGGAGAAAATTAGAAAGTAACTGCCTATGCTTAAAGAAAGTTGCAGGCTCAGAAAAGATATAGGGAGATAAATTTATGCCTCAGGCCAATTCTTGGCACAGAGATATCCTACAGTAATAATAATAATAATAATAACAACTAACAAAATTAACAACAAAAACCCCCCCAGCAAACTCTGTGAAAAGGAGGGAATCTGATTTCCAGAGTTAACACATCATTAGGTTCAAATATTCAGTTTTTAACAAAAAAAAATCAGAAGGCACACAAAGAGGAAAGTATGGTCAATTTAAAGAAAATAAAGATAAACCTAAAGAAGCTGTCCTTGAGAGAGCTCTGATGGCAGATCTACTAGATAAAGACTTTAAAACAACTGCCTTAAATATGGTCAAAGAACTAAAGGAAGATGTAGAGAAAGTCAAGAAAGTGATAAATGAACAAAATGGAAATATTAATACAGAGAAAAACCTTAAAAAAACAAAAGTAATTCTGTAGCTGAAAAGCACAACTAAAATGAAAATTCTACTAGAAAGATTTAAAGGCAGATTAGAGCAGGCAAAAGAAAGAATCAGTAAACCAGAAGATAGGACAGTAGAAACTATTAAATCTGAGGGACAGAAAGAAAAAAGTTTAAAGAAAACTGAACAGAGACCCTTGATGGGACTTGTGGGGCACCATCAGGCAGGCCAACACACACATACATTATGGAAGTCTAGAAAAAGAGTAGAGAAAGAAAGGTGCAAAGAGAATATTTGAATATATAATGGCTAAAAACCTCTCAAACTTGATGGAAGACATGAATATAGACCTCAAAGAGCCCAATGAACTCCAAGTAAGATGAACTCAAAGAGATCCACACCAAGACATATTATACTCTTGAATGCCAAAGACAGAGAGAGAATGTTGAAAACAGTAAGAGAGAGAAATTATTCATCACTTTACAAAGGATATTCATAAGATTATAAGCAGATTTCTCATCAGAAACTGTGGAGTCCAGCAGGCAGTAGGTTGATATATTCAAAGTTCTAAAAGAAAAAAAAATAACCAAGAATCCTGTATTCAACAAAACTGTCCTTCTAAAGCAAGGATGAAATTAAGATATTCCCAGATAAACAAAAGTTGAGGGAGCTTTCCCGCAAGAAATGCTCAAGAGAGTCCTGCAGGGTGAAATGAAAGAACACTAGACAGTAACTTGAAGCCATATGTAGTAAAGATCTCAATAAAAATAAATATAATACTAACATCATAAAATCATAATAAAATAATATTTAAAAGCTATCATCATTGTAATGATTTATAACTGCCCTTTTTTGTTTTTTCAAGATTTAAGAGATTAATATATGTTTTAAAAGAATAACTACTCGTCTAAAAGATAGTATTAATGTAACTTTGGTTGGTAACTCCACATTAAATTTTGTTTTCCACATAATTTAAGATATTAATGCACATTAATTAATTATTAGTTTATATTTTGGGGAACACAATGTAATTTTGTGACATCAACAACCAAAAGAGGTGGAGTTAGAGCTGTCAAAGAAGCAAAGTTTTTGTCTGTGACTGAAATTAAGCTGATATAAATCAACTTAGAGTGTTATAAACTTACAATGTTAAATGTAATCTTCATGATAACTGCAAGGAAAATAGCTACAGAATTTACACAAAAGGAAATGACAAAGGAATTTAAATGTTTCACCAAAAAATCAATTAAACACAAAAGAAGACAATAATCCTGGTAACGCAGAACAAAAGAGCTATAAGGTGTATAGAAAGCAAATAACAGAATGACATGTTTCTTCTTAATAGTAAATTACTTCAGGCTGGGCGTGGTGGCTCATGCCTGTAATCCCAGAACTTTGGAAGGCTGAGACGGGCGGATCATGAGGTCAGGAGATCGAGACCATCCTGGCTAACACGGTGAAACCCCGTCTCTATTAAAAATACAAAAAAATTAGCCGGGAATGGTGACAGGCGCCTGTAGTCCCACCTACTTGGGAAGTTGAGGCAGGAGAATGGCATGAACCTGGGAGGCGGAGCTTGCAGTGAGTGGAGATCACGCCACTGCACTCCAGCCTGGGCGACAGAGCAAGACTCCATCTCAAAAAAAAAAAAAAAAAAGGAAATTAACTTTAACTGTAAATGGATTAAACTTTCCAATAAAAAGACAGAGATTGGCAGAATAAATTTTAAAGCAAGATCCAATTACATGCTGTCTGTAAGAGACTCACTTTAGAGTCAAAGACATAGATTGAAAATGAATGGATGGAAAAAATATTCCATGTAAATAGTAACCAAAAGAAAGCAGGGGTGCCTATAATGATATCAGACAAAATAGACTTTATTTAATTTATTTATTTTTATCCTACACTGTCTTCCCTCCCCTTCCAAAATAGACTTTAAGTTTTAAAAAAAGTTTACAAGAGACAAAGAAGGACATTACTTGTTAATGCAAGTTTCAACATATCAAGATGTAACAACTATAAACATCTACACACCTAATGACAGACCCTCAAAATATATGAAGCAAAAATGGACAGAACTGAAAGAGAAAATAGACAATCCTAAAATAATCATTGGAGACTTTAATACCCACTCTTAATAATGAATAGAATAGTAAGACAGAAGATAGGTTAGGAAATAGAGACTTCAACAATACATTAAACTAGCTAGATCTAAAAGACATATACAGGACACTCTACTCAACAACAACAGCATACACATTCTTCTCAAGTGCACATGGAACATTTTCTGGGATAGATTATATATTAGGCCAGAAATTCTCAACAGATTTTAAAAGACAACATACAAAGTATCTTCTCTGACCACAAAAGGATGAAATTAGAAATAAATAACAGAAGTTAAAGTAGAAAATTCACAAAATTGTGGAAATTAACACAGTATTAAACAATGGATCAAAGAAAAAATTACAAGGGAAATTAGAAAATACTTACAGATAAATGGAAATGAAAACAACAAAACTTATGGGATAAAATAAAAGCAGTGTTAATGGGAAAATTTATAGCTATGTTTACATTTTAAAAAGAAAAATCTCAAATAACACAACTTTACAACTTAAGGCTCTAGAAAAAGAACAGCAAATTAAACCCAGAGCTAGCAGAAGAAAAGAAATAATAAAGATTACAGTAAATAACATGAAATAGAGAAAATCAGTGAGATCAAAAATTGGTCCTTTGAAAAAGTCAGCAAAATAAACCTTTAGTTAAGTGGATTAAGAAAAACAGAAGACTGGCCGGGGGTGGTGGCTCACGCCTGTAATCCCAGCACTTTGGGAGGCCTTAGGGGGTGGATCACCTCAGGTCAGGAGCTCGAGACCAGCCTGGCCAACATGGTGAAAACCTGTCTCTACTAAAAATACAAAAATTATCTAGGCATGTTGGCGGGATCCTGTAATCCCAGCTACTTGGGAGGCTGAGGCAGGAGAATCACTTGAACCCGGGAGGCAGAGGTTGCAGTGAGCCATGATCATGCCATTGCACTCTAGCCTAGCTGACAGAGCAAGACTCTGCTCAGAAGAAAAAAAAAAAAAGAAAAGAAAAAGAGAAGACTTAATAATTACTAAAAAAGACTATAGATCACTAAATTCAAAATGAGTCTTGACATGATGGTTCATGCCTGTGATCCCAGAACTCTACAAAGCTAGGATGAGAGGATTGCTTGAGGCCACAAGTTCAAGACCAGCCTGGGCAACATAATGAGACCCAGTATTCACAAAAAATAAAAATAAAAAATCCAGACAGGTGTCATGCACCTATAGTACTAGCTGAGGAACGAGGATTGCTTGAGCCCAGGAGTTTGAGGCTGTAATGAGGCATTTGATATGCCACTGCACTCCAGCCTAGGTAACAGAGCAAGACCCTATCTTATAATAATAATAATAATAAAGTGAAAGTGGGGACATTACTATCAATTCTACAGAAATAAAAAGGATTATAGAAGAGTACTCTGAACAATTGTACACCAACAAATTTGGTAGCCTAGATGAGATAGAAGGATTCCTAGAAACACAAAATCTACTAATGCTAAATCAAAAGATATAGAAAATCTGAGTAGAATGGAATACTATGCAGCCATAAAAAAGGATGAGTTCATGTATTTGTAGGGACATGGATGAAGCTGGAAACCATCATTCTCAGCAAACTATCTCAAGGACAAAAAACCAAACACCGCATGTTCTCACTCATAGGTGGGAATTGAACAATGAGAACACTTGGACACAGGAAGGGGAACATCACACACCGGGGCCTATCATGGGGTGGGGGGAGGGGCAGAGATAGCATTAGGAGATATACCTAATGTAAATGACGAGTTAATGGGTGCAGCACACCAACATGGCACATGTATACATGTGTAACAAACCTGCACATTGTGCACATGTACCCTAGAACTTAAAATATAATAATAATAATAAAAATCTGAGTAGACCTATAACTAGCAAAGAGATTAAAACAGTAATCTACAATCTCCTGACAAAGAAAAGTCCTGGACCTGATGGTTTTACTGGTGACTTATACCCCAAACATTTAAAGAAGAATTAATACTAATTCTTCTTAAACTGTTCCAAAAGATTGAAGAGGCAGGATCACTTTCTCACTCCTTCTTTGAGGCCAGCATTACCCTGATACTAAAGCCAAACAAGGCACTATAAGAAAAGAAAAGTATAGGCCAATATTCCTGATGAACATTGATGCAAAAGTCTGCAATGAAATACTAGCAAACCACATTCAACAGTATATTAAAAGGATTAAACACCATGACCAAAAGGGATATTTTTCCTGGAATGCAAGGACACCTCAATATACGAAAATGAATGAATGTAATATACCACATTAACAGAATGAAAGAAGAAAACTACATAATCATCTCAATAGATGCAGAAAAAGCATTTGACAAAATACAACACCCTTTCATGAAAAAAAAATGTCCAACGAACTAGGATTAAGAAGAAACTATCTAAACATAATAAAAGCTACATATGAAAAACCCACAGTGAACATCATACTCAATGACAAAAAACTGAAAGCTTTTCCTCTAAGATCAGGAATAGGAAATGCCTGATTTCACTAATTCTATTTCACACCATACTGGAAACTCTCACCAGAGCAATTCGGCCAAAAGAAGAAGGAAAAATAAGAGACATCTTAATTGGAAAGAAAGAGGTCAAATGATCTTCATTTGCAGATAATGTAGTATTTTGTAGAAAAATCCAAAGATTCCACACATAAAAAAACTGTTAGAACTAAGAAATGAATCCAGCAAAGTAGCTGGATACAAAGTCAAAAACAAAACAAAACAAAAAATCAGTTGCACTTCCATACGCTTACAATGAACAACCTGAAAGGAAAATTATGTGAACAATTTCATTAAATAATAGCATTAAAAAGAATAAAATACTTAGGAATTCACTTAAGGAGGTGAAAGACTTGCACAATAAAAACTACAAAACATTGCTGAAAGAAATTAAAGAAGACATAAACAAATGCCTCTGATGTTTATTTATGGACTGGAAAACTTAATGTTGTTAACATGCCAATACAACCCAAAACAATGTACAGATTCATGCAATCTCTATCAAAATCTCAATGACATCTTTTGCAGAAATAGAAACGTCAATCCTAAAATTTCCAAGGAACTCCAAACAGCCATAACAATTTTGAAAAAATTTCAAAAAAGCTGCAGGACTCACCTTCTGATTTCAAAACTTACTACAAGTTTACAGCAATCAACACAGTGTGGTGCAAGCATTCTTATACACCAATAACAGACAAACAGAGAGCCAAATCATGAGTGAACTCCCATTCACAATTGCTTCAAAGAGAATAAAATACCTAGGAATCCAACTTACAATGGATGTGAAGGACTTCTTCAAGGAGAACTACAAACCACTGCTCAATGAAATAAAAGAGGACACAAACAAATGGAAGAACATTCCATGCTCATGGGTAGGAAGAATCAATATCGTGAAAATGGCCATACTGCCCAAGGTAATTTATAGATTCAATGCCATCCCCATCAAGCTACCAATGACTTTCTTCACAGAATTGGAAAAAAACTGCTTTAAAGTTCATATGGAACCAAAAAAGAGCCCTCATCGCCAAGTCAATCCTAAGCCAAAAGAACAAAGCTGGAGGCATCATGTTATCTGACTTCAAACTATACCACAAGGCTACAGTAATCAAAACAGCATGGTACTGGTACCAAAACAGAGATATAGACCAACGGAACAGAACAGAGCCCTCAGAAATAATGCCACATATCTACAACTATCTGATCTTTGACAAACCTGACAAAAACAAGAAATGGGGAAGGGATTCCCTATTTAATAAATGGTGCTGGGAAAACTGGCTAGCCATATGCAGAAAGCTGAAACTGGATCCCTTTCTTACACCTTATACAAAAATTAATTCAAGATGGATTAAAGACTTAAATGTTAGACCTAAAACCATAAAATCCTAGAAGAAAACCTAGGCAATACCATTCAGAACATAGGCATGGGCAAGGACTTCATGTCTAAAACACCAAAAGCAATGGCAATAAAAGCCAAAATTGACAAACAGGATCTAATTAAACTAAAGAGCTTCTGCACAGCAAAAGAAACTACCATCAGAGTGAACAGGCAACCTACGGAATGGAAGAAAATTTTTGCAATCTACTCATCTGACAAAGGGCTAATATCCAGAATCTACAATGAACTCAAACAAATTTACAAGACAAAAACAAACAGCCCCATCAACAAGTCGGCAAAGGCTATGAACAGACACTTCTCAAAAGAAGACATTTATGTAGCCAAAGACAACATGAAAAAATGCTCATCATCACTGGCCATCAGAGAAATGCAAATCAAAACCACAATGAGATAACATCTTACACTAGTTAGAATGGCGATCATTAAAAAGTCAGGAAACAACAGGTGCTGGAGAGGATGTGGAGAAATAGGAACACTTTACGCTGTTGGTGGGACTGTAAACTAGTTCAACCATTGTGGAAGTCAGTGTGGTGATTCCTCAGGGATCTAGAACTAGAAATACCATTTGACCCAGCCATCCCATTACTGGGTACATACTGAAAGGATTATAAATCATTCTACTATAAAGACGCATGCACACGTATGTTTATTTCAGCACTATTCACAATAGCAAAGACTTGGAACCAACCCAAATGTCCAACAATGATAGACTGGATTAAGAAAATGTGGCACATATACACCATGGAATACTATGCAGCCATAAAAAATGATGAGTTCATGTCCTTTGTAGGGACATGGATGAAGCTGGAAAGTGTCATTCTCAGCAAACTATCGCAAGGACAAAAAACCAAACACCGCATGTTCTCACTCATAGGTGGGAATTGAACAATGAGAATATTTGGACACAGGAAGGGGAACATCACACCCTGGGGCCTGTTGTAGGGTTGAGGGGGAGGGATAGCATTAGGAGATCTACCTAATGTTAAATGATGAGTTAATGGGTGCAGCACACCAGTATGGCACATGTATACATATGTAACAAACCTGCACATTGTGCACATGTACCCTAAAACTTAAAGTATAATAAAAATAAAATAAAATAAAAATAAATAAATAAAAAACAGTGTGGTGGCATAAATGCAGACATATGGAAAGACAGAGTAGAATAAAAAGCCTGGAAATAAACCCTCACATATATGGTAAAATGATTTTTGACAAGGGTGCCAAGACCATTCAATGGGGAAAGGACCATCTTTTCAACAAACAGTCCTGGGTAAACTGGATGTCCACGTGCGAAATAATGAAATTGGACCCTTACATAACACCCTATATGAAAATTAACTCAAAATGGATTGAAGACCTAAATTTAAGGCATAAAACTATAAAACTCATGAAAAAACTTATGGAGGACAAAATGTTCACAACATTGGATTTGGCAGTGATGTCTTGGATATGACAGGAAAGGAAGAAGCAACAACAAAGAATTGGGCTTCATAAAAAATCAAAAAACTTGTGCATCAAAAGATACTATCAAAAGTAAAAAGGCAGCCTAAAGAATGGAAGAAAATACTTCAAAATCATATATCTGAGAAAGGATTGATATCCAGAATATATGGAGAACACCTAAAACTCAACAACAACAAAGAGCAACATGATTCAAAAATAGGGAAAAGACTTAATTAAACAAAACATTCCTCCAAAGAAGATATACAGATAGCCAATAGCACATGAAAAGATGCTCTACGGGACTAATCATTAGGGAAACACAAATCAAAACTATAATGAGATACCATTGCACACCCATTGTGTACCAAAAAAAATAAGATAACAAGCGTTGGTGAGGATGTGGAGAAATTGGAACTCTTTTGCATTTGTTGGCGGGACTGTAAAATGGTACAAACTGTGGAAAATAGCATGGAGGTTTCTCAAAAATTAAAAATAGAATTACCATATGGTCCAGCAATTTAACTTCTGAGTATACCTCAAAAGAATTGAAAGCAGGGTCTGGAGAGATATTTGTACATCCATGTCCATAGGAGCATTATTCACAATAGTTAAGTGTGGAAACAGTCCAAGAAACCATCAATGGATGAATGGATAAGCAAAATGTGAGATTTTAAATATATATATATGCACAATGGAATATTATTCAGCCATAAAAAGGAAATTATGACAGACTACAACATGAATAAATCCTGAAGACATGCTAATTGAAGTAAGCCAGTCACAGAAAGACAAATACTGTATGATTTCACTTATATGAGGTACTTAGGATAGTCAAAGTCATAGAGAAAGAAGTAGAATGGTGGTTGTCAGGAGCTGGGAGGAGGGGGGAAATAGGCAGTGACTGTTTAATGAGTAAAGAGTTTCAGTTTTGCAAGATGAAAAGAATTTTGGAGGCGGATGGTCATGATGGTTGTACAAAATTATTAATACATTTAACACCACTAAACCGTACATTTAAAAATAGTTAAGATGGTAAACGTTATGTTATATGTACTCTCCCACAATAAAAATATTGGAAAAAAATGTATTTCAGATCATATTACTCCTTTTCTCACTGTCCCCACTGCTTCTCAACACCCCCAATACTACCAATGACTCCTGTGTCAGTGAGAAATTCAACACCCCTACAGTGACCTTCAAGATCCTAGAGAACTGGCCCCATTTCCTCTCTTATCTCATCTCTTCCTACTTCCCTCCCCTCACTCATTCCATTCCAGTCACATTGGCCTCCTTGCAATTCCTCAAACATGCTGGACACATTTCCACTTAAAGGCTTTGCACTGGCTTTTTCCTCTACCCAGAATGCTCTTTCCGTAGATACTCACATGGCTCCCTCTCTCACCTCCTCAACCCTTTGTACAAATCTTGTCTCCTCATTGAACCACTACCAATTTCTTTTATCCCGTTCCACATTTTTTCTATTCTGATTATAACCTTCAACCTCACTAGATAATGTACTTATTTATTATGCTTATTGTGTGCCTGTCTCCTTCACAAGAATATAGATTCCTTGGAGGCAGGGATTTTTTGTTCTGTTTGCTGATGTATTTCAAGCACCTATATTGGTACCTGATACTTGGTAGGCATTTAATAAACATGTACTGAAAGAATGAATGAATAAAATTTTCATCTAAAGTTGAATTAGTAACTTTTGGCTCACTAGGGAAAGGAAACTAAATATGTTTCACCCCAGGAAAATTTAAGATTCAGGAGTATTCACAGAGTAAAATGTTGTAAGAAATCACCTGCTATATTCAACTAACCCCCTTCAATATATATGTAGGTAAAGATGGATTAAAATGCACACTAAGGGCAAAGTCCCTGTCAGGTTGAGACTGCAGAAGGGAAGGGGCTTTGGTTGGAGGGTGTTTATGTGAATTGTGTGCATGCTTGTGGGTCCCTCCCATGAACCTTAACACATGTCACCAGATGGTGCCCAGCTTCAAAAGCACCACATAATCTGGACCCTGCTCATCTAACTGGTCACAATTTGTCCTCACTACATTAAACAAATGGGGGTCTGGCAGTGTGCAAGGCTGGGAGAGGGGTCAGGGGAAGAGTTCATTCTCCCTCTCTTATGGTGGAATTTTCCTGGCAGCCAAGATGATGAGATGGAAAAAGGCAGACCAGTGGCTACTCCAGAAATGCATTGGCGGGGTCAGAGGGATGTGGCGCTTCTATTCCTACCTCACAGGCAGTGCAGGTGGGTTCTTGGGGTTGTTCCTGGGGCTTTTGCAAGTTCCTAATGGTTTTCAGATTGCCCTAAGCCCCAGTTAACAATTATGTGTGTCTGTGTTGAATATAAACATGTTTAATAATGCAGTTTGGATAAAAATCTTTGAAAACTGAGGTCCATAGTGTAGGTTAAGGGAAAGGTAGTCAGAGTCCCTTTTACTCGTTTATTCATTCATTCATTTAACAGTGTCATTAAGCACTGCTATGTGGCAGCCACTGGCCTGGTAGGTTGGGTTACAAAGGTGAACAAGAGCCATAAGTCCCTGCTTCACAAAGCTGCCATTTTGGTGGGGAGATGGACAAGGAACACGTAAACAAATCCCTGTAGTGGGAGTGATGGGAAGACTGGCTTCTGTTCTATTGGGTCCAGTAGTTACTGGGTTCTGGGAGGCTGGTAGCTGGCCCTGGCTGACACTCCAGCTCAACAACATTAAGTTTCATCCAGGCCTTAGCCCTAATTTTAAGGGTGAAATCCTGGATCTCCAAGGAGCAGGTAGGGAAGAACTAGATGGACTACATCTTTCACTTTGCCACTCAGAGTTCAGGCCTGGCCAAGTTTTAACAAAAGGGAATGTAGTCTTTGGCATCTTTTGGCTCCAGTGTCCTTCTGCAGGCCATTCTCAGTCCATGATCTAGGAAATGTGGTTTTTTTCCCCAATCTTCATTTTTTTTGGACAAAATTTAATTACTTCATAATCCTCCCCCAGAGTCTTGCAGTTTTCCCTCCAGTGATGGTTTTTCTAACACCAGCAACAAAAAGTCAAAGGATTCCCATGCATTAAGCCTCTTCTCCCCATGCCTCCAATTCTCCCCCACAGTAGAACTTTTCTAGAGATGATACCTTGAACCAATCACCAGGAATGATGATTGATGCAGTGGAACAGGCTGGTGGGGGATGTCAGTTGATTCACCCAGATGCAACCACCAAAGGGGCAAAACTAGGGTATAGCTCTGTGCCTCTTCTGTCTCACCCGTAGGTGAAGAATTGGTGGATTTCTGGATCCTTGCTGAGAACATCCTGAGCATAGATGAGATGGACCTGGAAGTGAGAGACTACTACCTGTCCCTCCTCCTCATGCTGAGGGCCACTCATCTGCAGGAGGGCTCCAGGGTGGTAACCCTCTGTAACATGAACATCAGTAAGAATTATAAAGCATCTTTTTGGGGGGATGCAACAAAAAAGTAAATCCAGTGTCTGATAATCCTCAGTCTCCTTCTTTGCAGGAAACCCCACCTTCTTTCCATCTTCTATGTATCAGAGAGGCTAGTGGCAACCCCAACCCTTAACCAGGAAAGTATTGAAAGACACAGTTGTCCTTAAGCTGGCACTTGCCTCTCTCTAAGATACTACCTGCCAATGAAGGCTGGCTGGAAGGAGCGGGGAGGAATTGGGGCAGGATACTTGAAAAGCACCTGTAACATTTAAGTCTATGTACTTTTGTAATTTTATTTTTTTAATTGGGATTCTCTAGAACAAACTGCAGCCCACCAGCCAAATGCACTGTATGTGGCCTGTGAGCTAAGACCGTTTTTACATTTTCATAGGGCTAATTTTATGTGATTTACAAAGCCAAAATATTTACCATCTGGCCCTTTACATAAAAATTTGCCAACTTCTTCTCTAGAATGTAAGATTTATGTATACTTGTTTGTTCATTGATTAGATGATGAGGCATTCCTAACTCAAATACAAATGTGCTCCAAAAGATGTGCTGTTTGGGGTTAGTCATACTCCTCTCTACTCACATAGGTAATTGAGAATTGATGACATTAAAATCAGGGCTAGTTCTACTTATCCAGTCCAAACCTCTTCATCAAAAATCCTGTTCAGATGTAGATGTCTCTTGTTCTTAATCGTTTTTCTTGTGCTTTTGCTTTTCTTTAAAATAACATTTAATAATCTAAAAAGTAGCTAGAGGAATCCCATAGCATGGCTTATTTCTATGGAGAATAAGATAAAGGGATCCCTGTGTGCTGAGAAAACCATAAAAATGTGTCGACTCTATATTTAAACTATTCATACTCCAGGATTATATGAGGAACTAATAAAATGCTATATACAAAGACATTTGAAAAAAATTAAAAACCTCTCCAACACCATCATCACTGCCATCATCCCATCATTTTCACCCATGATTTCTCTGTATTATTTCCAGAGTCCCTCCTGAACCTCTCCATCTGGCATCCCAACCAATCAACCACTAGGAGGGAGATCCTGAGCCACATGCAGAAAGTGGCTCTGTTCAAACTCCAGAGCTATTGGCTTCCCAACTTTTACACCCACACCAAGATGACCATGGCCAAGGAGGAAGCATGCCATGGTCTGATGCAAGAGTACGAGACTCGCTTATACAGCGTTTGCTACACCCACATAGGAGGGCTCCCTCTGAACATGAGCATCAAGAAGTGCCACCACTTTCAGAAACGGTACTCAAGCAGGAAAGCCAAGAGGAAGATGTGGCAATTGGTAGATCCTGACTCTTGGTCTCTGGAAATGGATCTCAAGCCAGATGCTATTGGTATGCCCCTACAGGAGACATGTCCTCAAGAGAAGGTGGTTATACAAATGCCTTCCCTGAAAATGGCTTCTTCAAAGGAAACAAGAATCAGTTCCCTGGAAAAGGATATGCATTATGCAAAAATATCCAGCATGGAGAATAAAGCCAAGAGCCACCTCCACATGGAAGCCCCCTTTGAGACAAAGGTCTCTACCCACCTGAGGACTGTCATCCCCATTGTCAATCACTCCTCCAAGATGACAATTCAGAAGGCCATCAAGCAAAGCTTCTCCTTAGGATACATCCACTTGGCCTTGTGTGCTGATGCCTGTGCAGGGAACCCTTTCCGGGACCACCTGAAGAAGCTGAATTTGAAAGTGGAGATCCAACTTCTTGACCTCTGGCAGGACTTGCAGCATTTCCTCAGTGTCCTTCTGAATAACAAAAAGAATGGGAATGCAATCTTTCGTCACTTGCTGGGTGACAGAATCTGCGAGCTCTACCTGAATGAGCAGATTGGTCCGTGCTTACCACTCAAATCCCAAACCATTCAGGGCCTGAAGGAACTATTGCCCTCTGGGGATGTGATCCCCTGGATTCCCAAAGCCCAGAAGGAGATTTGCAAGGTAGGCCATGCCTCACAGAAATAAGTTATATCTGGCAAATTAGGTCAAAACTGACTAAAAATCCCATCTGGTCACCTATACTGGCTAAGTGACTATATAATTACCCACATAAACCTTTACATATTGAAGAGTTGGTTGATCTGTTAAGGCAGGGGTCCCCAGCCCCTGGGCCGCAAATCTGTATCAGTCCATGGCCTGTTAGGAACTGGGCCGCACAGCAGAAGGTGAACAGCGGGTAAGCAAGCATTACTGCCTGAGCTCTGTCTTCTGTCAGATCAGTGGCAGCATTAGAGTGCAAACAGTACTGTGAACTGTGAATATGAAGGATCTGGGTTGCATGCTTCTTATGAGAATCGAATGCCTGATTATCTGAGGTGGAACAGTTTCATTCTGAAATCATCCCCCCAGCCCCAAGTTCATGGAAAAAACTGTCATCCACAAAACTGGTCCCTGTGCCAAAAAGGTTGGGGACCGCTGTCTCAAGGCACAAATTTTGCAACGTCCCCCAAATCAGCCAAAAATTCTAAAGTACAATGGAGGTGGGGAGTGGTTGATGTCCATTCCTTCTTCACTTTCTTGTTATGTGAAGCCTCCCCAAACCATGAACCTCAGAGTATTCTATGAGGAGAGTTTTAAATTTCTGTTATAAACATTATGTATTGAAAAGCAAGGTCTCCCTTTACTAGACTAGCCATCAAGGAAATGTTCAATTAGGATGAGTTTATTTTTATCTCAAAACATTAGATAAAAGCAAGAGAATACTCTGAAGACTCACAGGAAGTGATGCCCATCATATAGCTATTGTATCATCAAGTTCTTAGCAGAAAGCAAACGGCAAAGTTAAGTTGGGTAACAGATGAGAGACAAATAAGAGGGACTACTCACAAAGGAATGGGTGGTGCAGTGGGGCAACCACAGGGATAGTGTCATACCATAAAGTCAGTAAGGGCAGGGCACCTTTGTCATTCCTAGGTATGAAGAACTGAGGACAGGAAGCAATTACTAGAACCAGGAGAGAAAGAGCTGTATGGAGTGGGACACTTACTTGGCAGAAGCTGTAATCATCAGTTGAGGGATATAACTAGTTCACAGTGATCTAGTTTGGAGGGATTGGAGAAATAGATACCCCAAGCTCACTCTGCTCCTGATTTCCCATCTCCTGCCAGGACACCTCATCTGATAAACCCAAACAGAGGACAAGGGAACAGATTGATGTGGCGCATACAGGTTAATCTTCCAAGGCACAAACAGGGTGAAGAAGAGTAGAAAGTAGATCTGGAGGAGCAAATAGATAAAAAACATCAAATTATTTAGTGCATTATAACGTATTTACCTTGTAAAGCACATTCACACACATTGTGTCCTTTATGCTTCTTAGCACTCCCAAGAGACAGAGAGAATAGTCTTGTTGCTTCTCTTATACAGATAAGGGAATTGAGTCACACAGAGAGTAAGTGAATTAGCCCAAAGCCATGCAGCTAGCTAGTAGATGATCCAGGATCAGAATCCTGGAGTTTTCGGCTCTAAGTCTGGCATGATTTCCAGTATATCATAATTATCCAGGGTTGTACAGTGAGGTAATTTCAGAATAGATCAGTCTAGTGGATCCACAACCAAAGTTCTCCTTTGCTCAATTTTTGATTAATTAAAGCACAGTGGTCTTTCTGCATTTTGTGGAGCCATTTTACGACAGAGATTCAGACTGGGACTGTGCTTTCTGGATCAGCAGATTCTCACAGCAAATACTTCTGCCTGGGACTTGGTGCAAATATACTGAAGATATTTGTACGTGGAGAAGACTAGCCTATCACAGTTACTCAGACTAAACATTTTTATATCATTCTTGACTCACCTCTTTGTCTTACACCCATGTCTAGTCTATTGGCAAACCCTGTTGGCATTACCTTAAGAAATCCAGAAGTGACCACTCCTTTCCACCGTTGTTACAACCACTCTCACCCAAGCCCTGTCCTCTCACCTGTAATATTGCTATTGTCTTCTAACTGATGCCTCGGTGTCTACCCTTGCCCCTCATCAACTCATTTACATGCCAACCACAGTGATTCTGTCAAAACATAGTGTAATTTAACTGAAAATAAATAAAAGGAAATGAGTGAGAACCTTGAAAACAGATGGCTGTCTCAATGAAGATTTTTACTTTCAGTAAAATCCAAAGTCCCTAATAAATCTAGCAAGGCCCTACATGATCTGCATGCCACCTCTCCTCTCTGGCTTCATCTACTATTCCACCCCCACCCCATGCTCATCATCAACTGTGCCAGGCACGCTGCCAGCTTGGCTGTGCTCTGTAACATACAGATAACTGCATGGCTTAGTCTCTCACTCCCTCAGGTCTCCATTAAAGAGTCACCTTTTCAGTGAGGACTTCCTTGGCCATTTGATATAAAATTGCAACCAGCTCCCCATTTTATTTTTGTCCGTAGCACATATCACTAAATACATACATACTCAGAGTGACATCAGCAATATGGTGAAATAGGAGGTCCCCAGCTTTTGTTCACCCATAGAAACATGGACTTGCCAACTATCCACAGAAAAAAGTGCCTTTTGATGAGCTTTGGGACCCAAGTTGGAGGTTGCACCACCCCAGTGGAGTTCAAGACCAAGGAAAGCTGCTTTGAAAAAGCAGTCTCATGCTTCTAGTAGCAGGCCTGTCAGTCAGGATCCTGGCTGCAGATCCAGAATCAGCCTCATCTCCTGTGGACTCAGTCCAGCATCATTTGTCCATAATTTTGCCACCAGACCCACCCTCCCATGGTCTTAGCAGAAACTATGCCTGCTTAACACCCTGTTAACGACCCAATGCCTTTCGGTCTCATTAGACACGGAAGCAGCCCTGTGACCCAGCTCCACATTGCTCAACTGCAGTCACAGAAGAAATATCGTCTGCCCTGAGATCCAGCAGGAACCACACCCTGATAACAGGCTTGCTGACCCCAGTCCTGATGACAGACTCTGAGGCAGCCCTGTCCACCCATGGACCTAGAGACAGCCACATTCAATGGCTTTTCCAGACTGCTAGCAGCCTCAGTTTTATCCCTGACCACCTGTGGACTCAGCTATAACCCAAACCACCTGCAGACCTTGAGACAGCCCCAACTGCCTTTGAACCAGGCTCTAACTCCATCTGCCCACAGGTGCAGCTCCAGCTTCACCCACCCATAGACATAATGACCTTACTCATGGAAGCCAACAGCAGGCCTGCCTATAAACATTGCCAGCTAACCAGCCCAGAATCTCTGACTGGCTAATTGCAAAGGCCTTTTTGTGTGTGGCAAAACCAGTCTGTGAAGACCAGAAGAGGTGACTCCTCCGTCAAGCGTACACACACCAATGCAAGGATACAAGGGTCATGAAAAATCAGGTACATGTAATATCACCAAAGGAAATTAATAACATTTCACTATCTGACCCTAAAGAAATGGAGATCCATAAACTGCTTGACCAAATAATTCAAAATAACATCTGAAAAAAAATTTTTCTTGTACTTTTTATAAAGAATTTCTAAACTGTTTAACACAATAATCCTTTTTTTGAGAGACAGGGTCTCACTCTGTCACCCAGGCTGGAATGGAGTGGCATGATCATAGCTCACTGTAGCCTCCAACTCCTGGCCCTAAGCTATTCTCCCACCTTGGCCTCCCAAAGTGCTGGGATTACAGGGGTGAGCCACTATGCCCAGCCAAAATAATCATCTTAGAGAAGCTCAATGAGTGATAAGAAAACACAGATAAACATGGACAAAATCAGAAAAACATGCATCAATAAAATTAGAAGTTTAATAAAAAATAAAAAACAATGAAAGAGCCAAATAGAAATCCTGGAGCTGACAAATATAATGACTCAACTGAAAAATTCAATAAAGAGCTTCAACAGCAGGCTTGATTAGGCTTCAAAGGCTTAAAGTAATTGAAGCTGTTATCAGCTTAAAACAGATTTATGTTTTAAGCAGAAGAAAGAAATGAACTCAAAGACAGATCATTTCAGAAATAAAAAGAATGAAAAAGAGCAAAGAAAGCCTAAAGGACTTATGGGACACCATCAAGTGAACCAATATACACATAGAAGTCTCAGAAGGAGAAGCAAGAGAAAAAGGGATAGAAAGCTTATTTAAAGAAATAATGGCTGGAAACTTCACAAATCTAGGGAGAGAAATGGATACCTAGATTTCTGAAACTCAAAGATCTCCAAATAGGCTGAACCTAAAGAGTTTCATACTCAGACATATGATAAATTATTAAAAGTCAAAGACAAAGAATTTTGAAAGAAGAATGGGAAACGTGACTTGTAATATAAAAGGGAGGCTCAAAAAGGCTATCAGCAGATTTCTCAACAGAAACCTTGTAGTCCAGGAGAGAGTGGGATGATATATTCAATATGCTGAAGGAAAGAAAAGGAAAACTGGCAATTGAGAATTCTTTACCCAGAAAAATTATCCTTTGAGAGTGAAGAAGTGTTTAAAAAAAATCTTTCCCAAACAAAATATGAGTTTGTCACCACTAGACCTGCCTTACAAAAAGTGCTAAAGGAACTTCAAGAATAAGGTGAAATGAAAAGATGCTAAATAACAATACAAAAGCATGTGAAAGTATAAATCTCACTGCTAAAGGTAAATATAAGGACAAACACATAATACTGTAATATTGTGATAAAGGTATATAAATCACTTTGAACACTAGTGTGTAAATTAAGACAAAGTTGTAAGAATAATTATAACCACCGAAATTAGTTAATGAAAACACAATATAGAAAAAATAAAAGCTGACATCAAATATGTAAACTATGGCAAGTAGGAAGAAAAGTGCAGAATTTTGTATGCAATTGAAGTTATCAGCTTAAAGCAATTTAAGTTAAGTTGTTATCAGCTTAAAACAGATTTATGACTATAAAATGTTTAATGCAAGGTTCATGGTAACCACAAAAAATGTATAGTAGATACCTAAAAGATAAAAAGAAAATAAAGTATATCACTACAAAAAACAATCAAATCACAAAGGAAGGACAGCAATAGAGAAAGAGAGGGAAGAAGAGAGCTACAAAACAGAAAACAATTAACAAAATGGCAACAGTCTTTACCTAACGATAATTACTTTAAATGTAAATCGTCTTAACTCTGCAATCAAAAGACATTGAGTAGATGAATGTATAAAAACACAAGACCCAAAGATACAAAAGACTCATGATAGATTTAAGAACACAGATAGGCTGAAAGTGAAAGGTTGAAGAAAGATATTTTATGCAAGTGGTAACCCAAAAAAGCATATTTGGCTATACTAAATCAGATAAGATAGAATTTAAGTCAAAAGCTGTCACAAAAGCCAATGGAAGTTATTATACAATGATAAAAGGGTCAATTTAATAGGAAGCTGTAACAATTATAAATACATACGCACCCAACATCATCACCTAAATATATAAAGCAAACATTGACAGATCTGAAGGAAGAACTTAATCTTCTATTATTATTGTGTTGCTTTAATAGAAGACTTCAATACCCCACTCTTCATAATGGATACATCATACGGACAGAAAATGAACAAAGAAAGAGCAGAACTGACCAACCTCATAAAGCAACTGGACCTAACAGTCATATACAGAACTTTCTACTCAACAGCAACAGAATAATTATTCATCCCAGGTGCACATGAATATTCTCCAGAATAGATCATGTGCTAAGTCACAAAAAGGTCTTAACAAATTTAAGATTAAAAATATTCCATAGCCAGACGTGGTGGCACATGTTTGTAGTCCTAACTGCTTGGGAGGCTGAGGTAGGAGGATCACTTAAGCCCAGGAGTTCAAGGTTACAGTGACCTGTGATCATACTACTTCAATCCAGCCTGGGTGAAAGAATGAAACCCTGTCTCTAAAATAATAAAATGAAATAACATTACAAGTTTTTTTTTTTTTTTGACAGAGTCACGCTCTGTCACCCAGGCTGGAGTGCAGTGGCGCAATCTTGGCTCACTGCAACTTCTGTCTCCTGACTTCAAGCAATTCCTCTACCTTAGCCTCCTGAGTAGCTGGAATTACAGGCGCCCACCACCATGCCCACCTAATTTTTGCATTTTTCTTAGAGACGGGGTTTCACCACATTGGCCAAGCTGGTCTCAAACTCCCGACCTCAGGCGATCCACCTGCCTCAGCCTCCCAAAGTGCTGGGATTACAGGCGTGAGCCACCACGCTTGGCCACAAGTATTTTTTTTTATCAAGTGCAATGGAGTGAAACTAGAAATCAAGAATAGAAAATGGGAAAATTTATAAATACACAGAATTAAACAACACACTTTTAAACAACTAGTAGCTCAAAAAAAATCAAAAAGGGCATTTGAAAATACTTGAGACAAATGAAAATAAAAATAACATACCAAAACTTATGGGATGCAGCAAAAGCAGTACTAAGATGGATGTTTATAGCAATAAATGCCTACATTAAAAAAGAAAAATCTCAAATAAACCACCTAACTTTACACCTCACAGAACCAGAAAAAGAAGAACTAAACCTAAACTTATCAGAAGGAAGAAGAGGATGAAGATTAGAGAAGAAATAAATGAAATGGAGAATAGAAAATCAATTTTTAAAAACATAAAACTAAGTTTGTTTTCTTAAGCAATAAATGAAACCAACAAATCCTTAGCTAGGCTTAAAAAAAAGAGAGAGAAGTTTCAAATAAATAAAATTATAAATGAAAGAAAAGATGTTACAATTTATTCTCACAGAAATAAAAAGGATAATGAGACTATTATTAATAATTATACACCAACAAATTGGACAACCTACAAGAAATAAATTTCTAGAAACATACAACTTACCATGACTAAGTCGAGAAGAAATTGAAAGCCTGAACAGACCAATAACAGTAAAAGAGACTGAAGAAGTAATAATAAACTTCCCAAAAGAGAAAAACCAGGGACAAGATGGCGTCACTGGTGAATTCCATCAAATATTTTAATAATTAATACCAATCCTTCTTAAACTCTTCCCAAAAGTATAAGGAGAGAGAACACTTTCAAAGTAATTTATGAGGCTAGAACTCTGACACCAAAGCCAGACAAAGACACAAGAAGAAAAGTAAACCACGGGTCAATATCCCTGAGGAAAACAGATGCAAATATTCACAAGAAAATACGAGCATGGCCAGGTGCAGTGGTTCATGCCTGTAACCCCAGCACTTTGCGAGGCTGAAGTGGGATTGCTTGAGCCCAGGAGTTCAAGACCAGCCTAGGCAACATGACAAAACTCTGTGTTTATAAAAGATAAAAATATTATCTTGGCATGGTGGCGTGTGCCTGTGGTCCTAGCTACTTGGGATGCTGAGAAGGGAGGATTTCTGGAAGAATTTGAAGCTGCAGTGAGCCATGTTCGTGACACTGCATGCCAGCCTGGTGACAGGCAAGATACTGTCTTTAAAAAGAAAAGAAAAAAATACTAGCAAACCAAATACAACAGCCTATTAAAAGAATTATACACAATTACCAGGTAGGATTTATCCCTGGGTTATAAGGATGGCTTGACCTATGCAAATCAATCACTGTGATGCAACTCATTAACAGAATTAGAGGTAAAAATCACATGATCAGCTCAACAGATGCAGAAAAATTACTTGACAAAGTTCAAAATATTTTCATGACAAAAACTCTCAAAAATTACATATAGAAGGAAGGTACTCCCACACAATAAAGGCCATTTATGAAAAGCTTGCTGCAACATCATACTCAATGGCGAGAAGCTGAAATCATTCCCTCTAACATCCAGAACAAGCTAAGGATCCTCATTCTTGCCCCTCCTCATCAACAAAATACTGGAAGTCCTAGCCAGAGAAAGTAGACAAGAAAAATAAAAAATAAAAAAAAGCATCCAAATAGAAAAGGAAGAAGTGAAACTATATAGAAAAAGTAAAACTATCATGCCTCTGTTTGCAGATGACATGATCTTATATGTAGATAACCCTAAAATTACCACAAAAACAGTTAAAACTAATTAGCGAATTCAGTAAAGTTGCAGGATAAAATCAATATTCAAAAACAGTTGTGATTCTATACACTGACACTAAACCTGCATACTATTTTTCACACTGGATGCCCAAATTTACATTCCTGTTTGTGGGAGTGTAAATTGGTGTGACCAGTATGGAAAACAGTATGCAGGTTTCTCAAAAAATGAAAAGTAGAATCACCTTTTGATCCAGCAATCCCACTTCTGGGGATATATTCAAAGGAATTAAAATCTGGATCTTGAAGAGATATCTGCACTATTATGTTCATTGCAGAATTATTCACAATAGCCAAGATATGAAAACAACTGAAATGTGCATCAAAAGGTGAATGGATAAAGAAAATGTGGTGTATATGATGCAGTATTATTCAGTCTTTAAAAGGAAGGAAGTCCTGCCATTTGCAACAACATAGATGAGACCTGGAGGACATCATGCTAATTAAAATAAGTGAGACACAGAAAGACAAATACTGCATAATCTCACTTATGTATTGAATCTAAATCAGATAAACTCATAGAAGCAGAAAATAGAATGGCAGTTGCCAGCAGCTTCAGGGAGGTGTTGATCAAAGTGTACCATGTTTCAGTCACGAGAGATAAATTTACTGTACAACATATGAAATATCATTTAACGATTCTATATTGTATACTTAAAATTCACTGAGAGAATAGGTCTTGTGTTAAGTGTTTTTACCACAAAAGAAAAAAAAAAGCAAACAAAACCAAAGGGAACAGGAGGAAACTTTTGGAGGACAGGTTTGTGGTATTGATTGTGATGACAGTTTAATGGGTGTATACTTATCTTCAGAGACATCAAGTTGTATACATTAAATTTCTACAGGTTTTTGTATGTCAATCATACCTTAATAAAGGACTTAAAAATAATTTTAAAAATACATACTTAATATATGTGTATATATAAAATAAATGTAAAATTCTCATAATGTATATGAATACGTGTGTGCATATAATGTACATCTATGACATACACATAAAATATACTTGTATTATATTTCAAATGAGACATAATGTGTATATGTAATATTTATAGACATATATTTCTATTATTTTGCTTATTTTCTTTTTTTAACTTTCATTTTACGTTCAGGGGTACATATGCAGGTTTGTTATATAGGTATATTTGTGTCACAGCAGTTTATTGTACAGATTAGTAGCACTTGGGTCTTGGGGTGCACGTTCACTTTATGTGGAATGGTTGGATGTAGGCTGCCCACAGAGCCAGGATATGTGACTCTGCAGCATCCCCTAGGAGCTCAAGCCCCGGGGTTCGGTTGTAACTGTAATTCTACCCTGAGGGACAGAGCACAGCTCTGGTCCAGCTTTGGGGAAGAAGGGGTACTCTGGAGGTTCGGGCCCACAGAGTGGGTTTGGGAACCTGAGCCAATAGGGCTCAGTGGCAACTCAGGTCCCTAGGGATGAGGCACCGTGTAGTGGTGACTCTAGACCCTGGGACGGTGGGGCTCAGAAGTATCCCAGACTCTGAAGCCAGGCGCAGTGGCACCAAGTATGCTAGAATACTTGGGATACAGGGAAAGGGATGTCTTAGCAGCTAGGACTCTAGAGGGCTAGTTCAGCTACAGGGAAGCAGGGTACTATAATTCTTTTGGCCTGTAGTGTGGGGTGCCTCAGCTCAGCCACTGTTCTGTTTCCCTGGGACCTGGGGTACTATGTCATCTTAGTCCTGGAATGCACAGCTGCTCAGTGTCACTTCAGCTTAGGCCCAGGGGTGTGACTATTCCAGGTAGCCCAGGCACTATTTCCCTGGGATGTAAGATGCCACTCAGCTTAGGTATTGGTGTATGTGACCGCTCTTCTGGGAGGCAGGACACTGCTTTAAATCAAGCATGAGAATATGTGACTGCTCTGGACAGCCAAGGTTCTGTTTTCCCAGGGGCCAGGGTACAGCAGCAACTGGAGGGATAGATGGAGCAGTTCCACCAATGCATCAATTTCCCAGGAAGGCGTGTGAAGCTTTGGCTTCAGTTCACAGGTTCGGGGCTCAGCAGTGACTAGGAGAGAAATATGGGGCAGCTCCAACAAGGCACTGTTTCCTCAGGAGGCAGTGTGCCATTTCAGTTCAGGCCCCTAGGGGCAGGGTGCAGGTGCAGCTGCAGCTGAGTGTGGTAGATGAAGCAATTCTACCAAAGTGCCATTTCCCCAGGAGGGAGTGTAGAGCTTAATGTTCAGCCTGAAGGGGTTAGGCAGAAGTGGGCAGAGCAGTTCCACTTGTGGTTGGCCCCAAGGGGAAGAGTGTGACAGCTGCCTGCAACTTGGCTTGGGGATGTCAGGCCATCAGGTGGGGGTGGTTTGGCAGCAGTTTACCCTCAGGGATGAAGGGAAGCTGTGGCTGCTTGCCCCTGGAGCAAGACACATTCCAGCAGTAATACCATTTCCAAGATGGTATAGCACGGTAGTCTTGCAGGCCACAGGAGGCAGGGCACAGTGTCAACTCCTTCTCTGGTGGGAGCATAGCTGTGTGGCCATTAGGCAGCTCCCTCAGCTGGGCTTAGTGCCTGTGAGGACTGCAGGGGACCCCAGTGGTGAGGACTGTAGGTGTCTAATGTGTTAATGAGGGCTGCTGAGATCTTCTAGCCTAGCTTTTCACAATAGGAAGAAGTTCCTCCCGGTCCCCAGCTGATCCAGGCTCGGGGAGTGGGTGGTGGAGGCCCAATGTTTCCTTTCATTCTCTCTGTGGCTATCCTGAGTTTCTGTGTTCATCAGGGTTTCTGTTACTCCTTCAATGTACACTTTCCTTTTGTTATTTTAACTTTTATTAGAATGTAGTTATTCATGTATTGTTTCAGCTGTGTTTATGGAGGCAGGGGCAAGTGCTGGGGGCTTCTAGTCAGCCATCTTGCTGACATCACTCATCTTGATCCTTGGTTTTCTCATCAGTACATTGGGGATCATAATGGCTGCCTCAAAGACACTCTATATGCAGCGCCTGGTAGTGAGTAGGTAAATACATGTTCATCCTCTTCTGATCTTTTATCAGACACATATAACCTTAGAATAGGTCATTAGAGATTCTGTCATCCCTTCTCTCATTGTACAGCTGATGGGCCAAATTCTCAGGTCTCACTGCTATTTACTGACAAGTGCAGAGCCAGTGTCCAGATTCCTGCTCAGTCTATTGCAAGGTTAGCAAACTACAGTCTGGGAGCCAAATTCGGCTTCCCACATGTATTTGCATGGCCAGCAAGCTAGGGATGGTTTAACATTTCTTTATAGTAGGGAAAAAAATCAAAAGAAGAACATATTAGGGCACATGGATAATACATGAAATTCAAATTTTAGTGTCCATAAATAAAGTTTTATTGCAACAAAACTGTGCCCGTTTGTTTACATACTACCATGTCCTACAACTACATAGTTGAGTACTTGCAATGGACTATATAGCCCATATATCATAAAATATTTACCATCTGGCACTTCATAGAAAATGTTTGCAGAACCTTCATCTATTGCATCACACACTGCTCTGAGAAGGGGCCGGGAGGGTTTGTCAAGTGATGGACAAGCTCAATTCTAAAGAAAATCCTAATACATTCTAACGAAAAACTATTAAAACTATTATAGGGTTTTTAGATGCTGTTTTATCATATTTATTATTCATGACTATTATTTTAATGTATATCTAGTTATTTCTTTTAATTGAAAATGCTCTATTAAGCATTGTTTCTTAAGAAATAAATTTATTTATCTATTAATTATTAGGTAGAGTCATAATTTTTTTTTTTTTTTTTTGAGAAAAAGTCTCCCTCTGTTGCCCAGGCTGAAATGCAGTAGCACGATCTTGGTTCACTGCAACCTCCATCTTCCAGGTTCAGGTGATTCTTCCACCTGAACTCCCCAGTAGCTAATTTGTGGTACTCCCTGTGGGTGGCATGCGCCTCCCATAGGTGCACGCCACCATGCCCAGTTATTTTTTTATTTTTTATTTTTTGGTAGAGCTGGGGTTTCACCATGTTGCCCAGGCTGGTCTCAAACTCCTTGTCTCAAGTGATCTGCCCACGTCAGTCTCCAAAACTGCTAGGATTACAGGTGTGAGGCATGAGCCACTGTACCCAGCCTGAGTCATAAATCTTTTTTACTTATTTATTTATTTTTTGAGACGGCGTTTCATTCTTGTCGCCCAGGCTGGAGTGCAATGGTGTGATCTTAGCTCACTGCAACCTCCGCCTCCTGGGTTCAAGCAATTCTCCTGCCTCAGCCTCCCAAGTAGCTGGGATTACAGGCATGTGCCACCATGACAAGCTAATTTTGTATCTTTAGTAGAGACGGGGTTTCTCCATGTTGGTCAGGCTGGTCTTGAACTCCCAACCTCAGGTGATCCGCCTGCCTTGGCCTTCCAAAGTGCTAGGATTACAGGTGTGAGCCACCATGCCCGGCCTAGTCATAAACCTTTTAAACCAAAAGGGATGTTAATAGGGTGCTCATTTCACACATGCTTTTTTATTATTCATATTTAATATATATTTACAGTTTATTTATTAATGAGTAACATTATATTACATTACATATTGCTCGGATTCAATCACTGAACTGAATTGTCTCAGGAATACACTTCACTCAAGTTTCCCAGGAGCCAAGGAGATTTGTTAAAGCTACTAAAATTTATATCCCTAAACTCACCTTTTCGCTGCATGATTGAGGCAGCTGGCGGAGATAATCTTACATTCTTAAAAATTACTATCAACAATTCATTGCCTACAAAATAATCCCCAGATTACTCAGCAAGGCATTCAAGTCCCTCATATATAATTCCAATGCATCCCTGCTTCCTCTCTTGCCACTTCCCCATCCCTGGGCTCTTCACATGAATGCCACATTTCAGCCCACACTGAAGTACTCATGATTCCCAAACATGTTCTTTCCTATCCCGATGCCTTTGCTTAAGCTCTTTCTACTGCATGGCATGATCTTTACTCAACTTCCCTGTGGTGAGCTCCTACTTATCCTGCAAGGTGCACAGTTAGATTAAACCTCCTTACCTTTATGAATTCTTCCTGGATTTCCCTGACTGAATCAGAAGCTTTGTTAATACCTCTGTTAGAGCATGTGTTATGCTGCTGTTCACGCTGGAAGCTGAGCTCCTTATAGCGACACTTGCAGCATGTTGATCTCTATATTCCCAGCACTTTGTAAAGTGCCTGACACATAGGAGGCATTCATAAAGCATTTGTCAAATGAATGAATGAATGAAACTGAGAGTATGGGTTAATATATCTAGCTAAGCACTAACTCATAGGTTTTATTGTTGTGTGTTTGTTTGTTTTAATGTAATAAAATGTTATTCACAAAAGGGTAAGGTCTTCAAGTGGGAGATATGAGTAGACACACCAAAGAAAGATGCTTGGTTTTCAGGGCCATTTTGAGAAAAAATGAGATATTACTTTGGAACAGAATGAAATAATATGCAGATGTTAAGTAATGGTTCTGTAAATTATTTGTCATCTCTCTTCTTAAGTAAATATTTAGTGCTCTCCTCTGAGACTTAGAGAGAGGCTGTGTTAGCTGCTCTATTCAGAGATAAAAGAATGCCTCCTGGTTGGTCATAGCTAATGTTTGCTGTTCCATTAGATCTCCAAATTACAGAACCCAGAATCTTCAGCCTACTCTGCTCCCAGGTGAACATATGCAGGAAAGATGCAGCAAGCTGACCATCCACCTCATAATGCATATGCTGTGTTTGGTTTTCAGATGCTCAGTCCCTGGTATGATGAGTTTCTAGATGAAGAGGACTACTGGTTTCTCCTTTTTACGGTAGGAAGGACTTTGGGTTAGGAAGGAATCATGAGGATGAGGGAAGAAGAAAGAGTAATTACTGTTTTAAAAGGGTTATGTGTTAAAGTAAATGAAATTGTTATTTTTCCTAGAGTCAACCAAAGATCAGCATGGTCCCTGTTGTTCTAAAGCTAAACCTCTCAAGGAAAAGGACTCAGTGCATAAGATGACTTTGGTGAAACCCCGTCTCTACTAAAAATACAAAAAATTAGCCGGGCGTAGTGGCGGGCGCCTGTAGTCCCAGCTACTTGGGAGGCTGAGGCAGGAGAATGGTGTGAACCCGGGAGGCGGAGCTTGCAGTGAGCCGAGATCCCGCCACTGCACTCCAGCCTGGGCGACAGAGCGAGACTCCGTCTCAAAAAAAAAAAAAAAAAAAAAAAGATGACTTTGAAAAAGTCACAACCACAGAAAATTTCTTCCTTATAGAAAATGAGTTTGATTAGAAAAGGGTGGGGGTTGGCATGTAAAGGAGCAATGGTTCTTAACAACTGAAAACAACCTGCATAAGACCATGTAACAGGGAGGCATGGAGCACTGAGTTATTACAAAATTATTGCTTCTGGTCTAGTTCCTGTAACAAATGCCATCTTCCCCTCACCCTCTTCTCTTAGACACAGAACAGGTTCATCAGCTCCAGACAGCATAAAAGAGAATTTATAGGCAAAGAAGAGAACATTCTTCTTTATAAGAGGATTCAGCAGTCTCTAGAGTTAAGCCAGGCTTTGGCTGACATGAAGGAAATGGACTATAGGCAGTGGCGAAAGATAGCTACTGAGGACCTGAAGCAAGGAGGCTCTCTCCAGGTAGAGCTGACATCTCCAGTGTTTCTAACAGGTCAGAGCAGTCACTGTAATTTTTTTGACCTTTACATATGGGCAACTGGAAAATAATATTTAACATTTACTAATTATTTACTAAGCGTCAGCACTATGCAGTGCAGGGATTACCTAATTTGGTCATCAAAACAGCCTAAGAGGTAAGTACTAAGTAACTGAGGCACAGAGAGGATGTGACCTCCCCAGGGTCAGAGTAAGTTGCAGTCAGGATTTGAATCCAGACAGACTGACTGTAGAGCTCCCTGCTGGATCTGAGGGAGCCAGAGTGCTCAAGTGTAGCTAGACTCTGGCCCACCAAAGCATCACCATAGTTGATGCTGAATACTTCATTTCATGCATCTAATAAGCATGTTCCACCTCACCACATTTCCTCCAGAATAGGGTCCAAGCGCATTTCTGTGAACATATTTTACAGTCACCCGCTTCCCTAACATAACACACCAGCCCACCCAGGCAGTGGAGAGACATCGTTAGGAGCAAAAGGCTTTGCTGTCCCAGAAGTCTGGGGTTACACCCGTGCTCTCCTATTCACTTGTATGCTTGAGCAATGTATTTAACTTCTCTTTGAGCCCCAGTTTTCTCATCTGTAAAATGGGAATAATAACAAACTTGTGCAGGTGACCTGAGATCATCTATGAAAGCTATTAGTACAATGTTTGACAATCACTTAAGAGTTCAATACTGTAAATGTTAGTCATTATTATTCAAATTGAGCATAGTGCTTTAATTATCTATGTTGAGGCAGTTGGAATACTGCATATTTCTCAAACTTTGATCCACAATAAATACGTTTGACTTCATAATTCCTTAAATATATACCTGTGTATATGTGTGCACATATATATGAAAAAAAATTTCCAAAGCAATACTTGCCCTTATTACATAAGATGCTGTACTCCAGCATTCTTTATTCTATTATGTTTCATGTCATATAAAAGCTAACAATGTCACCATTTATTTTTTGGCATACTAGTGAGTCATGACCTACACTTTGAAAAACATGGATAAAGAGTGAGCAAAAGCTTTGAAAATTCAGTTATACCATTCATATGCACTGTGAGCTTGGGCAAGTTACTCCTTCTCTCTGAACCTAATTTCTTCATCTATTTAGTGGAGATAATGGCCCCTAATTTGTTCAGGATTAGAGGTAATGTATTTACATAGTAAGCAGGTGCTAAGTAAATGGTACTTGTTAGATTACCAAAAGAATGTAACATCCGGCTCTTTTTTAAAACTTTAATATGCACTCTGTATACAAACCAAGATGCCCTGGATGCCTGTCTGTCAGAGCCATGTTTGGGCATAAGTTATTTAAATCTAGCATGAACAGGCCCTCTTTTTTAACCATAGAGATTCCACTCTCTCTCTAAATCCTGAGGATCTTAGATTCTTTCCCAGGAATCAAGACCAAAGTAGATGAAAAGATGGCTGGTAAGTTTCACCACACATATGTTGGGCAATAGGCGTTACTTTGGTGGCTATGGGACACAAGGGATAGCCAGTAAGAATGTGAACCACCCTCCATGGAAGCTCCTTGTCCCTCTCCAAAGCACATATCATTACTTCCTCTATCACTGCTTTTTTGGAGCACAAGTCTGGCCTAATAAAGGGCCTTCTTTGCATTTGGCCAAATCAGAGCCTTGAATCTCAGGTAGGTTGGTGTCTCAAGCTGTACCCTAAACTCACAGAGTACCAGAGCTAGAACATTATCTTTTTTTTTTTTTTTTTTGAGATGGAGTGTGGTGGAACAATCACAGCTCACTGCAGCCATGACTTCCCAGACTCAAGCGAAGCTCCCACCTCAGCCTCCTAAGTTGGTGGGACTACAGGCATGCACCACCACACCCAGCTAATTTTTTTTTTTTGTAGAGATGGGTCTTGCCATGTTGCCCAGGCTAGGCTTGAACTCCTGGGCTGAAGCCATCCTCCTGTCTTGGCTTCCCAAAATGCTGGGATTAAAGGTGTGAGTGACCATGCCTAGCCTACGTATGGTACTTTTAAAAAACTGTAATTATTATTATTATTATTTGAGATGGAGTCTCGCTTTGTCTCCCAGGCTGGAGTGCAGTGGCACTGTCTTGACTCACTGCAACCTCCACCTCCCAGGTTCATGCAATTCTCCTGCCTCAGCCTCCAGAGTAGCTGGGATTACAGGCACCCGCCACCATGCCCTGCTAATTTTTGTATTTTATTAGAGACAGGGTTTCACTATGTTGGCCAGGCTGGTCTCGAGCTCCTGACCTCAAGTGATCCGCCTGTCTCAGCCTCCCAAAGTGCTGGGATTACAGGTGTGAGCCACCACACCCGACCACTATCATCTTTTATACAGGGAAACATGACTTCCAGAATGGTGAAAAGACTTGCCCAAGGTTGCTCAGCAAGGAAGGAATTGATACAGGACTAGAAACCTGGACCCACTGCAGAAATAACCCACTGCTCTTAACACTTTTGGTCAAGATTCTCCTTGATTACACATCATGGTGATGATGATGATGATGATGACTCACATTCACAGGTCCACACCCCAGTACTCTTTATAGACTCAAATAGTATAGCTTCAGAAAGTACTGAACTGCCTAGAGAGTTCCAGGAGAACTCTGTGCATTTAGATATACTCTAAATCCCAGAACTCACAACCCAAATGAATACTTCTCCTCCGTAGGAAGTAAGGTGCTACTATTCTGCTTCTGTTAACCAGATCATTGTTAAAACATCTCTTGCTATCTCAGCCTCATTGTCTCACCACATTTTGGATACAAAAAGGTATTCCCTCTCAATTCATCATGCATAACTTAAGATGATATATGGCTCTTTCTAGAAAAAAAATCCACTCCAAAGGACAATGATTTGCAACTATTGATAATATTCAGATAGGTAAGTTAATTCTGAAAGTAATTCCCAAAGTCAGAGCTGAGAAAGGGAAAACATAGCATAGCATGTTCTTTGCCATTTGTTATTCTTAGGGGCTTCAATTTTTTTTGAAGCAATAGTAGAATGTTTGAAATGCATTTGTAGTTGTGGTCTCATGCCCGCACTTCGGGAGGCCAAGGCGGGAGTATCGCTAGAATCTAGGAGTTCAAGACCAGCCTGGGCAACATGGCAAAAACCCGTCTCTGCAAAAGAACACATACATTTGCTACTCAATCCCTCAACAGATGGATGCTTTGAAGGAGTCACCATTCATTTGTATGAGTTACTTCTCATATATGAATTAAAAAATAGTAGCTCTTTCAAGTCATATCTTGGTTACCCTAGCAACCCTCAGGCAAATAATCTCCATGGGTCAGTTTTCCCTAAGAAGGAGAGGATCTTCTCATTCTGGAGGGAAGAGGAGGCTTATTTCCTTGCCTATAATTTAGCTTAGGGAACTTGTATTATTTCTGTAAACATCCCATTAAAACACTATTGGCCTCTTTAAATAACCTTTTTTTTTTTTTTGAGATGGATTCTCCCTCTGTGGCCCAGGCTGGATGGAGTGCAGTGGCCCAATCTCGGCTCACTACAAGCTCCGCCTCCCAGGTTCACACCATTCTCCTGCCTCAGCCTCCCAAGTAGCTGGGACCACAGGCGCCCGCCACCATACCCGGCTAATTTTTTTGTATTTTTAGTAGAGACAGGGTTTCACCATGTTAGTCAGGATGGTCTCAATCTCCTGACTTTGTGATCCACCCATCTCAGCCTCCCAAAGTGCTGGGATTACAAACGTGAGCCACTGCGCCCAGCATTTTAAAGGCAATACCTTCAACAAAAGTATATGAATCTTTGAACCCAGACTTTGGACAACTAAACTCTATCTCTGTTTTTCCTTACTTCACAGACATAACTAAAATGTCCTTTGAGGAGCTTTGCTACAAGAACCCAAAGATGGCCATACAGAAGATCAGTGATGACTACAAAATATACTGTGAGAAAGCACCTAAAATAGGCAAGTGTTTAAAATCAGGGATAGACGAGGCAACTAGGTTTTTTCAAATCTAAGAGAAAATCTGTAATCTTGTGTTCTTTAAGGAACATAAGCCAAAAGAGGAACCATGCTCTGTTGGAAATGGAGAGGTGGTTAGGGGGTAATGACTATGTCTTTTTTCTCCTACGAAACCACAGAAGAGCATCATGAAAATAAGATGTAATCATAAATGAATGAAGTGATGATGGTTAAGATTGTTCATTTCTACTTTCTTATCTAGTTATCACTCTGGGGTTTTAATTAATGTGAATTCTTCTTCTGTCAAGTTACCTGGAGGCTGAGATTTGTGAAGGGATGTTTGTTAAGGAGTGCTCTTGGGAATAATACCTCTAAGAGAGTGAGGAAGGCAGGATTGGGGAGAGGTAGATGCTGAACTGTGAAGCAATCACAACAGGCCTCAGCAGATGCCATAAGAAACTCTGATGCCAGGGTGGCCCTTCAGAGTTGTCCCTCAGTGAGGTAAGAAATTTAATTTGGGCTTTAGTTCTTCCACATTGATCCACGGGAGATGTGAATGCCCCTGTGAAGGATATAACCTAGGGTTTATAGCCAGGCAGTTTCCTTTGGCTGAAGCAACTTCCAGAAGGGGCCTCCTCTCTGGGCCATCAGCAGCCAACACTCAGGCATCTAGGGGAATGAGTGCTTTGGCCCTGAAGGGAGGTTCTGGGTAGTACCCAGTACCACCCACTACTGTCCATTTGCTTTGTATAGAAATTTCACCTCATCTTGGAGTAGCTCCTCCAGGAATCTGATAGTTTCTTGTCCTGGGAAACGTATTTGAGAAAGGCAGGCTCACATTACTCTACCTTATCTGAAGACCATTGCTAATATTCCTCTTCTTCCTCTCCTGCTCCCCATCCTAGATTCCTCTCATGCTCAGCTAGCACCTCTGCTGGTCTTGGGGTCTTACTAGACTCTCATCTCTGGGATACCTGAGCCCCCGGTCATCACGACTTCTCAGGCTGTGGCTGCTTCACTTGTCAACCTATCATACAAATTGGGCCAGGGAATACCAAGAGTGGCAAGTGAATTGTCCAGTATCTGCTATGTAACATGATCTTAATGATTAGGATCAATTACCCTATCAGTACAGTGACTCCTTTGCTTGCCTGCTGACTTCTTGGCATAAGGAGCTTAATGCGATTGAACAGCTACTATTTCCTCTAGTAGAAGCATTCTGCCTCCAGGAACTAAGATCTCTAGACTGGCACTGTCCATTACAGGAGCCACTAGCCCCATGTGGCCACTGAGCACTTGAAATGTGACTGGTACATGTGGGTAAATAAAACACATTGTTAAAATTAATTTCACCCTTTTCTTTTTAGCTTTTTCAATGTGACTACTAGAAAATTTTAAATTATATACGTGGCTCACATTATATTTTTATTGGACAGCACTGGTCTAGACCTACAGAACCTAAAGGTATAAAGATGACAAATTTCCCTAAGTAAGTCTCTGATACTGATGGTAAATGGAACACTTCTTTCATTCATTGGTACCTGGGCCCATTTATTCTACTACTGAAGACACACCTTATAATGGTCTTTGAATTATCCTGGAAGATGATGCCTCATTTTCCTGAGGTATCGTCATTCTCCCCTAGCATTCTGGTAGCTTCAAGCTGCTTTCACAGCTGTGCCTTCAAAAAGTGGCTCCATCACTTCATCAAGCCAGCAGCTCTCAAAGGAAATAGAACTAGTAGATCTCATCTTCGTGGGACCCATTGGCCATTGCCACACCTTCTTTGCTATAAAGTGTATCCCTTGGTCAGAGGCAATGTTATGTGAGATCCCATTGAGGGATCAATCACTTATAAGCCCCGAGGTGGTGATGCTGTCTGAGACCTTGCAGCTAAGATACATATCAGTTCCAGTCAAAATGAATTGCTGCTCTTTCCAGAATAGAAGGTGTTCAGTGTAATCAGTTTGTCACTAAGTGGCTGGCTTTTATTAGGGATGTTACTATACTGGGTACTGGGGGCTCTGCATTTGTTTCTGTTGCCAGCAACTTGAGTGTTTGGCACTCAAACATGGGGCACATGCTGTTGGTCTGTACATAGCCTCCATCCCTGCCACCTAGAACTCTGTCCATGAGCTCACTGTGCCAGCACTACAGTGGCTTATGACAGAGACTTGCTGGCATCAACTGGCAGAGTGTCATTCTGTCTGCTTGGTTGTTTAGTGCCTCTTTCATGGTAGTTGTTTTTTGGAGGGCTTTAAGATGCAATACAAAGATCTCCACATGTCATGTTTTTTCTCATAGATCCATCCACATGTGTATATTCTCAGACCATTTTGTCCCCAGTATTCTAATCTTTCTCCTTCTAAGCCCCTGGCTTACCAGCCAAACCATTCATCACTGCCCATGAGTATGTATATATTCTTATCCTGGGCTACTTCTCTTTCCACACAAACGAATGCACAGGTTCGCCGCCAAAGTTCTGCTTATGGCGTTGCAGGGGATTTTTCTCTCCCCATCATCTTTCAGGATCACCACTGATAGAGGGCTTCAGCTGTTTATTTTCACCAAGATATTGAGATGGTCCATTCATGAAACAGGTTCAGCTTTTTTCCTCTTCTGTCAGCTGGTCATCAATGTGACCAGCCATAGATGTGATGACAGTGAAGTGGCAGTGCCACAGTGGTAATGACATGGGTGTCTGGGTCACCTGCTTAGGTAGTTTCTTGTACCTTCTGACCTGCCTCATGCCTGATTCCACATGTACCATTTACATTTTATGATGAATTACTGTTGAGCCACCTATGACTGGGTGATCTTGAGTAACCCAGTTTATGACAGTATAGTAATCTATTATCACACTGCTATAAAGAAATACCTGAGGTTGGGTAATTTATAAAGAAAAGATATTTAATTTGGCTCATGGTTCCACAGGCTATACAGGAAGCATAATGCTGGCATCTGCTTGGCTTCTGGGGAGGCCTCAGAAAATTTACAGTCATGACAGAAGGTGAAGGGGGAGCCAGAACTTCTCGTGGTTGGAGCCAAAGGAAGAAACGGGGAGGTGCTACACACTTAACCAATAAGATATCATGAGAACTCACTCATGATGGTGAGGACAGTACCAAGGGGATGGTGATAATCCATTCATAAGAAACCACCCCATGAGCTAATAACCTCCCACCAGGCCCCACCTCCAACATTGGAGATTACATTTCAGCATGAGATTTGGGCAGAGACACAGATCCAAACCATATCGGATGGGTAGGTCTGTCTGTATGCTCACTTGATATCACATGGACAGGCTCTCTTACTTTACCATAGCTCAATAGCACATTGAAGTATTTTGTGAACAGTGTAGTTTTTTGCTGCAGATAACATGGCCTTACTCCAGAAATTTACGGATCTATTTCAAGATTATCCTTTTCAGGTCTGTCATAAACTCCATTGTCTTTTCCCACTACTGATACTCCTAAAACCATGAGATCTGTTGTGTTGTATGGCCTAAGTGTTAGGGCTATTTATACCAGAGCCTTAACTTGCAGCAAAAATACTTTCCCACTCTGGGTCCCCCTAACATCTGGCAGCCTTATATTTCAGAAAAGTATTTTCAAGTGTGAAATAATGCTGTTTCTAAAACATAAAGAAGTCTACCAGATTTTATGCTTCCTTCTTAGTAGTGAAAGATGCAAGATGCAATCTATGTCCTTTATTTTGGAGAGGATGTCCAAATATGCACCAGATCACACTGGATTCTAGAACCTTTCTTTACTGATATAGTGGACCCTTCAGTCTTGGTAGGATTTATTCACCTCTGGAGCATATGTGTCTTACTAAGGCCCCCAAAATGCTTAGCCTTTATTGTTTATCTTGCCCAATGTATATGATACATGTGATACAATGTATATGATACTATTGATAATGTGGACTAATGTAATATTCTGCAGAGTAGATGATTTGGGGCCCATTGAATTACATTATGTCAGAGGATAGAAAAGTTAATATAATAATGGCAAGACAGTAAATATATATGCTGTCCATCCTACATCAATGTGAACTGCTTCTTGTCCTTCTTTATGATAGGAATGAAAAAGAGATAGAAAGATAGATAGATAGATAGATAGATAATAGACTGTGTGTATGTGTGTGTGTGTGCATGTGTGTGTGTGTCTGTGTATCTTTTTCAGGAGATATATATATTATATATATATATTTTTATATCTCCTGATATAAAAATATATATATATCTGTCAGGAGATATATATTTTTTTCAGGAGACAGATATATTATATATCTGAAAATAAAAATTGCTATTTTCTCTTGAAAATAACAACTAACTTATAGAAAAAAAAGTACAGGAAAAAAATCCTTTATTGAACCACTTGACAGTAGCTGTCAACCTAATGCCCCACCATCCTCAAATAATTCAGTGTATACTTTCAACAAACAAGGACATTCTCCCACAAAGCCACAATACAATGATCAGAATCAGGAAATTAACACTGATACATTACTACCACTTAATTTTCAGACCAAATTCAATATTTATTGAATGTCATCTTACTCAGATTTTCTTTGACTTTTATATCCTTGACACTTTTGAAGATTCCAAGTCTATTTTTACAGAGGTCCCTTCATTTTTGTTTGATGTTTTCTCATGATTAGGTTCAGGTTATGCATTCAGGTTATTCAGAAATATCATTGCAGTTCTTTTCACTGCAGCAAGTGGTGCACGATTTTGCTTTGTTCCATTACTGATGATGTTCCCACCCCTCTTTTTGTAGAAATGGGGTCTCACTATGTTCTCCAGGCTGTTTTTGAACTCCTGGCCTCAAGAGATCTTGCCTTGACCTCCCAGAGCACTGAGATTATAGGCATCGATCTTCCCTTTGATCATTTGGTTAATGTGGTACCTGCCAGGATTCTTTGTTATAAATTTATTATTTTTCCTTTCATGATTAATAAGTATTGTGGGGGGTGTACTTTAAAATTATGTAAATATCTCATTCTTACACTCTTAATTCATTAATTTATATGAACTCTTTTTTTTATTCAATGGGTTATAATTCATTACTGTGATTATTTTGGTGCTCAAATATTCCCCAGTTTGGTAAGTGGCACCCATTTCAAGCTGGCTTATGTCTCGTTTTGGAATGTCTCTTGAGCATGCTCTTGCTTTTTTGTATATGCCTCCCAGGTGCATCTTCTACTTTCCCTGTCTAGCTCTAGAATCAGTCGTTTATTTGAAGAGCCTCATTCCTTTTCTTAGAGAATGATGCTTAAAAGCCAAAATCAAGAAACTAGATTAACTCATTGCTATTGGAGTGTCACTGCAATCAGATCTTATTAGTGGTTCGAGCTAAAGAATGTGTGTGTCCCAGAGATTCTGATATGTTGTATCTTTGTTCTCCTGGGTTTCAAAGAATTTCTTGATTTCTGCCTCAATTTTATTGTTTACTCAGAAGTCATTCAGGAGCAGATTGTTTAGTTTCCAAGTAATTGTATGGTTTTGAGTGATCTTTTTAGTGATTTTCTTAGTGATTTCTATTTTTATTGTGCCATGGGCCAACAGTGTGGTTGGTTTAAATTCAGTTTTTTGTTTTTTATTTTTAATTTGCTGAGTTGTTCTATGGCTGATTATGTGACCAACTTTTCTTTTTCCTTTGTTTGTTTGTTTTTTTTTGAGACAGAGTCTTGCTCTTGTTGCCCAGCCCGGAGTGCAATGGCACGATCTTGGCTCACTGCAACCTCCACCTCCTGGGTTCAAGCGATTCTCCTGCCTCAGCCTCCTGAAGAACAGGGATTACAGGCACCCGCCACCACACTTGGCTAATTTTTGTATTTTTAGTAGAGATGGGGTTTCACAATGTTGGCCAGGCTGGTCTCGAACTCCTGACCTCAGGTGATCTTCCTGCCTCAACCTCCCAAAGTGCTGGGATTACAGGCGCGAGCCCCGGCACCTGGCTCTTATGTGGCCAATTTTAGAGTATGTGCCATGTGCAGATAAGAAGAATGTATGTTCTGTTGTTTTGGGGTGAAGATTTCTGTAGATGCCAGTTAGGTCCATTTGGGTCAAGTGTTGTGTTCAGGTCTGGAATACCTTTGTTAGTTTTCTGCCTCAAAGTTCTAATACCATCAGTGGGGTGTTGAAGTCTCCCACTGTTATTGTGTGATTGTCTAAGTCTCTTCGCAGGTCTCTAAGAACTTGTTTTATGATCCTGGGAGCTCCTGTATTGGGTGCATACATATATATTTAGGATAGTTAAGTCTTGTTTAATTGAACCTTTACCATTATGTGATGCCTTTATTTGTCTTTTTTGATTGTTGTTGATTTAAAGACTGTTTTGTTTGAAATTAGAATAGCAACCTCTGCCTTTTTTGTTTGTTTTCCATTTGCTTGGTAGATTTTTCTCCATCTCTTTACTTTGAGCCTGTGGGTGTCATTGCATGTGAGATGAATCTCTTGAAGATAGTAACAGTTGGGTCTTGCTTTTTTATCCAGCCTGCCACTCTGTGCCTTTTAATTGGGACATTTAGCCCATTTACATTCAAGGTTAATATTGATAGGTGTGGATTTGATTCTGTCCTCATTAGCTGGTTATTATGCAGACTTGATTTTGTAGTTGCCTTATAGTGTCAATGGCCTATGTACTTAAGTGTGCTTTTGTGGTAGTCAATAACAGTCTTTCATTTCCATATTTAGCACTCCCTTAAGGACCTCTTGTAAGGCAGGTCTGGTGGCAACAAATTCTCTTAGCATTTGCTTGTCTGAAAAGTTAGATACTAGATTTTTACCAGATACATGATTTGCAAATATTTACTTCCATTCTGTGGGCTGTATTTTCACTATGTTGATAATGTTCTTTGATGCACAAAAGTTTTCAATTTTGGTGAAGTCCAATTTGTGTTTTCTTTCATTTTTTGCTCGTGCTTTTAGTGTCATATTTAAAAATGTTTGCCAAATCCGTGGTCTTGAAGGTTTACCTCTTTGTTTTATCCAAGAGCTTTAAGGTATTAGCATCTACACTTAAGTTTGTTATTCATTTTGAGTTAATTTTTTTGTGTGGTGTGAGGAAAGAGTTTAACTTCATTCTTTTGTGGTTGAATAGCCAACTGATCCAGCACCATTTGTTGAAGAGACTCTTCTTTCCCCCCATTGAACGGTGTAGACATGCTAGTCAAAAATAAATTGACTGTACATGTATGTTTTTATTTTTGGAATCAAAATTCAATTCCATTGATCTCTAAGTTTATTTTTATACTAGTGCCACTATTTTGATAACTGTGTTTTATAGTAAGTTTTAAAATCAGGAGATGTGAGTCCTTCAATTTTATTTTTTCAAGGTCGTTTTTGCTATTTGGGATAGCTTGCAATTCTATGTGAGTTTTTGGACCAACTTTTCCATTTTTTCAAAAAATAATCATCGGGGTTTGAATTGAGATTGTACTGAATCTATAGATCATTTTGGGTAGCATCGCCATATTCAATCTTCCAATTTATGAACACAGGATATATTTTTCTTTAAGTCTTCTTTAATTTCTCTCAGCAATACTTTGTAATTTTTAGTTTACAAGTTTTACATTTTCATGATTACATTTATAAGTATTTAATTCTTTCTGATGCTATTGTAAGTGGAACTATTTTTATTTCATTTCAGATTGTTCATTGTGAGTATATAGAAATACAACTGATTATTGCATATTGAATTTGTATCCTAAAACTTTGCTGAATTTGTTTACTAGGTTTAATAGTATTTTGTGGATTCTTTAGAATTTTCTGTACATTAGATTGTGTCACGTGTCACCTCTGAATAAAATAGCTTTGCTTGTTCCTTCCCAATGTGGACATTTTTCTTTTCTTTTCTTGCATAAGTGCTCTGGCTAGAACTTCCAGTACAATGCTAAATAAAAACAGTGAAAGAAGGCATGCTTGTCTTCTTCCTGAGCTGAGGGGCAAAGCTTTCAGTCTTTCACCATTGACTATAATGTTTCCTGTGACTTTGCCTTTTATCATGTTGAGGATGTTCTCTTCTATTTCTAGTTTGTTGGATAATTTTTATGATGAAAGAATGTTGGATTTTGTCAAATCCTTTTTCTCTGTCAATTGAGATGATTTTCGTCCTTCCTTTCTCTCTTTCTCTCTTTCTTTCTTTTTTTTCTTTTCTTTTCTTTTTTCTTTTCTTTTTTTTTTTTTTTTTTTTTTTTTTTTTTGAGACAGAGTCTTGCTCTGTCGCCCAGGCTGGAGTGCAGTGGTGCATCTTGGCTCACTGCAATCTCCATCTCCCAGGTTCAAGCAATTCTCCTCCCTCAGCCTCCCGAATAGCTGGGATTACAGGTGTGTACCATTACGCCTGGCTAATTTTTGAATTTTTATTAGAGACGGGGTTTCACCATGTTGTCTAGGATGGTCTTGAACTCCTGACCTCAAGTGGTCCTCCTGCCTCTGCCTCCAAGAATGCTGGGATTACAGACGTGAGCCGCTACGCCCCGCCTTGATGTGTAACCTCCTTAATATTCTACTGGATTTGATATGTTCACGTTGTATTGAGGATTTTTGCATCTATATCCATAAGGAATGTTGGTCCATAGCTTTCGTGGGTTGTCTTTGTCTGATTTATTATTAGGATCATGCTGACCTCAGAATGAGTTAGGAAGCATCTCCTCCTCTTCAATATTTTGGCCGAGTTTAAGAAGAATTGATGTTAATTCTTGAAATGTTATGTAGAATTTACCAGTGAAGTCATCAGGTCCTGAGCTTTTCTTTGTTGGGTGGTTCTTGATTATTGGTTCAATCTCCCATTCAAACTGTTATTTTTTCTTGAGTCAGTTTTAGAAGTTTGTGCATTTTTTGAACTTTGTTTATCTAGATTACCTAATTTGTTGCCATAAAATTGTTTATAGTAGTTCTCTTGTAATCCTTTTTATTTCTGTAAGTTTGGTAGTAATGTCTTCACTTTTATTTCTGATGTTAATAATTTAATTCTTTTCCCTTTTTTTCTCGATAAGTCTAGCTAAATGTTTGCCAATTTTGTTATCTTTTCAAAAGAAAAAGCTGTTGTTTTTGTTGACGGTCTCTATTGCTCTCAGAAAGTAGATGCTTCTACTCCCTATTTTGTCTGTTTCCACTCTAGTCTTTATTATTCCTTTCTTCTACTGGTTTTAGATTTAGCTTGGCTGGGTGCAGTGGCTCATACCTGTAATCCCAGCACTTTGGAGGCCGAGGCAGGATACCTTGAACCTAGGAGTTTGAGAGCAGTCTGAGCACATAATGAGACCCTGTCTCTACAAAAAATTAAAAAATTAACCAGGCACAATGGCACATGCCTGTAGTCCCAGCTACTTGTGAGGCTGGGGTGGGAGGATTGCTTGAGCCTAGGAAGCTGAGGCTGCAGTGACCTATGATCATGCCACAGTACTCCAGCCTGGACAACAGAGTTAGACCCCATCTCTAAAAAACAACAACAAAAACAGATTTAGCATGCTGTTCTTTATCTAGTTCCGAATCTGGAAGGCTAGATTATTTACTTGGTATCCTCTTTTTTAATATCTGCATTTATAAGTTTCTTTTTGAGCAGTGTTTTCACTGCATCCCATAGGTTTTGGCATGTGATGTTTTTATTTTCCTTTAGCTGAAAATTAATGTTTTGAGCTAAAGGAAATTAATGTTTTAATATACGCATTTGTAGGTTTCTTTTTGAGCAGTGTTTTCACTGCATCCCATAGGTTTTGGCATGTAATGTTTTTATTTTCCTTTAGCTCAAAATTAATGTACTTTTCAAGGTGCCCAACCTCATTGATCAGAGAAATGCAGATTGAAACTACAATGTGATGTCATCTCACCCCAGTTAAAATGGCTTATATCCAAAAGACAGGCAATAACAAATGCTGGCAAGGATGTGGAGAAAAGGAAACCCTGGCACACTGTTGGTGGGAATGTAAATTAGTACAACCACTATGGAGAACAATTTGGAGATTCCTCAAAAAACTAAAAATAGAGCTATCATATGATCCAGCAACCCCACTGCTAGGTATACCCAAAAGAAAGGAAATCAGTTATCGAAGAGTTATCTGCACTCCCATGTTTGTTGCAGCACTGTTCATGATAGCCAAGATTTGGAAGCAACCTACACGTCCATCTTGATGCAAGATTTGCTTCTAAATCTTGGCTATCATGAACAGCATCAAGATGGACATGGATAAAGAAATGGATCCAGATGAATTGATAAAGAAAATGTGCTCCTATACACAATGGAATACTATTCAGCCATAAAAAGAATGAGATTCAATCATGTGCAACAACATGGATGGAACTGGAGGTCATTATGTTAAGTGAAATAAGCCAGGCACAGAAAGACAAACATCGCGTGTTCTCACATATTTGTGGGATCTAAAAATCAAAACAATTGAACCCATGGAGAAAGAGAGTAGAAGGATGGTTACCAGCGGCTAGGAAGGGTAATTGTGGGGTGGGGGGAGGGTGGGTTGTGTAGGGTGGTGAGGGGGAGTTAAGGATAGTTAATAGGTATAAAAAAGTAGTTTGAAAGAATAAAGCCTAGTATTTGATAGCACAACAGAGTGGCTATTATCAATAATAATTTAATCGTACATTTTTAAATAACTAAAAGAACATAATTGGATTGTTTGTAACACAAAGGATAAATGCTTGAGTGGATGGATACTCCATCTTTCATGATGTAATAATTATGTATTGCATGCCTGTATCAAAACATCTTATGTATCCCATAAATATATACACCTAAGTACCCACAAAAATTAAAAGTTTTTTAAAAAACAAAGTTATCATGCTTTTCAGCCCCCAAATTTTTATTTGGTCCCTTTTGTAATTTCTTTTTTTTTTTTTTTTTTTTTTTTGAGACAGAGTCTCACTCTGTCACCCAGGCTGGAATGCAGTGGTGGAATCTTGGCTCACTGCAACCTCTGCCTCCCGGGTTCAAGCGATTCCCCTGCCTCAGCCTCCTGAGTAGCTGGGACTACAGGTACACACCACCATGTGCAGCTAATTTTTGTATTTTTAGTAGAGACGGGGTTTCACCATGTTGGCCAGACTGGTCTCGAACTCCTGACCTCAGGTGATCCGCTCGCCTACAGCCTCCCAAAGTGCTGGGATTACAGGTGTGAGTCACCATGCCCGGCCAGTTTCTCTTTATTGGTACTCTCTTTCGGTTAGACATAATTCTCCCGGGTTTTTGTAACTTTCTTTGCTCATGGTTTCCTTTAGCTCTTTGAGCATATCTGAGACAATTGATTTAAAGACTAGTAAGTACAATGGCTGGACTTCTCATGGACAATTTCCATTGGTTCTTTTTTCCTGTGAATGAGCCATACTTTTTTTTTTTTTTTTTTTTTTTTTTTGCATACCTCATAGTTTTTTTGTAGAAGACTGGACTTTTTAATATTATAATGTAGCAACTATGGAAATTAGATTCTCCCAAGGAAATTAGAAACTCCCCAGGATTTGTTGTTCTGCCTTTGGGGTTGGTGTTGTTTGTTTATTTAGTGACTTTTCTCAACTATTTTTGTAAAGTCTGTATTCTTCATCATATGTGGCCACTGAAGTCTTAGTTCTGTTAGCCTGTGGTCATATAGAGTTTTGACAGTTTCCTTAAATTCTTGGAGCCAAAAAAGAAAACAAAAGAAGAATAAAATAAATTACCGGTCTTTGTAGATTGGCTCTGTGTTGGGATGCTCTTTCAACACTTAGCTAGCTAGACCACTTATATAACTCTTCTTTAGCCTTCACTCCTCGCTTGCCTGGAAACTAAATTTCAGCCAGAGGTGAAAGTTTTGGGTCTTCTAATGCCTTTTCTGAGCATACATCCAGTTCTAGGTATGTATATGGACTTCCTGATTCTCTGGTATACATACAAGCTTTGAAAACCCTTATTACCCCATATGTATCCTTCCCCAACTTCATCTTTTCCCAGCTTTTTGGTCTGTCAAATGCTATCCCAACTGTTGTCCCTAGGCCCAAGCTGTGGTGGTCAATACTTGTATCCTTAAATTCTTTTAGTAATTTCACTTGGGAAGCCTCCCCATCCTTGGAAACACTCCAAGTATGGCAAAATAAAGGCTAGTCCTTGTGTCAGTTGTTCAGGGAGCCAGATAACTTTAGGTCAAAACAAACAACCACAATTTTTTGAAAATAAGATTCATATTTCACCTTCTGGCACTAGCAACCTGCATTACAATATGGGCTGCTGTCATCATGGCCACCACTGATGTGGAGATTGGTGGTGGGGGTATGTGGACAATTTAAAATGCCACACTTTCTTTACCACAATGCATCCTCATCTTTCTTCACCAAGACTTTCCCTAGTTGTCATAAATTCTTGACTAGATTCAAGAATTCTCCAAAGCTCTGATTCTCACCATTTTTGTCGTATCCTTAGTTGCTTTTGTGGAGGGTTGAATTCTGAGAGCTCCCTCCTTTGCCATTTTCTGTGTCATCATTTCCTACTATATCTTTTAATCCATGGATTTGGCATATTCCTCCATTTATTCATGTATTCATTAATTTGTATTTAAAACTAATAATTTTTATAGTTTTCCACTTAATATTATTATATCTCTCCATTATATTTATTTCTAGACCTTTGATGTTTTCTGATGCACTTATGTTTTCTGATGTACTTGTAAATTTTTAAAGTTTTATTTTTAACTTTGTCTGGCATATAGAAATATAATCGATTTTTATGTAATAAACCAGTATTTCAAAACTTTACTGAATTAGCTAATTCTACAAGTTCATCTGCAAATTCCTTTGATACACACAATTATGTCCTCTGTGAATAAAGAGTTTCATTTTTTAAGATATTTATATATTTGATTTTCCTTTATTACCTTATTGCTCTTACTAGGTCTTCCATTACCTAGATAGATGTGGCATTACATTGAGACACCCTTGCCTCAGTCTCAATCTCAATTTAATCACAGATTTAATCTCTTCAAAATATATAGGACTGCTTAGATTTTCTATTTCTTTTTATGCCATTTTAGTATGTTGTATATTTTAGGAATTTGGCAATTTCATTTGACATTTCAAATATGTTGACATGAAGTTGTTTGTGATACTCTCATTATATTTAAATGTCTATAAGACATGTAATGTTGAGTGCAGTATTCTGTATATGTTAGTTAGGTGTATTTGGCTAAGCACATTCACATTTTCTGTATTTTTACGATAGTTGTGGTTTTCATTGCTATCAGTTAAAAGAGACATTACTAATCTCCCACTCTGGATTTTTTCATTTATCTTTTTAGTACTTTCAATTTTTGCTTTATTTGAGTCTACATTGTTAGATGCAAGCAAATATGGAATTATAGATTCCTGCTAGAATAATTCTTTTTCTCTAATAACACTTCCTGCTTTATAGTCTTTGTCTCCATTTTGATAGTCATTACCTTTTATCCCATCTTTTTATTCTTTAATATCCCTTTGTTCTCATATTTAAGCTAAGCCCCTTTTAAGTCTAATCTTATTTCTTATATTTTTGTTTCCATTTAAATCCAATCTGACAATTGCCTTTTAGTAAGCATATTTAGTCCACTTACATTTGATATGATTACTTATACATTGGGTTTAAAATGCTACCTTACCATTTTAAGTCTTTTTTTAACTGCTGCTGTAATAGATGTACATAGTTTCAGGGTACATGTGACAATTAAACACATTCACATAATTTGTAAAGATAAAATTAGTATACTTGGGATATCCATCACCCTAAATATTTGTTTTTCCTTGCACTGGAACAATTAACATTCTTCTCTTCTAGCTAGCTTGAAATATACAATAGATTGTTGTAAGCTATATTGCTATATTCACCCTGCTCACCTTTCTTTTTTTTTTTTTTTTTTTTTTTGTGACAGAGTTTCACTTTTATTGCCCAGGCTGGAGTGCAATGGCACGATTTTGGCTCACCGCAAACTCCACCTCCCGGGTTCAAGCAATTCTCCTGCCTCAGCCTCCTAAGTAGCTGAGATTACAAGCATGTGCCACCATGCCTGGCTAATTTTGTATTTTTAGTAGAGACGGGGTTTCTCCATGTTGGTCAGGCTGGTCTCGAACTCCCGACCTCAGGTGATCTGACTGCCTCAGTCTCCCAAAGTGCTGGGATTACAGGTATGAGCCACTGTGCCTGGCCTCACTCTGCTCATCTTTCTAACACTAGGTCTTATTTCTTCTATCAATCAAACCATATATTTATACTCATTAATCAATATCTTTCTTTCTTCCTTCCCCCTAACCTTTGCAGCCTTTGGTAACCACCAATCATACTCCTTGTCTTCATGAAATCCCTTTTTAAGCTCCCACATATGAGTAAGAACATGTGATATTTGTCTTTCTGTGCTTGGCTTATTTCACGTAACATAGTGACCACCAGTTTCATTCATGTTGCTGCAAAAGACAGGATTTCATTCTTTTTTGTGGCTGGATAATATTCCATTGTGTATATGTACCATGTTTTCTTTATCCATTCATCTTTTGATGATTACTTAGGTTGATCTCATATCTTGGCTATTGTGAATAGTACTACAATGAACATGGGAGTGCAGATTTTTTTTTTTTCTTTTTTGGGACAGGGTCTGTCTCTGTCACTCAGGCTGGAATGCAGTGGTGCAATCATGGCTCACTGCAGCCTTGACCTCTTGGACTCAAGCAATCCTTCCACCTCAGCCTCCTCAAGTAGTTGGGACCACAGGCACATGCCACCACACCCAGCTAATTATTTTATTGTTTTAGAGACGGGGTTTTGGCATGTTGCCCAGGCTGATCTCGAACTCCCGGGCTCAAACAATCCACCCACTTCAGCCTCTCAACATGCTGATAGTGTGAGCCACCATGCCCAGCCCAGATGTTTTTTTGATATGTTGATTTTCTTTCTTTAAACTATATACCCAGTAATAGAATTGCTGTGTTACATGGTAGTTCTATTTTTAATTTTCCGAGAAACCTCCATACTATTTTTCATACTGGCTGTACTAATTTACATTCCTACCGACAATGTGCAGGTATTTTCCTTTTTACACAACCTCACCAGCATCGTTTATTCCATCTTTTTGATAAAAAGCCATTTTAACTAGGACGAGATCATATCGCATTGTAATTTTGTTGGTGGTGGTGATGGTTGTTGGTGGTGGTGGTGTTTTTTTTTTTTTTTTTTTTTTTTTGAGATGGAGTTTCACTCTTTGTTGCCCAGGCTGGAGTGCAATGGGGTGATTTCGGCCCACTGCAACCTCCGCCTCCCGGGTTCAAGTGATTCTCCTGCCTCAGCCTCCTGAATAGCTGGGATTATAGGTGCCTGCCACCACACCCAGCTAGTTTTGTATTTTTAGTAGAGATGAGGTTTCGCCATGTTGGTCAGGCTGGTCTTGAACTCCTGACCTCAGGTGATCCACCCGCCTCAGCCTCCCAAAGTGCTGGGATTACAGGCGTGAGCCACTGCACCCGGCTCTCATAGTTTTGATTTGCATTTCTCTGATGATTAGTGATGTTGAGCATTTTTTCATATACCTATTGACTATTTGTTTTTTTTTTTTTTTTTTTTAATTTATTTTTTTATTGATAATTCTTGGGTGTTTCTCACAGAGGGGGATTTGGCAGGGTCATGGGACAATAGTGGAGGGAAGGCCAGCAGATAAACAAGTGAACAAAGGTCTCTGGTTTTCCTAGGCAGAGGACCCTGCGGCCTTCCGCAGTGTTTGTGTCCCTGATTACTTGAGATTAGGGATTGGTGATGACTCTTAACGAGCATGCTGCCTTCAAGCATCTGTTTAACAAAGCACATCTTGCACCGCCCTTAATCCATTTAACCCTGAGTGGACACAGCACATGTTTCAGAGAGCACAGGGTTGGGGGTAAGGTCACAGATCAACAGGATCCCAAGGCAGAAGAATTTTTCTTAGTGCAGAACAAAATGAAAAGTCTCCCATGTCTACTTCTTTCTACACAGACACGGCAACCATCCGATTTCTCAATCTTTTCCCCACCTTTCCCGCCTTTCTATTCCACAAAGCCGCCATTGTCATCCTGGCCCGTTCTCAATGAGCTGTTGGGCACACCTCCCAGACGGGGTGGTGGCCGGGCAGAGGGGCTCCTCACTTCCCAGTAGGGGCGGCCGGGCAGAGGCGCCCCTCACCTCCCGGACGGGGCGGCTGGCCGGGCAGGGGGCTGACCCCCCACCTCCCTCCCGGACGGGGCGGCTGGCCGGGCAGAGGGGCTCCTCACTTCCCAGTAGGGGCGGCCGGGCAGAGGCGCCCCTCACCTCCCAGACGGGGCGGCTGGCCGGGCAGAGGGCTGACCCCCCCACCTCCCTCCCGGACGGGGCGGCTGGCCAGGCGGGGGGCTGACCCCCCCACCTCCCTCCCGGACGGGGCAGCTGGCCGGGTGGGGGGGCTGACGCCCCCATCTCCCTCCCGGACGGGGTGGCTGGCCAGGCTGAGGGGCTCCTCACTTCCCAGTAGGGGCGGCTGGGCAGAGGCGCCCCTCACCTCCCGGACGGGGCGGCTGGCCGGGCGGGGGGCTGAACCCCCCACCTCCCTCCCGGACGGCACGGCTGGCCGGGCGGGGGGCTGACCCCCCCACCTCCCTCCCGGATGGCACGGCTGGCCGGGTGGGGGGGCTGACCCCCCACCTCCCTCCCGGATGGGGCGGCTGGCCGGGCGGGGGGCTGACCCCCCCCCACCTCCCTCCCGGACGGGGTGGCTGCCGGGCGGAGACGCTCCTCACTTCCCAGATGGGGTGGCTGCCGGGCGGAGAGGCTCCTCACTTCTCAGACGGGGTGGTTGCCAGGCAGAGGGTCTCCTCACTTCTCAGACAGGGCGGCCGGGCAGAGACGCTCCTCACCTCCCAGACGGGGTCTCGGCCGGGCAGAGGCGCTCCTCACATCCCAGATGGGGCGGCGGGGCAGAGGCGCTCCCCACATCTCAGACGATGGGCGGCCGGGCAGAGACGCTCCTCACTTCCTAGATGTGATGGCGGCTGGGAAGAGGCGCTCCTCATTTCCTAGATGGGATGGCGGCCGGGCGCAGACGCTCCTCACTTTCCAGACTGGGCAGCCAGGCAGAGGGTCTCCTCACATCCCAGACGATGGGCGGCCAGGCAGAGACACTCCTCACTTCCCAGACGGGGTGGCGGCCGGGCAGAGGCTGCAATCTCGGCACTTTGGGAGGCCAAGGCAGGCGGCTGGGAGGTGTAGGTTGTAGTGAGCCGAGATCACGCCACTGCACTCCAGCCTGGGCACCATTGAGCACTGAGTGAACGAGACTCCGTCTGCAATCCCGGCACCTCGGGAGGCCAAGGCTGGCGGATCACTCGCGGTTAGGGGCTGGAGACCGGCCCGACCAACACAGCGAAACCCCGTCTCCACCAAAACCAGTCAGGCGTGGCGGCACGTGCCTGCAATCGCAGGCACTCGGCAGGCTGAGGCAGGAGAATCAGGCAGGGAGGTTGCAGTGAGCGGGGATGGCAGCAGTACAGTCCAGCTTCGGCTCCACATGAGAGGGAGACCGTGGGGAGAGTGAGAGGGAGAGGGAGAGGGAGAGGGAGAGGGAGAGGGAGAGGCCTATTGACTATTTGTATGTTTTCTTTTGAGAAACGTCTATTCAGAGCTTTTGCCCATTTTTAAGTTGGATTATTTGGTTTGCTATTGCGTTGTTTGAGCTTCTTATATATTCTGGTTATGAATCCCTTTTCAGGTGGATAGTCTGCAAATATTTTCTCCCAGTCTATGTGTTGCCTGTTTATTTTGATAATTGTTTTTGTTACTGTGAATAAATATTAGGATGTAATCCTATTTGTATATTTTTATTTTGGTTGCTGGTGCTTTTTTTTCTTTTGAAGTCTTACACAAAAAGTCTTTGCCCAGACCAATGTCCTGGAGCATTTCCCTAATGTTTTCATCTAATAGTTTTATAGTTTCAGGTCTTAGATTTTTGTCTTTAATACATTTTTATTTGATTTTTGTATATGATGAGAGATAGAGGTCTAGTTTCATTCTTCTCCATATAGTTATCCAGCTTGCTTTCTTTATTTTTTTGAGATAGAGATTTGCTCTCGTTGCCCAGGCTGGAGTGCAATGGCATGATCTCGGCTCACTGCAACGTGTGCCTCCCGGTTCAAGAGATTCTCCTGCCTCAGCCTCCCAAGTAGCTGGGATTACAAGCATGTGCCACCATGCCCGGCTAATTTTGTATTTTTAGTAGAGATGGGGTTTCTCTATGTTGGTCAGGCTGGTCTCAAACTCCCGACCTCAGGTGATCTGCCCGTCTCGGCTTCCCTAAGAGCTGGGATTACAGGTTTACAGGTATGAGCCACCGCGCCTGTCCAGTTATCCAGCTTTCTTAGCACCATTTATTGAAGAGACTGTTATTTCCCCATTGTATCTTCTTTGCACATTTGTTGAAGATGAGTTGGCTGTAAAGGCATGGATTTATATCTGGGCTCTGTGTTCTGTCCCATTGGTCTATGTATCTGTTTCCATGGTGCTGATTTGGTTACTGTAGCTTTGTAGTAAATTTTGAAACCAGGTAGTATGATGCTTTTAGTTTTGTCCTTTTTGCTTAGGATTGCTTTGGCTATTTGGGGGTCTTTTGTGATTTCATATAAATTGCAGGATTTAAAAAATTTCTCTGAAGAATGTCATTGGTGTTTCGATAGGATGAATCTATAAATTACTCTGGATAGTATTGTCATTTTAACAGTATTAATTCTTCCAGTCATGAGCATGGAGTAACCTTTCATTTGTGTATATCTTCTTTTTTGTTTCTTTCATCAGCGTTTTGTAATTTTTCTTGTATAGATCTTTCACTTCTTTGGTTAAATTGATTCCTATATATTTTATATTTTTGTAGCTATTATAAATGGGATTCCTTTTTATTTTCCAGATTGTTCACTGTTGGTGTATATAAATGCTACTAATTTTTGTATATTGATTTTGTATCCTGAAACCTTACTGGATTTATCAGTTCTAACACTGCTATTACTGTATTGTGGTCTTTCTCTCCTTTTATATCTATTAATGTTTGTTTTATGTACTTTGATGCTCTGGTGTTAGGCACATAAATATTTATAATTGTTTTATCCTCTTGCTAAGTTGACCTCTTTATTATTATATAGTGACTCTCTGTCTCTTTTTACCATCTTTGATATGTTGTCTATTTTATCTGATGTAAGTATAGCTATTCTTGCCTCTTTATTTCTGCTTGTATGGAATATCTTTTTCCATCCCCCCACTTTCAGTCTGTATATGTGAAATGGGAGAGTTCCCTGACCCCCCCTCTGCAGAAGGTGCAACAGGGGTGTGGCTCATCTGTTCGGCTGCTGCATGCTCAAACCCCTTATGGGAGGAGGGGCACGCAGACAGGCAGGTTCAGGAGCCAGGGCAAGTGCTTTTGGGCTCCGGCCCCACGGTAGCTTCTACAGGTGGGTGCCTGTGATTCTCAAAGCCCCAGTGTGTGTGCCACAGTGCTGTTTTAGCTCTACCATCCACAGACAGCATAAGTGTTAACCAGCTCAGTGCACTCTTTGTACCTGGGTTCTTGTCTGGTGTCCAGCAAGAATCAGGTCACAAACAGATTTGAAGGATGGTGAATGCAGAGATTTTACTGGATGATGGAGGTGGCTCTCAGCAGAATGGATGCGGAGCTGAAAAAGGGATGGAGTGGGGAGATGATCTTCCCCTGGAGTTTGGCTACCCCATGGCTGATCTTCTTTCTGACTGTCCCCAGCTGAACTCCTCTCAATGTTCTGATGCTCCTTCTCTCCTCTCCTTCTCTGCCATGCCACTCTTCTGCTCCTCTGCTCTTTTGTTTGTCTGTCCATGGAGCCTGGGGTTTGGGGTTTATATGGGCACAGGACGGGGTGGGGCATGGCAGGCCAAAGGGCAACATTTGGGCATGGAAACAGGAATGCCTGTTCCCATTTAGGGTTGTAGGTTTCCAGGCCTAGGGGTGGGGCCTTTGCCAGGGAACTGCCCTCGCCTACCCAGTATTTCTCTGTCTACTGTTGATATCATTTTCCCCCTCTGAAGAGGCACATCTAACTGCCATTAGAATATGGACGATGACCAACCTGAGCTACTTCCTGCTGACAGGGGGCATTGTTTTGGGGAAAACAGAAGTCAGATTCCTCCCCAATCTACCTAAGGGTCTCTGGCAAAACGAAGCCATCTTCAGAGGCTCTGGTTGCCTGACCATTTGGAGTTTGATGTCCTAGGTGAGAGAGAAAAAAAAGATTTATAAGGTTAAGTATGCATGGGTTAAACATGTGTATTATACAAGGAAAGAATCGAGTGCCAAAGATTACAGAAATAAGAAGTGAAATATACTAACAATTTGCACCCCAAGCTGTTTTGCCCTAGTGAAAGAAATTAAACCTTGTATGGGAGCAGTTAAACTTTAGAAGAGAGATAACTGTTTTTGCCACATCGGTAGTAGTTAACAGGTGCATTCTGGGAATTCTGGGGTTTGTGGACTTGCATGGTGACTCTTAAGCTTCTGCCTCTTTCTTGTGTCTCCCTATCTCTATTGTAAAAGACCAAGGCAACCACTTTCAGGAGGTTCTCCAAAGTACTATCTGGTCCCAGGGCCTATTTCTGCAACTTCTTCCTTACATCAGGGGCTGCCTGAATAATAAATTTATACTTTGGGGTTAGCTGTCACTTGACAAAATGAGGAGATAGAGAGGTGTACTTTACCAAGGCTCCTCTTAGCCTCTCCAAGAAGGCAATCAGATTTTCTTTTCTCTCCCTATCTTTTTTTTTTTTTTTTGAGACAGTCTCGCTCTGTTGCTCAGATGAGAGTGCAATGGTGTGATCTTGGCTCACTGCAACCTCCATCTCCTGGGTTCAAGCGAGTCTCCTGCCTCAGCCTCCTGAGTAGCTGGGATTACAGGCACCTGCCATCATGCCTGGCTAATTTTTGTATTTTTGGAGAGATAGGGTTTCACCACGTTAGCCAGGCTTGCCTTGAACTCCTGACCTAAGGTGATCCACCAACCTCAGCCTCTCAAAGTGCTGGGATTATAGGCGTGAGCTACCATGCCCAGCCTGCAGTGAGATTTTCATTAAATCCCTGGTCTATCATGGATAGCTTGCTGTAATTGAGTGACTTGGTCCTCGTCCTACATAAGCCTTCCATTATGCATACCTGAAAGTGTCCCCTCTTCCAGTCTCCCATCTCGTCAGTGGGATCCCATTTAGGGTCATTCACTGGTACTGCTTCTCTTTCAGTTGGATAAAGTTCGCCCCCTTCCCTGATGCTATATGTGATACAAAGCTCATCCCCAAATCTCTCTGCTGCTTGCAGAGTGGACTGCTTCTCAGTGTTCCTCAGGGTCCCATTCAAAAGTAACATCACGTCTCTCCAGGAGAGTGCAAATACTTGGGTTAAATTCTGGAAAACCTCTATATATCTGTCGGGGTTATCTGGAAACCTGCTAAGATACCCCTTAATTTGCTTCAAGTCCTGTAGAGAGAAGGGGACCTGGACCTTACTAAAACCAAATTCACCAGGCATCTGTTGGAGGGCAAGAGTGAGACTGGGGCTTGTCTACAGGGAGGACTTCTAGGAGGGGGCAAGCATGAGACTGAAGCTGGATAGGACCTTTCTACAGAAAAGGTCCAACTGCCAGATGGTATCGAAATGAATGGTTCCTTCCTGAGGCCAAGCCAATCCTTCATAATTTGGTGAAACCTTTGTGCAGAGGGATATGAGGCATTTTTTTCTCCAGATTCTGAGGGTCAAAGTAGTCCCAAGGATTCAGGATACACTCCAGAGGAGTATAAGCTGGGGGTGGTGAAGAGAGCTGGTTGCCCATTTTGAAAGACAGGAAAGTAGAAGTGTCCCTCATTTCCCTTCCTTCTTTCAGTGAAAACTCAGGGTGTGAGGGAGAGAGAAAACAGGCAGTCTTCCTTTCTCTTCCATCTTTTCATCCCCGAGTCCCAGCAACCATGGCAGGTGCCACCCACAGGTGTCACTGCAGCCCACACCCGTGAAGCAGGGAGGGCCTAGAAAATAGGAATTGTTCGCACTCACCTATGCCTCCATCCCGCTACTGTTGGCAACTTTGCGTTCCCTGGGCCTTATCTATGCCATGGAGCATGGTCTCCTTTCATGAAGCAGGGATTTAGTCGACAGGAATTGGTCCTGCGCATTTACATTGTGCCTGTTGCCTGGCTTTGAATCCTTCAGATCTGGTTTTCCTTTCTAGGGCTGCAGCCTGGAGCCTGGAATCGAGTTTGGGACAAAAAAAGTATTTCAGAGGCTGCACGGATCTGTTTAGATTAAGTCTCAAATGGGCCCTGGCGAATTTGCAGTTACTAGCAAGCAGGGGTTGCTCCTCCCTATCATAAGCAGAGTGCATGGGGGAAGGAAAGAAAAGAAAACAGTTTAAAGTAAAAAAAAAAAAAGGGGGGGGCGGGGTGGAGGGCGTGGGGGAAGAACTTCTTGCTTTGAGCAAATGGGTTCCTTTAATTATTGTATCTTTCCGCCAGTTTAGACCAGTGAGGATCCTTCAGCCATTGGGGGAATGGCTCCGCCGGCACGGCAAACAGGAGGCACTGGCCAGCTGGCTACGCAGGGTGCCAGCGGCAGCCGTGGTTTTTTCCCACCCGCACCGTGGCCATTGGGTGCAGCTCGTACGTGCTGCAGACTCGCCCAGGTGCCCTAGCCAGAAGGGGAGGGGATAAGGAGAGGAGCCCCTGTGGCCATGGGGTGGGATTCAGGGTCGCACCAAAGGGAAACCACATCGTTCTGAATTGCACCTCTGATGGCTGGGCCAAATGCTCGTTCTATTTAATGTCATTGCCACAGTCTGCAGCAAAATCCTTAACATTATAAAAGAAGAGATAGGAGCCATTTCAAACCGTGAAAGAAGAGATAGCACAGCAAAGTCCAGGTATCTCGGCTGATGGAGTTCAGTCTTGGGGTCTTCCAGCAACAAATAATGCCTTTGTTGCCCCAGGGCTTTACTCCGGTCCTATGTGACGGGTAGACCTCCGTGAAGGGAAACAGCCGATATTCCTTTACCCACAGGAAAGAGAGAGGTGGCAGGCCAGAAGGCAACATTCAGGCACAAAAGCAGAAATGCCTGTTCCCATTTAGGGTCGTGGGTTTCCAGGCTTGGGAGCGGGCCCTTTGCCAGGGAACTGCCCTCTTCTACCCAGTATTTCCCGTCTCTATCTCCTGTCCATATCATCTGTATGGGTGAAGTTAATTTCTTGCAGGTAGCATATAGTTGGGTCTTCTTTATCCATTTAGCCACCCTACACCTTTTAATTGCAGGATTGAGCTCATTTACATTCAGTGTTATCAATAAGTAAGGACTTACTACTGCCATTTTGTTGCTTATTATCTGGTTGTTTTATAACTCCTTTCTTTTTTCCTACTGTCTTTCTTTGTGGTGAAGTGATTTTCTCTTGTAGTATGTTTTAATTTGTTGCATTTCATTTTTAGTGAATGTATTATAGATTTTTGCATTGTGGTTACCATAAGCCTTACAAAAAACATCTTATAGATACGTTATTTTATAAAGAAGTTAATCTATCTTAGATCATAAAGAATAAAAAGGAAAATATTTTTAAAAAATTTTTACACTTTAACTCCACCCCTCCCACAGTTTGACTTCAGTTATCTTAATTTACGTATTACTAATGTTTTAACAGTTTCTGTAGCTGTTATCATTTTTGATAGCTTTGTCTTTTAGGCTTCATACTAAGTTATGAGTGGGTTGAACACCATAATTATAGTATTAGAGTATTCTGGGTTTGTCTGTGTACTTAATTTTATCAGTGGGTTTCATACCTTCAAATGTTTTTTCATTTGTTTGCTTAAGTTATATTTTTTCATGTTAGTGTTTTTTTCTTTCAGATCAAAGAGTTCCCTTTAGTGCTTCTTGTAAAATGAGTCTAGTGTTGGTGAATTCTCTCAGCTTTTGTTTCTCTAGGGAAGACTTTACGTCTCCTTTATATTTGAAAGATAACTTTTCTGGATACAATATTCTTGCATGGCAGTGTTTTTCTTTCAGCACTTTGAAAATGTTGCTCAACTCCCTGCTGTTCTGTATGATTTCTATTGAGAAGTCTGTTACTAGATGAACTGGAGGTCCTTTATATGCTATTAGCCTCTTTTCTATTTCTGTTTTTTTTTTTGTATTTTTCTCTCTGTCCTTGACTTTTGGGTGTTTGATTATTATAGTCCTTGGGGTAGTCTTATTTGGGTCAAATCTGTTTGGTGTTCTCTGACCTTCCTGTACCTGGATACTTATCTCTTTCTCAAGTTTTGGAAAGTTTTCAATTATTATTTTTTTTTAAATAAATCTTCTATCCCTTGCTCTTGCTCGACTTCCTCTCAAACACCAGTAATTTGATTTTCTCTTTTGAGATCACTTTCTATATCTTGTAGGCAACCTTTGTTGATTTTTATATTTTTTCTTCTTTTTTCTTCTCTGTGTATTTTAAAATAGACTGTCTTCAAGCTCACTGGTTCTTTCCTCTCCTTGATCCATTTTGCTGTTGAGAGCCTCTAATGAATTTTTAAGTTCAGCAAATGTATTTCTAAGTTCCAAGATTTCTGTTTAATTTCTTTTATTATTTCAACTTGTTTGTTAAATTTCTTCAATGGCTTTCCGAATTGTTTTTCTGTGTTATCTTGGAGATCACTGAGTTTTCTTAAAACTACTATTTTGAATTCTTGGTCAGAGAGCTCACATATCACCATCTCCTTAGTGTTATTTTCAGGTTCCTTGTTTTGATCCATTTGGGAAGATTGTGGTTCTCTGTTTGCTCTTGTTTCTTGTGGGTCTACGTATGTGTCTTTGCATTAAAGAGTTATTTATTCCAGTCTTCTCTGTCTGGCTTGTTTTGTTTTATATTGAATATATTTGCTTAGAGGTTTTTTGTTGTTTGTTTGTTTTGAGACAGAGTTTTGCTCTGTCACCCAGACTAGAATGCAGTGGTACAAACATGGCTCACTGCAGCCTCAACTTCCTGGGCTCAAGTGATCCTCCTGCCTCTGCCTCCCAAGTAGCTGGGACTACAGGCAAGCACCACTATACCCAGCTAATTTTTTTAATAGAGATGATGTCTCACCATGTTGCCCAAGCTGGTCTACTAGGTCACAGCCTCCTTTTCAGCTCTAGGAGGTACCTAAACCTCAGAATTGCCTCAGTTCTAGTAAAGGATTGGAGCACTGCTCTTCCCAAACGGAGGGGATCTCAAAGGGAATATCCTGGCAGTGTGGGAAGGCTAGCTAGGGGTTTGTGCCTATGGGACCTGTGGGACAAACCTCCTACAGTGTGATGTTGCTGAACAATCACTCTGATTTGACGTCTCCTTTGGCTGATCTATAGAGCAGAGTTTCCAGAACTGGGGATGGTAGCCCCACTTACCCGCTTTGCCTCTCCTCAGGAACAAATTTCCCTTCAGGCACTCTGAATTCTTCCCATGAAGATGCTTCCCCTGCCAGAAAACCCAAGATGGTGGAGAAGCTGCTTTTAAACCTCAATCTCACTTTTTGCATTGTAGAAACAGCAAGTTGGGGGAAAACTTTCCATGCACTGTTGCTGGGCATAATGCGGGGAGGGGTATCTCAGATGTGGAAATCCAATTATCTTACCATCTGCTCAGAGTTTTTTCACTTCTCTGCATCTCTGGGAACTGTCTCATATTATATTTGAGTTCCAGGATATTTCTGGCAAAAATCTCAGCATTGTACATTTGTTTTTGTTTTTCTAGGGTGTGGTGGGTGGGAAGTGAAGCCAGCATCCTTCCATGCTGCCATTTTGGTACTCTATGTTACTACTTTTTATTTGTCCCTTCTGTTCTATATTTCTTTTTCTTTCCTTTTAGTTTTCTTTTAGATTAAAATGGGGGGGGGTAGGTCAGTAATTTCTATATTTTTTCTCTGGTCATGTGTTTTCTTCTTATTTTAGTGACTACCATATAGATTTCCAAATGCATCCCTGACATATTAAAGTTTGATGTAAACCAGTATTCCTACTGCATATGTATTATTGTTTTATGAGTCAATATTTATTTAGGTTAACTCACATATTTAACTGTTTCTTTCTTTTTCATTGATTTTTGTTCTGCCAAGCTGCCATCTGGAAATTTTTTTTATGTCTAAAGAATGCCCTTTGATATTTCCTTTAGTGTTCATCTGAAAAATGTCTTTATTTTGCTTTTATTTCTGAAGAATACAGTTTCTGGATGGAGAATTCTTCTTGGAGTTGTTTTCTATTAACACTTTGAAAATGTTATCCCATTGTCTGTTGGCTTCCTTAGTTCAATTTGAGGAGTCACCTGTCAGTTTTCATTGACATTGCTTAGTAGAAGAAAATAGTTCTTTTTTTCCCTTGTTTCTTTTTACTCTCACATTTTATCTTTGTCTTTGCTTTTGTGTAACTTTACTATAATATGCCTCAGGTTTTATGCTACTTGTAGCTTCAGAACTTCCGGACTAGATATCTTTTTTCAGTTTTAGGGAATTTTCAGTTATTATCTCCTTAAGTATTTTTCCTGCTCCATTCTATCTATTCTGATAATTTTATTATACATATTTTTGACATTTTAAGTATATTTCGTATACTTTTTTCTGTATTTTTCATTTTTCCCCCTCTGTGTGTTTCAGTCTGGATATGTCCTTTGCATCTAACTCCTAGTTCAACAATTTTCTCTTTAGTTGTGTATAATCTGTCATTCGACTCATCTACTAGTTGTTACTTTTCTTACTTATAATCATTAAACTTTTTATTTCTAGAATTTACATTTTCTTATAATATTGTCTATTTTGATATTTTCCTTTGTCTTATAATTACTTGAATTATATTAATAATAGTCACTTTAAAGTTCATATTTGACTTTTCTGTGCTTATTTCAAGTGCCATTTTCCCCCCTTGGTTTTTGGTGAAGTCTTTTAAAATATCTTGTTATTTCTGCTTGATTTATGTGAACATCATTGGTGAAAATTTGTAGAGCCAATTTGAACCTCCGGATGAAGTTATTTTCCTCCAGAGAAGATTTTTACTTCTGACATACACTAAACTAGTAGCATCCAGATAACCTTAATTTACTCAGGGATTAAGTTGTTTCAAAGCTAGTTCTCATTCCCTTCATGATGAACTATTTATTGTTTTCTTTAGTCTTTGGAGTTCCAACTGAAAGTTTGAGGTGTTTATCAGGGCCTCTTCTCCTTTTGCCCCCTTCTGTCCTGAGAATCTGCCAAAAGCTCTGCTAAATTCCCCAGTAGCAATTTGTTTACATAATTGTCAAATGTCTTAAGAATAAAAGCAATATCCAATGTTTTGCCCATTTTCTAAAGACCTATGGCTTTGTCTTGTGTCCCATTGTGACTTTAACACTGCAAATGCCTTTAGGGTGGCTAAAGTATTGTTATAAACTGACATTCCTGGTTTTTAGTATCCTCATTGTTTCTAACCTCTATATATTGATTTTGTCTTAATTTTTTATAAATTTACTTTCACTTTGAAAGTGTATTATTTTTATGCAGTATTTCTAGGTGTTTTGTATTGGGAGGGTTTTTGTTTTGCTTTGTTTTGTTTATTTATTTGTTTATTTTATATCTGGTCTTCCATAGTCTAGATTTTCTTTTTTCACTTAGTTGCATTTATTTAGATCCAACATATATTTCTATTGCTTTTAATACTTTCTGTATGCTTTCTGAAAGTATTGCCAAACTACACACAAGTTTCCTGTGTGGGTACATTCTATTTAAAAACCATTTTAAAACAATGACTATATAACTAGGTCATGTTCTAATTTCTGTAAGTCAGATGAGTAATACACCATCTCTGCCCTTGATGAGTTCATAGTCTATGTTTTCTTCTGCAATATTAACCTCAAAGGGCTCTTATAATACTGAGATCCATGAAATCTATTGTTCTTCAATAATAAAGTTTTGTTTTTATTATTTAAAATTATTTTTATAAACAGAGTCTTACTCTGTTGACCAGGCTGGAGTGCAGTGGTGTCATCATAGCTCACTGTAGCCTCAAACTCCTGGGCTCAACTGATCTTCTTGCCTCAGCCTTCCAAGTAGCTAGGACCACAGGTGCATACTACCACACCCAGTTAATTTTTAAATTTTCTTGTAGAGATGGAGTCTCACTGTGTTGTCCAGACTGATTTTAATCTCCCAGCCTCAAGTGATCCTCCCACTTTGGCTTCCCAAAATGCTGGGATTATAGGCATGAGCCACTGTGCCCAGGCAATAATGATATTTTGATATATTTGGGAGAATAATGGTTTCTAAATGGCAATAGGGAACCAGACACCAATTCTGAACTTGCATGGTGTGCTAGAATATCATTTGAGAAACTTACAGGGGAAGCAGTGTCCGTGGGAAAGAAAATGGTTTTTATTAAAACAAGAAGATGGAGGGAACTCTTAAAAGAAGAAGTCAAGCATCTGTGAAAGTTTGCTTATTACAAAGCAGGGATTCCAGGGGACAAGTGGAAAGATTTAGGATAGGACAATAGCAGTGTCAAGGAAGACGGAATGTCATGTGGAATATGGTCTAGTAAAAGCAGCTGGTTGGAGGAGGCCTGACATTTGACATTAACTAATGTAACGAGGAGAGAGGCAATCTCTCTGAGGAAGGTGGGCGCTAGACTTAAAGGCCAACATACTTATATAACATAACCTGGACTGATGTTCATGTCAGGGGTATCAGTCATCCCTAAGTCTGTTCTTAACACTAGATGAACTTAACCTGAGATGGCAGCAGTTGTGGGGACAGGGATTTTTTCACATGAACTTTATGTCTGAAAAATATCCTTGCTAGTTTTTCCCTTTTCATTGCTTATAATATAGTGTTCTCCAACTTAGTGATTTTTTTTTTAGATTTTAAAATGGAAATTATCAAGGAAACAAAGACAGTTTCACGCTCAAATAGGAAAATGTCCTTGCTCAAAAGAACTCTTGTAAGGAAGCCATCAATGAGACCCAGGTGAGATATAGAATCTGTTTACAGCAACATCTTCAGGTACATGCTTTTGAAAAACCTCAACATGTCTAATGGTAAACTTATCTTTCTATGTGTAGGTTTTCAGACCCTTTTCCATATACAATACATACAGGTACAGACACTCTTAGTATTTTAAATCATTTATTTTCTAAAATTAGCACTATGCTATATATGTATATATTATACAATAACTTTTCAAACTTAAACTATCATAGACATCTCATGTCTGTATGTGCAGATCTACCTCCTTCCATGAGTGTAGTATAACTTATATAGACATTTACATTGTCTTTAATTTTTTAATTGCTATAAATAGTATCACAATAAACATCTTTATACATGTTTCTTTGCCTGTTTGTGTTTTCTGGATTATGTACTGCTGTAGTAGCCTCCTAACTGGTTCCTTACTTCTTGTCTCTCTCCACTTATAATCAATCTGAGAATCAAACTCTGGTAAGGTCCCACAACTAGGCAAATACTCTGTGGCCTTTTCTTTCAGGAGTGCCCACCCACCTTTCTTTCCATGTACCTTAGCATAAGTGCCACCTATACATAAAAATTTCTCCAAATATTATGTTTGCTATAACTTCCTTCTCTTCTGAAACCCTAAAGGTCTAAAGTACAATATCAAGCATTTATATGTACTACTTTTTACCGGTCTTTACTTTTTAGGTATGTTTTCCAACTTCTTGACTTGACTATAATTTTCTTGTAGGCCATGGCATTCACTTACTCATGTATTCATTTTTATTCAGTTACTATCTATTATCTATCTATAATGGCTAGCTATATAAAAGGTCCTCTTCTAGATGTTGAGGATATAGTAGAACATATACATTTGCTAGTCAAAATCTCTGGCAGAATATTTTGCGTAGAAAAAACTCCCACAAAACATTTTCTTTTTTTTAATTAATTTTTTTTTCTTGAGACAGAGTCTCACTTTTTGTGTCCCAGCTGGAGTGCAGTGGCTCAATCACAGCTCATTGCAGCCTCGACCTCCCTAGGCTCAAGTGATCCACGTGCTTCAGCCTCCCGAGTAGCTGGGACTACAGGCACATGCCACCATGCCTGTTTTTTTTTCTTTTTTTTTTTTTCTAGAGACTGGGTCTTGCCCTGTTGCCCAGGTTGGTCTCAAACTCCTGGGCTCAAGTGATCCTCCCACCTTAACCTTCCAAAGTGCTGAGATTACAGGCATTTGTACCCAGCCAAGAATGTTTTCGTTTATTGATGACATTCATTGAGGGTGATAAGTCTTTTGTCTCTTCTAACCACTCTAGATAGATCTTCCTCCCTTTCAGCAACTGAAATTATTCTCTGAGGTTCAATCATTTGTCACTTTTGCTTTTCTAATTTGTCCTAGTCACTGGTCTCCATTATGCCTGTAGAAATACTTATTTTCCAATTTACTTAAGCATGAATACCACAGAAGTCTTAAATCACATATCTGTAAGATCATTAAGTCCTAGAAGACATATCAGGGTCATATCATCTAGTTTCATGACTTCAGTTAAGACCAAGCAGAATAGCTCAGGGATACCACAGCTGCAATTCTCTTAAACCTTTTCCCTACCCCTTATTCAATAAGTAAATGACTATTGATTATATACTGTATTCTAGACACTCTGTGAGTGCTAATGATACAAAAACTAAGACATAGTCCTTGCCCTTAATCTAATTATGTAACTAAAGACAATGCAAGGCTGACCTTAAAATGTTATGATAACATATTAGCTAATTACTATGGGAGTGAAAGGAGAGAGAAATTTTGAGTGAGGATCAGGAAAATTAGAATATCAGAAGATGCTCAGAATAACATATGCAAATTCAATTACAAAGAAATTAGAGTATTTTGTAGGTAGGGATAAACCCTACTCAAAGGCGAAGATACAACACAAAGCTATAAACTCATGAATATAAACATAATATTCAAAGACTTAAAAATAGTCCAGTGATGTTGAAGTATAGAGTGCATGCGGTGAAGGGACATAAAACATAAAAAGCCAGACTGAGACCAAATAATTAGAAAAAGGTATTGGGTAGATTATTAAGGAATTCGCATTGATTAAATGGCAATAAGGGGATTCTTTGGGGTTTGTTGGAGCAGCAGGTGGCAGAAATATCTACTATATGGATTTTTAAAATATTAGTCTGACAGAAATGAGAGTATATAAGGAGTCAGACATCCAGAGGTTGAAGGCAGAGATAATATAGTTGGAAGGTCTTTGCAGTTGTTCAGGCAAATGATAAAGATCTGAGGTAAACAGTGCAAGTGGAAGTGGAAGGGAAAATACAGATGTACAAAGCAATGAAGGGAGAAAATCAGACTTCTGGAATGGTAGAGCAAGAACATTCTAAGTAGTCTCTCCATAAAAGTAAAACTGGGAAAACCAGTCAAAAAGAATTTCAGAACTCTGTAAATTAACGGAAGGCATTTAACAAATAAAAAATTGCTTATCCAAGAAAACTACCAAACCTCAGTAAGAATAGTGTAATCTGTGGCATAGTAACTTCTAACTACTCACATCACCAAGCTTGACAGCCATGAGTGCCAGCCATCTTGCTGCCAACAGAGGGCACTGATATGGTTTGAAGCTCCACAAAAAAGCCAATGACCAGGAGCACTGTCAAAACCGATAGTAAGCCTTGTGGCCAAAAAATTGGGAGGCCACTATCACAGCCACTTAAGGCAGTGATACTAGTTGAGCAAGCAGTAAAACATTTAAAAGTAAAAAAGGGAAATCTGGGAGCAAGATATTCCCAAGGGACTGTGCAAATGCTGTGCAGATGCTCAAGAGAGACCGAAGAGGAACCCAGTTATCTATTTATCATTGGGTGATCATGAGGCCCTGAAAACTAGTATAAAAAAGAAAAATAAGAATTAAAAAGAGAAAAAACTGAGCAGACACTTTAGTAGCCACACACTTTAGGGGAGATATACTCTACAGAACTAGCCCGATAAGTCATTTAACAAAAAGCGAAACATAAAAAGCAAACAAAACCATCAACAGCAGCAACCTTTGGTGGATGAGGGATGGGGTGTAAATTCAGACTCCAGGGTTGTGATAATATATTATCCCAAATTCAACTTTAAACAAAAAATTATAAGACACACACACAAACAAAAATCCCAGGAAAGTATGGTCCATCCACAGGGAGAATAAAGGCAGTCAACAGAAACTCTCTCTAGGGTGATTCAGATGTTAGACTAAAGACTTCCAAGCAATAGGTTCAACAAACTAAAGAAAATCATGTGTAAAGAATTAAAGGAAGGTATGATGATAATGATTAACCAAATATAGAATATCAATAATGAGATAGAAATTATAAAATATAATGAAAAAATCTGGAGTTGAAAAGTACATAACTGAAATGAAAAATTTACTAGAGGCAATCAATAACAGATTTAAGTTGACAAAAGAATCATAGAGATCCACACATAGACACATCACAATCAAACTGTTGAAATATAAAGACAGAAAAATCTTGAGTGCTGCAGGAGAAAAAGAACATATATTCAAGGGAACTACAGCAAGATTAAAGTTTATTTCACATCAGAAACAATGATACCAAAGGTAGTGAGATTACATATTTAAAGTAAAATCAAAGAAAATAAATAATAACTATTAGTGTGTAGATACATAAAATAAAGAGAAAAACAAAGAAAATCCAGGTAAATAAGTTAGTTTTTTGTAGAGATTAATAAAATTGTTAAACTGTAAGATATATTGACCACGGGGAAAAAAGATGACACAGATAATTAAAATCTGGATTTAAAGAGGGCATATAATCACTGCCCTGCAAAAATTAATAAGACTGTAAGGAAATGCAAGAAACAAAGTAGGCAACTTAGATGCAATACATAAATTTCTAGAAATACCCAAATTATTGAAGTAAGCTAGCTATGTTTCAAGGAAAAGTAGAAAATGTGAATAAATCTATAATAAGAAAAAAATTGAATTAGTAATTAAAATTTTCTCACATAGAAACACTCAGGCACAGGCAGCTTCACTGGAGAATTCTATGAAATATTTAAAGGATAAATAATGTCAATATTCCATGAACTCTTTGAGGAAACAGTGAAAGAAGTAACACTTGCCAACTTATTCTATGAGGCCAGTATTTTCCTGATCCCAAAGCCAGACTGAAGACATCATAAGAAAAGAAAACCATAGACCAATACTCCCTCTAGTTTCTAGATATGAAAACCTTCAATACAATATTAGCAAATCAAATCCAGCAATATATAAAAAAGATCAGTGGCCAGGCATGGTGGCTCATGCCTACAATCTCGGCACTATGGGAAGCTGAGGTAGGCAGATTGCTTGAGCTCAGGAGTTTAACACAAGCCTGGGCAACATGGTGAAACTCCGTCTCTAAAAAAAAAAACACAAACATTATTAGCAGGGCATGGTGGTGCACACCTGTAGTTACAGCTACTTGGGGGCTAAGCAGGGAGATCACTTGAGCCTGGGAGGTCAAGGCTTCAGTGAGCTGTGTTCGTGTCACTGCACTTCAGCCTGGGTTACCAAGTGGAATTTATCCTAGGAATACAAGGAATGCAAAAACCAGTTAATACACCATGTTAATAAAATAAGGGGGGAGAAATTCACATGATTATCTCAATTGATGTAGAAAAAAAGGCTTTTACAAAATCTAAGACACATGTGTGATTTTTAAAACTCTCAATAAAATTAGAATAGAAGGGAACTATCTCATTCTGATAAAGGGCATCTATTAAAAATCTATGGCTAACATTATACTTAATGAAATAGGTGTATAAAGGAAGAAGAAGTAGGTCAAGATGTGGGTATTTGTAAAGAGGTTTAACTAATAACTATAACATAAAGATGAGGTTTGACGTGGGCAGTTGAAATGTAGAAGTGGAGTTCATGGGAACTGGAGATATAGTTTTGCTATATTAATAAAATTTAAAATCACTTCCTCATATCAATAAAAATTGAAATCACAGAGGAGGCACAGATTACCCAGGAAAAACCATAAGGCAAAAGAATAGAGGATTAAAGATGAAACATTAGGGGCACCTTTATTCAAGGAGCAGTGAAAGAAGAAATCAGCAAAGGAAATTTAGAAACATTAATCAAAAACTGCTAATCATGCTCCACCTCACAGAAATGACTGCTAATTAGGAGTCGTTTTGAACCCATAATGTAAAAAGAGAATTCCCTTGAAAAAATTGTCCTCATTAAAATATCTTCCTTCCTTCATCTTCCATTAGGAAGGAAGATATTGGACCAAGCTTAGAAATGGTACATAAAAGTTCAAGTTAATCACCAAAGAAATAGACAGATTTAGCCAATCCATCCACAATGCTTTTCACATATGGCTAAAGGCCTTATAGCCTGGTCAATGCACTTCCCCATTTCCTAATTGAAACAGAATCCAGAATCATCATTCCTTTCTCTCTACCAAAGATGCTTTCTTGTTTTCCAGAAACTTGACAGAAGTCCTCTTAAATACACAGCACTTGGAGTTCTTCAGGGAGTTCCTCAAGGAACGGAAGGCTAAAATCCCATTGCAATTTCTCACAGCTGTACAGAAGATCAGTATAGAGACCAATGAAAAGATTTGCAAGTCTCTCATAGAAAATGTAATCAAGACTTTCTTCCAAGGCCAACTCTCTCCTGGTATGCATCCTCTTCTGATCCTGTTTTCTCTCTCTCTTTAGTGTCTTAGGAGAATAGCCTGGGAAATAGCCTACCTCATGTGAGCCCCCAGAGAGAGCAGTACAGAGCAGCAGCCACATGGGGCAATATTGAGACAGATTAAGAGGGTAGGCAAAAGCAGAGAACAGTAATAATAAATTCAAAGTCTTAATACGAGTTGTATTAATCCGTTCTCACACTGCTGTGAAGAAATGCCTAAGACTGGGTAATTTATAAAGAAAAGAGGATTGATTGACTCACAGTTCCACATGGCTGGGGAGGCCTCAGGAAACTTATAATCATGGCAGAAGGCACCTCTTCATGGAGCAGCAAGAGAGAGAATGAGTGCCAAATGAAGGGGGAAGCCCCTTGTAAAATCATCAGATCTCATGAGAACTCACTCACTATCATGAGAACAGCATGGGGGAAACCACCCCCATGATTCAATTATCTCCACCTGGTCCTGCCCGTGACACATGGGGATTATTACAATTCAAGGTGAGATTTGGGTGGGGACACAGAGCCAAACCACATCACTCCACTCCGGCCCCTCCCAAATCTCATGTTCTCACATTTCAAAACACAATCATGCCCTTCCAACATTCCGCCAAAGTCTTAACTCATTCCAGCATTAAGTCCAAGTCCAAAGTCTCATCTGAGATAAGGCAAGTCCCTTCCACCTGTGAGCCTGTAAAATCGAAAGCAAGTTAGTTACTTCCTAGATACAATAGAGATACAGGCATTGGGTTAATACACCCATTCCAAAAGGGAGAAATTGGCCCGAAGAAAGGAGCTCAATTCCCATGCAAGTCCAGAATCCAGTAGGGCAGTCATTAAACCTTAAAGTTCCAAAATGATTTCCTTTGACTTCACGTCTCACATCTAGGTCACACTGATACAACAGGTGGGCTCCCACAGCCTTGGTCAGCTCCACCCTTGTGGCTTTACAGGGTACAGCCCAACTCCCAGTACCAATTTACTGTGTTAGTCCATTCTCACACTGCTGTAAAGAAATACCTGAGACTGGGTAATTTATGAAGAAAAGAGGTTTAATTGACGCACAGTTCCACATGACTGGGGAGGCCTCAGGAAACTTTCAGTCATGGTGGAAGGCACCTGTCTACAGGGTGGCAAGAGAGATAATGAGTGCCCAGCGAAGGGGGAAGCCCTTGTAAAACCATCAGATCTCATGAGAACTCTCCCACTAGCACAAGAACAGCATGGGGTAAACCACTCCCGTGATTCAATTATCTCCACCTGGTCCTGCCCTTGACACATGGGGATTATTACAATTCAAGGTGAGATTTAGGTGGGGACACAGAGCCAAACTATATCACTAGTGAAAGGAGCCAAGTCTAAGATACTTTCACATGTATCCTTTCATTTAATTTTATTTAATTCTAAAAATAGAATTTTATTTAATCCCTGTAATATAGGGATAGGCAGCTCCACTTTACTAATGAAGTAAAGGAAACACAGAGAGGTTAACTAGCTTGTACACTTGGTAGAACTTGAATTCAAATTCAAGTCATTTGACCATTAAACCAACTAGCCTGAAGTTAGATACAAAAACCAAGAGTTAGCTGCCTGCAAAGGTGGAATATCCACCACCCATGAATTGTGAAGAGAGTTGTACTGGGAAGGAGAACTGTATGCCTGAAAATCTTTGTTTCATAAGTTGTGTCTTATTTTGTTTCCTAAGGTGGGAGGGTAAATATGGTAAATAAAATCTTGGCCAAAAGCAGAAGTTGCAAATAATGCAAAGTAATGAAGATAGAGCCTCCTGTTTTGTCACAGATGGTATTTTTGTGTGTTTGGTTTTTGCTTGTAGTAAACCAAGATAAGAAAATAAATTTTTATGAATATAGAAAATATAGAAAAATAGGTCAAATTAATGAATCTTTATTTGTAAGCATTATTTATTTGTTGAATCTCAGGATGTTGAGATCTGTACAATATTTTGAATGAGCTAGAAGAGGAAGAGTGTCCAGATCCTATCTTTGATTATTTTCAAGTCTCATTAATGAACACAGCAGTTTCTGAACAACTGGAGAAACAAACTGCCCTCACAATACTTATCTGGAATCTTGGATTCCCCGTCTGCCCAGCAATTTAACTATAATCCTTTACCCTTCTGCTGTCTCTCTAAATCCAAGTTTTTCAAACCAGCTGCAGAAATAAGTCCTTTAAAAATGTATTTCCCCTTAAGCACTCATCCTGCAAATTTGAATGAAACTAAATGAGGAAAGTATTTAGTTTACAAATGCATTTGTACATAGCATTTCAAATATGCTTTGGAGATTTTCAAACAAACTATGGCGGGATCAGAGTCTAGCCAGATTGAAAATGGGGGCTGTGAGACTCTAAGATAAAAAAAAAAAACAAAAAACCACCAGCTATCTCAGAAATGGTAGATGAGGATTACAGCTTCTTTTCTCTCTTGCATTTTCTAGAAGAAATGCTGCAGTGTGATGCCCCTATTATCAAAGAAATCGCTTCCATGCGTCATGTCACCACAAGCACACTGTTAACGCTCCAGGGACATGTTATGAAATCTATAGAAGAAAAGTGGTGAGTATACTCAATTAAGGAAAGGATTCTTCCTGGAGTTGCTCCTTGGCTTCTGAAAGCCATATGCATCAAGGGTTTCCTAATCCATTTTCATAGCTCATTGCCAGAGCCTCTCTACAAAATAAAAATTCAAACTTATCTTGAACTTTCCTACCTATCTATCTGACACACACACATACACACACACACACACACACACACACATTTCTGTTTGTTTGCATTAACAAGAAACAATACAGTGTTGATCAGGAAGGTTAGGTTGACATTAACAAAGGTCTGATAGAGTAAGAAGAGAATTTTTTAGTATTTTACTATTCCCCAATTACCACTGAGAGTTCCTCCAGAAGCTGAGGTAGGTTTGCCTGGACTGTCATCTTTTATGTGCCAGGTTTTTGCCCTGTTTGATATTACTGATGTCCTTCTGACAGGTTTAAAGATTATCAAGACCTGTTCCCACCTCACCATCAGGAGGTGGAAGTGCAAAGTGAAGTACAAATTTCGTCTAGGAAGCCCTCAAAGATAGTGTCAACTTACCTACAGGAATCCCAGGTTAGTGAAGAAGAAAGTGAAACAAGACATTAGAGACAAGAAAACCATCGTCTTGGGGGTAGGTTTTTAAATCCCCATTTTGCAAAGGAAGAATCTGAGACTCAGATAAATTACTATACTAGGAATTTAAGCAAGTCCCTCTCTTCTCTACCTGTGATTAGAGTCAACTGAGTAATAGGTACAGGGGTTGGACACATGGAGTTCTTCTAGTTGAAAGTTAGTGTAGAGGACATGGATTGGCAATGAAGCAAAGTGGTTTTGCTGGTCCTCTGCACCCAAATTAAACTTACAAACCCAGTCACTGGTCTAACGGAACAACTTAGACCTCCACTTACCAGGGTGAGCCTCTTACTGTATAACAAAAGGTGAGCTTGTAGCAAGTGTCTTGCAGACAAACAAACCAGAGAGAGAATGCAAAGTGCTGAGAACACCATTTCCTTCTTTCAAACTATCTAGCTCATTCTTTCTCCTATGGGAGAACAGAAAAAAGGAAGAAAGAGGGGACAGGAATGTTACTCAGGAAAGTCTCTATGGTTTGAGAAAAACAACAACAAAAAAATACATGCCCCCTTAGAGATTCACTTGTTTTAGAGTTGGTCAGTATCAGAAAAATTTTAGCCCAGCTTGATCTGACTCCAGAGATCATTCTAAGATATCTCGGAAAATAATACCTAAGTCCATTGATCCAATACTCAGGGATGAAAATGTGTTACTCTTCCTTTTCTCCTCTGTATTTCCTCCATATATGAATAAACTCCATGTCAGGGCACCACGAATGGTCATATAGACTACTAAAAAGATTACTGTACCCAGAACCAGTGCACTTGATTTAATTTCAGAGCTTCCAGTTGTTCCTAGAAAACAAGATAAAAGGAAATCAACATGTACTTAATGCCTACTGTTTGCCAAGCATTGCATTGGGGTTTACATATAAGTCTCACTGCAACCCTGAAGGCTATTGTTTCTATCTTACACATGGAGACATTGAGACATAGGTTAAGTAACTTGACCCAAATTACACAATTAGGTTCTGAGAAGCTAAGCTCCAGACTCAAAGTTTTTTATCCTAAATTCAGTGCTTTTTGTACTTCACTGCTTTCTGTCTAAAGCGAGGCTTATGTTGTTTCCCTCTCTGTAGACTGAGACAACTGAACTAGTTAATCAACAAGAGTCTTTCTGGCTCTAAGTATCAATTTCTTGAAGGACAAATAAAATGTACAGTGGTTCCTGGGTACCTATAAAAAACAGATGAGGAAACTTATGAAATTCGTGTGTGTATGTGTGTGTGTGTGTAGGTGTATGAGTGGGTGCAAATAATTATATTTTCTTTTTTAAGTGCTTAGAAATGGTTTTGCTCATTTCCTTATTCCTTCAATGTTTCCAAATTTGCCTGAGCCTTTAGTTCTTTATTTCTGTCCTCTTTTCTTCCAGTTTTTAGCTCTCATGCTCCCTCTCCCAATCACGGCATCTCACATCTTCACTGTTGAAAGGCTTTGGTAGAAGGAGCATGGGCAAATGGCTCCAGTCTGTTGAAGCTGGAATCTTTCACTGACCAGCTACTTAATTTCGGGCAGATTGTACAAGCTCTCTAACCTGAGTTTCCTCACCTTTAAATTGGAGCTAAAAATTATTCCTTTACGGAGGTGTTGTGAGGATTAAATGTAGTGAATACCAAGTTTTGGCACACAGTAGACTCTCGGTGAACAGCAACCATACTAATGAACATGTTATACTCCTCTTTCTTTCCCCAGAAGAAAGGCTGGATGAGAATGATCAGCTTTATCAGGAGTTTTTGCAAGTACCGCAGATTTATGTTGAATCCTAGTAAGCGCCAGGAATTTGAAGACTATCTTCACCAGGAAATGCAAAATAGCAAGGAAAGTAAGTCATTTCTGTATTTACCCCCACTCCCTGTTGATATTTTAGCCATGAGGGTCAGCCCACATAAGAAGCTTATTGCTTTGTGTCATGCCTGCGGCAGCCTGGAGTCTAGCAAAAAAACCCAGGTCCTGTGTGCAAAGCCAGGCCCAGGCCTTCCTAGAGAGGATGCAAGACCAGAGGCCTCTGCTTAAGGAGCCAGCAAGGGTAGGGAATAAGTAACCTAAGGTACTGCAAAATCTCACATTTTACAAAATAATTTCCTTATGTTTTTGAATTTGCTCTTTAAAAATTATTTTCAAAATTTTTCTGCTTATAAATTAATACATGCTGTTAATAAAGAGGTAATAAAAATTGCAGAAATATATAGTATAGAAGTGAAAGTCCCTCAAGAGATAACATTGTTAATGCTTGTAAACCTACCTCCTAATTATTTTTCTGTATATGTATCTTAATATTTACTTTTCCCACAAAATTGATGCCACATATTTGATTTGTAACTTGCTTCTTTTTTTTTTTTTTTTTGTTCAACAATGTATCTTGGACATCATTTTATGTCAGTACACATATATCTGCCTTGTTTTTGACTGCCATAAAATGTCCATTATATGGATTAATTCAACAGCTTCACTCATTCATTCATTCATTTAACACACGTTTTGAGAATCTACTATGAGGCAAGCAGTTTGCCAGGTGATGGAGATACAGTAGTGAACAGTAGTGAGCCTGCAGCAGAGGATCTGCCCTGTGGCACCTACAGATTTCAAACAGAAAATACAAGCCACAGATGTTGGAGCCGGAGTGCCTAGATTTGAATCTGTCACTTCCTAGTTGAAGGACCTTGGGAAAATTACTTTGTATCTCCATTTTCTCATCTATAGAATGGGAATGAGAATTGTTTCTATTTCACAGGGTTATTAGAACTATGCTTGGCAATAGCACATGCTATAAGAGGGTTAGCTAGTGTTACTGCTATTATTATATAATTGTGATGAGTGATCCCGGCGATAATTGCAGGGAGATCCTATTAGTCAAGGCAGGAGGGCCAGAGAAAATGTCTCCTAGAAAATGACATAAAGTTGAGTTTTCAGAAATGACCAAGTTAGGTAGGTGGGATGGGAGGAGAGTGATTTCTAGGTATGCACAGAATCATAAAATAAGAAAGAGGACTGTGCAATTCAAAAACTGCCATCAGGCCAGTTGGACTAGAGATTAATGAGATGGGGCAAATGCTTGAGATGAGACTGGAAGGATAGGCGGTGACAAATCATGACTCTCTTGATGACATTTGGGTTGTTCCAACTTTCACTTAAACAATGCTGCAAAAGATACATATTTTGCAATTGTGTGTTTCTATGAAACAAGTTCCTTAAAATGGGAATGATGGGTAAATGGTTAAAAACAGTTAAATTTTGGCCCTCCAAAAACATTCATTGCAGTAATTTAAACTCTTGCCAACCATATAAACTAGTGTCTGGTTCCTCGCATTCTCATCAACAGTGTGTTGTACATTTTAAAAACTGCCAACCTGGTAAATGAAAAATAATGTGCCAGATAGTCTATTCTTATTTATACTTCTTTAGGAGTTGAGCATCTTTATTTATTGGCCATTTGTATTCTTTCTTGAATGTTTATGCCCTTTGTCTATTTTTCTATTGGTATTTTAATATCATTTATTTTAATTTGAAAAAAGTTTGTATTATCTTTTATGAACTGTTTCACAATAAAATATTTTGGCTTCAATAATAGTTCTAGCAGGCTGGGCACGGTGGCTTACGCCTGTAATCTCAGTAGTTTGGTAGGCCGAGGCCGGTGGATCACTTGAGGTCGGGAATTCGAGACCAGCCTAACCAACATGGTGAAACTTCATCTCTACTAAAATACAAAAATTAGCTGAGTGTGGTGGTGTGCACCTGTAATCCCAGCTACTCGGGAGGCTGAGGCCAGAGAATCACTTGAACCCAGGAGGCAGAGGTTGCAGTGATCCGAGATTGCACCACTGCACTCCAGTCTGGGTGACAGAGCGAGACTCCATCTCAAAAAAAAAAAAAAGTTCTAGATCTTTTGTTTCTTCTTTTAAATAAAACCAGCTCAAGCCCTCATGCCCCAGAATGGTAGGAAGTCCTGTTTCATCATTCTTTGACTTTCCACTTCCCCAACATTATGTGAGAACCCAAGAACTATACTTATCCAATTTAATAGGAGGTCTACCTGACTTCCAATTCCCCTTAGATGCAGGGAAGAGCTTGTGACACTCAGCCTGCCACTGGTCTAAGTTCTTTTATTTGAAATATAGCATACTTATAAGTGACTATATGAGCAGCTGAATACCCATCATCCAAGCCAAGAAATAGAAAATGGCATAACTCAGATGACACCTGGTGCCCCTCTTCAATAGAACTCCCCCTTTACCCATCACAGATGCAACCCCTATCTTGAACACAAGCATTTATTTTACTATTGCCTTTTAAAATGTACATGTGTTTTCATACTCTTTCTATAGTTTCCTGCCTCAAACAAACTTTGATTCCCATTGGAACTTCCACTCCATTAATCTTACTGATTTTCTTAAGCCAGAGTGTGTGTGTGTTTGGTATCTGAGAAAACAGAAGCAATCAAAAGAGGAGTTTTACAGCTTCCCTCCTCTGAATCACTTGGTCAGCCTCCTCTGTATTCACAGGCTCTGGTCACTGAGTAGGCTGCCTGTCCTTTTCTCCTAGGGAAGCATCCAGACCCTCATCTACTCAAGGGCATTCATCCATTTTTGCTTATTCTCCTGCATCATTTTTATTTTCTCTACTGGATTACTCAATCGGCACCAAATATGGCATAGTGCCTCTCAACCAAAAATTAATAATAATTTCTCCCTGATTCTACATTCCCCTCAAATTATCTGGCACATTTGTCTGTTTCCCTTTTGAACAAAAATCCTCAAGAGTTATGCATTCTTGCTGCTTTGTTTTCTTTTCTTCCCGTTTATTTTTAAATTACTTTTTAGAATCAGTTTTTAAGCTACAATTTTATACAGTAAAATTCACTAATTTTAATTGTGCAATTTGATGAATGTAAGTATCTCTGCCATCATGATATAGAATACTTGCTTCATCACAAGAAATTCCTTTATGTGTCTTTTTAATCAACACCCTCCCCGCTCCACTACTACTCTCTGGTCTGGCAACAACTGACCTGCTTTCTATTACTACAGTTTTATCTTTTAAAGAATTTCATATAAATGGAATCAAGCAGTAGTCTTAATGCATGCATGCAATAGTCTTTTGTGACCAGCTTCTTTTACATAGCATGATGCTTTTGAGATTCGTCTATGCTATTGCATATATCAGTAACTCATTCCTTTTTATTGCTGGGTAGTATTCCATTATACCATAGCACAATTTGTTTATTCATTCACCAATTGTTACATATTGGGTTGATTTCACTTTGGGGCTGTTATGAATTACCCTGCTATGAATATTCAAGCAGAAGTATTTGCATGGACATATGTTATTTCTTTTGGGTAAATATCTGAAAGTAGAAATGCTGGGTTATGTGGTAAGTATATGTTAAACTTTATAAGGAATTGCCAAGCTGTTTTCCAAAGTGATTGTACCATTTTTGCATTTTCACCACTGATGTATGAAAGTTTCAACCGTTCCCCATCCTCACCAACCTTTGGTATTATCTGTCTTTTTAATTTTAGCCATTCTAGAGGGTATGTAATAGTATCTTGTTTTAGTTTAATTTTTATTTTGTCTGATGACTAATGATGTTGAGTATGTGTTCATGTGCTTGCTTGACATATTAGTCCATTTTCACACTGCTAATAAAGACATACCCAAGACAGGGAAGAAAAGGAGGTTTTAACGGACTCACAGTTCCATGTGGCTGGGGAGGCCTCACAATCATGGCAGAAGGCTAGGAGGAGCAAGCCACATCTTACGTGGATGGCGGCAGGCAGAGAGGAGCTTGTGTAGGGAAACTCCCCTTTTTAAAACCATCAGATCTCGTGAGACTTATTCACTATCATGAGAACAGCACGGGAAAGACCTGCCCCCATGATTCAATTATCTCCCACCAGGTTCCTCCCACAACACATGGGAATTCAAGATGAGATTTGGGTGAAGACACAGCCAAACCATATAATTTGCCATACATACAGTGCGTTTTTTAGTGAAGTGTCTGTCCGTATCTCTTGCCCATTTTTAAAAAACTTTGTTGTCTTGGCCTTTATTGGGTTATAAGAATTCTTTATATAATCTGGATATATTTTTGATGGACATATTTTGAAAATATATCTCTCAGTTGATGGCTTGCTTTTTGATTTTTTAAGTAGTGTCTTTTGAAGATCCAAAATCTGAAATCCTCCAAATTCCAAAACTTTCTGAGTACTGATATGACACCACAAATAGAAAATTTCACACCTAACCTCACGTAACAGGTTGCAGTCAAAATGCAGGGAGGGGCACAATACAAAATTTATTCAGTGTCCCCAAGGAAAAAAATAAAATTACCTTAAGTCTATATGTATAAGGAGTATACAAACATAAATAAATTTCGTGTTTAGATTTGGGGCCCATCCCCAAAATGTCTCATTGTGTATATGCACATATTCCAAAAATCCAAAATCTGAAACACTTCTGGTCCCAAGTATTTCAGATAAAGTATATTCAACCCATAGTATAAGAACCTTAAAATAGGTTTCCAGACGTTGTAAATTTTATCTTTTTAGGTGTTGGATATTTTTGTCTTCCTATAAAATATGCCTGAACTTTGTTCTGGGATACAGTTAAGTTACTCGAAAACAGTTTTATTCTTTTGGATCTTCTTTTTATGATTGGTTAAGTGAATCCAGAGCCATGTTATTTGTATGGCTATTCTCCACTACTGAGGTAAAACCTTCCTTGGTATTCTACTAGATTCCTCATAAATTATGAGTTTTTCTAGTCTCTCGGTGGAAACAGGCACTATTTCTGCTTCTGTGTGAGCACCAAGGACCGTTCTTTAATGCTTTCAGATCCCCTACCCTCAAGCTTTGGGTACTTCCTTCATATCTTGAGCTGGTCAGCACTCTGCTGAGTACTTGAGGGAACCTCTGCAGATTTCCAGGTTCTCCCTCTCCTCTTTGAACTCTGTCTTGTAAACTCTAGCCACATTGGTCTCACTGGACTCTCAGGTCCATCTCCTTAATTCAGAGAGTCCACTGAACTTGACCTGGGTTTTCCCTCCCTGACTGTGGAATGGATCCTACCTCAAGGTGGTAAAGTGGGGCAAGAGTAGGGCTCACTCATTTTTCCCAAGTCTCAGTGATCACTGTCCTTAATTCTCTGACAGTCAGTGTCTTAAAAACTGTTTCAATATATTTTGTCTGATTTTTAAAAATCGTTTCGGAAGGGAGGATAAATCCAGTTCTTGGTACTCTATCTTGGACAAAAGTGGACGTTCCGATAAAAAAGTTTCAGCAGGCTGGGGCTGGTGGCTCAAGCCTGTAATCCCAGTACTTTGGAGGCCAAGGTGGGTGTATCACCAGAGGTCAGGTGTTCGAGACCAGCCTGACCAATATGGTGACACTCCGTCTCTACTAACAGTACAAAAATTAGCCAGGTGTGGTGGCACACGCCTGTAATCCCAGCTACTCAGGAGGCTGAGAAAGGAGAATTGCTTGAACCCAGGAAGCGGAGCTTGCAATGAGCTGAGATCGTGCCACTGCACTCCAGCCTGGACAACAGAGTGAGACTCCCTCTCAAAAAAAAAAAAAATTCAGCAGATTAGTAACTGTAGCCAAGTTAGAATGATCATCCTGACTGTAATGTAGGGAATATACTACACAAAAGCAAAATTAAGTGTAGGAAGCACAGTCAGGGCTGGAACTAGGGTAAGGCAAGGGAGGCATATAACACACAAAAATTAAGGAGGCACTGACTGTCAGGCTCATGCAGATGCCAACCCCGTACTTGTAACATGTTGATAGTGAATGCTTCCTTAAACTGTGTCCTAGGCACCTCCCTCACCTTAGCAGGTCAGGGACCTAGTCCTGACCCCGAGAACACTTAAGCGGCTTTTGGAACAAATGAAAGATGATGATGCTTTAAACAAATGTCACTGCAAGAAAGACCAATAGTAGATACATTTGAAATATATTTAGAAAGTAGAATCAACAGCATTTGGTGACTAATTGGATGTGGAAAGAGGAAGAAGTCAAATATGATTCCCAGGTAATAGTGAGCTGGAGCTGCTCATACTGATTGGTAAGAGCCAGCTGTTAAATATCCTGAAATTTTGTGAGCTACTCAACAAATGTCAGTAGCCAAAAATCTATTACAGTGAGAATATTTACTATCTAAATCAGTGAATAATACAAATTAGGTCTCCCCCTCTACCACCAGAGCCAGTTTACAAGCATCCCATGGCTTCCAGGTTTATTTGGTGAATTTATCACCCTCTTTTCCCAGAATCCCTAACCATCATATCAATTTCCACTGTTATCTAGACTTTTTTTCCCTTCAAACTCAAGTCTAAGAGAGAAAGATTGAAAGATAGTAGGAAAGGGATCTTACGTCTTATTCAGTATGGTAACCCTAGGGTCAAGCACAGTGTCTGAGACATGACAAGTGCTAGGTATTTATGGACTCTTGTAGTTACCCTCCCATTCTATATACAACACTAAACCAAAAGGAAACCCACCTACACCATAGGGAGCACCACACCCACTTCAATAAATCCTGAACAGCACTCCAGAATAAAGGATTTGCAGGCAGAATGGTAAATTCTAGAGCCAGATTAGACATTTTTCTGAAACCAGCCAGATAACTAACTAGGGTCCATTTGTCAGATCCAGCCCATACCTGTTCTTTTCTCAGACCTGAATCCCTACGAATAGATGTCTTTGCATATAATCTAGTCAAGAAACTTTCTAAAGGAAGCATTCTATTTTTCTGACACACAATCCAAATCTTCTAGTGGCTCTTGTGCTCTCCTTTACTCGTTAGTCTCTTCTGTACTCTAGCTTTCTACCCTCAGTTTCCTTAGTAAACTTCTTTACTCTTGATATTTTGACTTTTTCTTTGTGCTGCTTTCCTCATTTGCTCCTAAATTACTTCCTGATAAAACTTGAGTAAGCATCATCAGTGTTACACACTCCATTTGGAAGGTCACATCTCGTGTTTCATTTTCAGTCTCTGCAGAAACCTTAGGGATTAGCGTAACTGTGGTGTGCTTCTATTTCTATTAGATAAGCACCTTCGGTGCTCAGTTGACTTGTGTTTTATGTGTGTTGTCATACTATCTGAGTAGATGACTTTTTCAAGTCCAAGTAAAAGGTTGAGCCCAATGGCAGTAAGTGACTATTTCAGTAGGCCAAAAGGATGGATCCACAGTCTCCTTTCTTCTTTTTGTTATGCCCAGGTTGAGGGTAAGAGTGACTTGATCAAACAAAATTGTAATTCCTTCTTCTTTCTCTCTCAGATTTCACCACAGCACACAACACATCGGGACGTTCAGCTCCACCCTCCACAAATGTCCGGAGTGCAGACCAAGAGAATGGAGAAATAACCCTTGTAAAGCGTCGTATATTTGGCCACAGGATTATCACTGTCAACTTTGCGATCAATGATCTATATTTCTTTTCTGAAATGGAGAAGTAAGTTTTCCACTTCTCCTTCTTCTGCCCTGAAAATGACTTTTCATCCTTAGGACTGCCCAGCAGAAACTGGCTTGATCTGTTAGAGATACAGTGATTTCAGACCTGTCCAGTAAGAGTCTCTCCTTCTGAAAATCTTACTGAATGCTGCCACTCAATTGATTTCCACCTTTCTTTTCTTTGGGTGCTAAAAGCTCTTCAGTATTCCAGAAATTCCACTGTTAAAATGCAGTTACTTAGTCCCAGAAAAGGGAGCATGTTTTTCTCCATTATTTACAAATTTGAAAAAGTCCTATTATATAACACCATGAGACCAATATTCTTTAGTCAAAGCCAGGAATTATAATAATACAAATTGTGTGTGTGTCTGTATGACATTAAACAGATATTTTTAAGTTAAGACATATTAGTGTATATTAATTCACCTGTCAATTTTGTTTCACCTGTCAAATTTTTTATGTAAAGCCAAAGTCAATCCACAATGGGAGGTCTGTAAATTTTTCTTGTATAGACTATACCCCAAAAGCTGTCTATTAATTTTTTAATTGATACATAATAGATTTACATATTTTGGAGATGTATGTGATATTTTCATATACTCATATAATGTGTAAAGATCAATCAGAGTAATCGGGATATCCATCATCTTCCTTATTTTTTCTTTATGCTAGACAGATTCAAATTACTCTCTTCTAGATATTTTGAAATGTACGATAGATGATTATTAACTGTAGACACCCTACTGAGCCATTGCACACTAGGTCTTACTTCTTCTATCTAACTGTGTATTTGTACCTCTTGATCAAACTGTCTTCATCACCCCACCCCCTACCCTTCCCAGCTTCTGGTAACTACCTGAGATCCACTTTTTTAGCTCCCACATATGAGTGAAAACATGTGATATTTGTCCTTCTGTGTTTGACTTATTTCACTTAACATAATCACCTACAGCTCCACCCATGTTGCTGCAAATGACAGGATTTCATTCTTTTCTGTGGCTTAATACTATTTTATTGTGTATCTGTATACACCACATTTCTTTAACCATTCATCCACTGATGGGCACTTAGGTTGATTCCATATTCCAGCTATTGTGAATAGTGCTACAATAAACATGGGAGTGCAAATATCTCTTCAACATACTCATTTTCTTTCCTTTGGATATATACCCAGTATTAGGATTGCTGGATGACATGGTAGTTCTACTTTTAGCTTTTTGAGGAAGCTCCATACTGTTTTCCACAGTGGCTATACTAATTTACGTTGCCACCAACCAGGTACAAGGTTTCCCCTTTTTACACATGCTCACCAGCATCTGTTATTCCCTGTCTTTTTGATAATAGCGACTTTAACTAGGGTAAGATGATATCTCGTTGTGGTTTTGACTTGCATTTCTCTCATGATTTGTGATCTTAGCAGTTTTTCATATACCTGTTGGGCATTTGTATATCTTCCTTTGAGAAATGTCTATTCAGATCTTTTGCACTTTAAAAAATCAGATTATTTGGGTTTTTTGTTATTGAGATGTTTGAGCTCCTTATATATTCTGGTTATTAATCTCTTGTCAGATGGATAGTTTGCAAATATTTTCTCCCATTCTGAGGGTTGTCTCTTTACTTTGTTGATTGTTTCCTTTGCTGTGCAGAAGCTTTTTAGCTTGATGTGATCCATTTGTGTGTTTCTGCTTTGGCTCCCTATGCTTCTTACACAAAAACCTTTGCCCAAACCAATGTCCTGCCATGTTTCCCCAATGTTTTCTTCCAGTAGCTTCAGAGTTTTAGATTTAAGCCTTTAGTACATTTTTATTTGATTTTTGTATATGGTGAGAGATAGGTGTCTGGTTTCATTCTGCTGCATATGGACATTCAGTTTTCCTATCACCATTTATTGAAGAGACGGTCCTTTCCCCCATTGCGCATTCTTGCCACCTGTGTCAAAAGTGTGTTGGCTGCAAAGGCATGGATTTATATCTGAATTGTCTATTCTGTTCCACAGGTCTATGTGTCTGTTTTTATGCCAGCACCATGCTGATTTCGTTACTATAGCTTTGTAGTATCTTTTGAGGTCAGCTAGAGTGATGCCTCCAGCTTTGTTCTTTTTGGTCAGGATTGCTTTGACTATTCAGGGTCTTTTGTGGTTCCGTGTAAATTTTAGGATTTTTTTTTCTATTTCTGTGAAGAATGCCATTGGTATTTTGATAGGGATTGCACTGAATCTATAAATTTCTTTGGTTAGTGTAGACATTTTAATAATATTATGTTTTCCAATCCATGAGCATGGAATATACTTCAATTGTGTGTGTCTTCTTCAATTTTTTCATCAGTATTTTCCTTGTATATATTTTTCAGTTCTTTGTTTAAGTTAATTCCTAGGTATTTTATGCTTTTTGTAGCTATTGTCAGTGAGATTGCTTTCTTGATTTCTTTTTCAGATTGTTCATTGTTGGTGTTTATAAATGCTTCTGATTTTCACATGTTGATTTTTTATTCTGCAACTTTACTGAATGTCTGAGTTCTAATAGGCTGTTGGTGAAGTCTTTAGGTTTTTCTAAAGATAAGATTATGTCAGCTGTGAACAAGGCTAATTTGACTTCTTCCTTTCCAGTTTGAATGCCCTTTATTTCTTTCTCTTGCCTAATTGTTCTGGCTAGAACTTCCACTACTATATTGAATAAGAGTAGTGAGAGTGGGCATCCTTGACTTCTTCCAGATCTTAGAGGAAAAACTTTCAATTTTTCCCCATTCTATATGATGTTAGCTGTGGGTTTATCCTATATTTGCATTTATTATTTTGAGGTATATTTCTTCCATACCCAATTTGTTGATGGTTTTTACCATAAAGAGATGTTGAATTTTATTGAATGCTTCATCATCTATTGAAATGATCATATGACTCTTATTCTTGATTCTGTTAATGTGATATATCATGTTTATTGATTTGCGTATGTTGAATCACCCTTGTATTCCTGGGATGAATCCCATTAGATCACGGTGAATGATCTTTTCAATGTGTTGTTGAATTTGGTTTGCTGGTATTTTGTTGAGGCTTTTTGCATCTGTGTTCATCAGTGATATTGGCCTGTAGTTTTCTTTTTTTGCTGCATCCTTCTCTAGTTTTGGTATTGGGTCAATGTTGGCCTTGTAGAATGAGTTTTTAGTATTCTCCCTTTTAAATTTTTTAAGAGTTTGAGCAGAAGTAATATTAGTTTTTATTTAAATTTTTGGTAGAATTAATGCCATCAGGTCCTGGCATTTTCTTTGACGGGAAACTTATTATGGCTTCAATCTTGTTACTCATTATCTGTTCATTTGAGTTTTCTATGTCCTCATGATTCAACCTGGTAGTTTTTATGCGTCCAAGAATTTATTCATTTCTTCTAGGATTTCCAATTTGTTGGTGTATAGTTGTACATCATAATCTCTGATGACTATGTCTCTTTTTTGTTTCTGATTTTATTTATTTGGGTCTTCTCTCTGCCTTTATCAGTCTAGCTAAAGGCTTAATGATTTTGTTTATATTTTTAGAAAACTAACTTTTTGTTTCATTAATCTTCTGTATTTTTAGTCTTAATTTCATTTATTTCTGCTCTGGTATTATTAATATTTTATTCTTTCTACTAATTTGGGTTTGGTTTGTTCTTGTTTTTTAGTTCCTTGAGGGCAACATTAGGTTGTTTATTTGAAGTCTTTCTACTTTTTTGATGTAAGTATTTATTTTCTAAACTTTCCTCTTAGTACTGCTTTTGTTGTATCCCATAGATTTTGGAATGTTGTATTTCCATCTTCATTTGTTTCAAGGAATTTTTAAATTTTCTCCTTTATTTCTTCACTGACCCATTGGTCATTCAGGAGCATGTTTTTTAATTTCCATATACTGTAGGAAACAGTTTCCAAGGTTCTGCTTGGTATTGATTTCTAGTTTTTTTCCATCATGGTCAGATAGGATTCTTGATTTTATTTCTACTTTTGGAAATTTGTTGAGACTTGTTTTGTGGTCTGTTTTGAAGAATGTTCCATGTGCTGATGAAAAGATTGTATATTCTGTAGCAGTTGGGTGAAATGTTCTGTAAATGTCAGTTAGGCCTATTTGGTGTGGTGTGTAGTTTAACTGCAATTTTTTGTTGTTGTTGATTTTCTATCTGGATGATCTGTCCATTACTAAGAGTGGGGTATTGAAATTCCTGCTATTATTGTATTGCAACCTTTTTCTCCCTTTAGATCTTTTAATGTTTGCTTTATATACTTGGGTGCTCTCATGTTGGATGCATCGATATTTATAATTGTTATATCCTCTTACTGAATTGACCCCTTTGTCATTATATAATAACTATGTCTCTTTTTAGAGTCTTCAACTTGTAGCCTATTTTATCTGATATAACTATAGCTATCCCAGCTCTTTTTTTGGTTTCTACTCACATAGAATATCTTTTTCCATCCCTTCACTTTTAGTCTATGTGTGTTTTTATAGCTGAAGTGGGTTTCTTGTAGGTAGCATGTAGTTGGGTCTTGTTTCTTTATCCATTCAGCCACTATATGTCTTTTAATTAGAGAATTGAGTCTATTTGCAGTCAACATTCTTATTAATAAGTAAGAACTTACTACTGCTATTTTGTTGCTTGTTTTCTGGTTGTTTTTGAACTCCTCTCTTCCTTTCTTACTGTCTTCCTTTGTGATTAAGTAATTTTCTCTGGTACTGTATTTTAATTCATTGCTTTTTATTTTTAGTGTAACTATTATAGGTTTCTGCATTGTGTTTACTATGAGGCTTACCAAAATATTTTGTGGATATAACAAATTATTTTAAAGAGATGGCAGCTTATCTTACATCACAAAGAAAAGAATAGAAACAAAGAAAAAACTAAAATGAATCTCTACACTTTCCATCCTCTCAATATTTGGACATTTTTTCTCAATTTGCATATTTTATATTGCTTATCTCTTATCAGATTGCTTTAGCTATTGTTCCTTCTGACAAATTTGTCTTTTAGGCTTCATACTAGAGTTATGAGTGAATTGCACACCACAATTACTATATTAGAATATTCTAGATTGGTCTGTGCACTCACTTTTACCAATGAGTTTTATACCTTCAAAGGCTTCCTTCTTGCGTGTTAGTGTCATTTTCTTTCAGAATAAAGAACTCTCTTTAGCATTTCTTGTAAGACATGTCTGTTGGTCATGAATTCTCTCAGCTTTTGTTTGTCTAGGAAAGGCTCTCTCTCCTTCACAGTTGAAGGATAGCTTTGCTAGATACAGTACTCTTGGATGGTGGGTTTTTTGTTTTGTTTTGGTTTGGTTTTTTTGCACTTTGAGAATTTTTTCTCAAATTTTCCTGGCCTTTATGGTTTCCATTGAGAAGTCTGTTGCCAGGTGAATTGGAGCTTCTTTATATGTTATTTTCTTCTTTTTCTGCTTTTAGGATTCTCTCTCTGTCCTCGACCTTTAAGAGTTGATTACTATAATACTTGGGGTAGTCTTATTTGGGTCAAATTTATTTAATGTTCTCTGGCCTTCCTGTACCTAAACATGTATGTCTTTGTCAAGTTTTAGAATGTTTTCTGTTATTATTTTGAATAAGTTTTCTTTTCCTTGCTCTTGCTCAACTCCCTCTTGAACACCAATAATTTTTAGATTTGCTCTTTTGAAGTAATTTTCTATATCTTGTAGGTGTCTTCATTACTTTTCATTCTTTTTACTTTTTTCTCCTCTGTCTCATTATATTTGAGTTCTGAGATAGTGCTGGTAAAAATCTCAGTACTATTTGTTTGTTTTGAGTTTCCATATGGGAGAATGAAGCCAACTTGCTTCTATGCTAACATTTTGGAACCTAAAGTGTCTGTCTACTGATTTCAATTTTTATTTCTTTAAAGTGGAACAGAATTTAAAGATTACTGTGAAGCAATTTAATCCTTCTGGCTTTGTATACCTTTTTTTTTTTTATGTTTTAAACTGCCTGGCCACACCTAACTCAACAGTATTTTGTTTTTGTTTTCATGAGACGGAGTCTCACTCTGTCGCCAGGCTGGAGTGTGGCACCATCTTGGCTCACTTAAACCTCCACCTCCTGGGTTCAAGCGATTCTCTTGCCTCAGCCTCCCAAGTAGCTGGGACTACAGGCACATGCCACCACGCCCAGCTAATTTTTGTATTTTTAGTAGGGATGTGGTTTCACCATGTTGGCCAGGATGGTCTCGATCTCCTGACATCATGATCGCCTGCCTCAGCCTCTCAAAGTCCTGGAATTACAGGTGTGAGCCACTGCACCCAGCCAACAACACTTTTTTAAAAAGCTACTTGCCTTCATTAGAATTTCCAAAACATTCTAACTTGTTTTCATAGAAATAATAACTTTTCTTTAATGTTCATATTTTATCAGTTTTCACAAGTTACTAATTATAGCAATTATAGTTACTAATTATCTTTACAATAGGGAAAGATACTTGGGAAGCAACACACCTCCTGGTACACATTCACTTCTGCTAGTTTGAGAAAGATGAGAATGTACTAAAGGTGTACCACTAATCTATGCAGTCAGCATGTCATGGGCATCAGTCAGTGTGTTTTTCAAAAATGTAGACACCTGATAATTCATGCATCAGTTAGAAGAGTTTGGTTAAGAGATCTTCTACTCACCCCAGTGATGGATTTAGCTCATTTCCACAGATGCTTGTTGATTGCTCACTCTTTACTGAACACCGGTTTTGACATTGGATATACAAAAAACAACTATGACGTGCTCTCTATTTCTAAGATCCCACAAACTAATGAGGATGGCAGAAAAGACACAAACAAAAGTTAGGAAGTGTCTCAGGATGATAGGTGCTATGGGAGAATCAGGCATAGGAAGTGTATTTAGACAACAGTAAGTCCTCAGGTATGGTTTCTTGGGAGACCCAAAATTCTTGGGTAATCTAAGCTAAATTTTGAAGGAAGAGTAGAGGTTAGTCAGATAATAAAGGATGTGGGGGAGGTAATGGAGGAGCAGAGGGAGATACTAGTCAGAGTGAATAGCCTCACCTGCTGCTGCTCCGATTCCCACCACATTGCGTCTTCTTCCTTGCTTGACCTCTACAAACTATTCTCTGTATAGCAACCAGCGTAGCCTATTAAAAACATAAACCAGACTAGATTATTCTCCTGCCTAAAATGTTCCACTGGCAGCAGGGTGCGGTGGCTCATGCCTGTAGTCCCAGCACTTTGGGAGGCCGAGGTGGGTGGATCACGAGGTCAAGAGATCGAGACCATCCTGGGTAACATGGTGAAATCCCGTCTCTACTAAAAATACAAAAAATTAGCCAGGTGTGGTGGCAGACGCCTGTAGTCCCAGCTACTCAGGAGGCTGAGGCAGGAGAATGGCATGAACCCGGGAGGCCAAGCTTGCAGTGAGCCGAGATCACACCACTGCACTCCAGCCTGGGATACAGAGTGAGACTCCATCTCAAAAAAAAAATGTTCTACTGGCTTCCCATTACCACTGGAATTAAGTCCAAACCTCCTCTCATTGCCTAAAGTGCTCTACAGGAGTGGGACCTGCCTGCATCTCAGGGCTTGCCTCAGGTCAGCACAGGAGAGGGAAGAGCAAGATAGTCCTTAGGCCTTGAAGTCATTAGAGGTGCAATGCTGTAGGGCCAGAATGGGTAAAGGAGGGAAGGTGGGATAAACAAGGGGGTTTGTGGTGAAGACATTCACTTGAAGGGGCACTTAACATGTTATCTGACCTGTGATAAGTGCTCAGTATTTGCCAATGGATGAATTATGACTGAATGAATAAAGTCACAACCTGGCCTAGAACTGGCCTTGCGTTTTTTGGGCCAGAAATGAGTCTAGGCTGGGTGCCTTGTTAGTCACTGTTTTCATCTTCTCCTCCTGATTTCCTACTTCACATTTCTTTTTTAGATTTAATGATCTGGTCAGTTCAGCCCACATGCTGCAGGTCAACCGGGCATATAATGAGAATGATGTGATCCTAATGCGGTCCAAAATGAACATTATCCAAAAACTCTTCCTGAATTCTGACATCCCTCCAAAGCTGAGGGTAAGAAAGACTCCCACTCCACTCTGGCCTTTCACCAAGAAGCATTTCCCCCACAAGGACAATTAGAAAGCTAATTGTCAGGCACCTCATAAGTCCTGGCTAACTACATATCCTTTACCTAGCAACTCCATGAAAACCGTATGCCTTTTGGAGAGGGGGTGGTCATGGGGTTCTGGGGGCCAGGAGAGGTTTTCTGCCTTCCCGTGGAGCCTCTGCCAGTGACAGGCTCCCACTCTGTGGGTAGGTGAATGTCCCTGAGTTCCAGAAGGATGCCATCCTTGCTGCCATCACAGAGGGCTACCTAGATCGGAGCGTCTTCCATGGGGCTATCATGTCTGTCTTCCCCGTTGTTATGTACTTCTGGAAAAGGTAACTGTTTCTCCTTATTCAGTGACTGTTAGGTCAGGAAAACACACTTAGTTTGGAGAGAGTTTTCTGCCTTCCTCTAGCACTCTGTTTCGTAGTTTCCAGTTTCTAGGGGGAACTAAGATGGTGTTTTCAAAATCCTATTCACCTCACTCCATCCCTCACACAGAACACCAAACACTGAATCCACAGATGGAAGGCAGAGTAAGACTGAGAGCCAAACGCCTGGTTTCCCACCCCTCCTCTTTCTATGCTTGCTTGGAGCAAGAATGTGAGGTTTTCTTAGGCCTGGGTTTCTCACAAGAAGGTAAGAGTGAACCACAGCCCCTTGGGGAGAAATTCTGTCAAGACTAACACAACTGCTTGTGCTTAAGAAGCTACATGAAGAAAGTAAGCCAGAAGTGTTTTGCTCTGTTATGCCCAAATCCCCAGAATTACCACTGAGGGAGCACAGTTGCTAGATACTCCAATTATCAAGAGGAGCTAGACATTGAAATGTGTATTTCATCTCTCCCAAGGTTAAAGTGGCAAATATGGCAACTAACAAAACTAAAACATGGTGAAGAAACTGTGAAGGCCAAAAACCAAAAATGAAACAAGCAAAATATATGCAGATATTTTGTGGCCAAATGCAATCTGTGGCCCACTTGTTTCTAACCTGTCCTGTGGAGATTTGGCCTGAGCCTTCCCAGCTGGTTATTTATTCCTGTGGTCTGCCAGAGTTCCAGCTCATATCTTCCACATGGTGAATGGCAGTGCCTTGGGTGGTAGTGACCAGAGGACACCTGGCTGAAATGTTCCCAGACAAAGCTAATCAGGACACTTAGATTATCATGTGACTTGGACTCTTAGAAGTTCCCATCTTCCACCAAAAAAAAAAGTTACTTTATTAAAATAGAAGTGTGAAATTGCTTACCAATCTCTCACCTTTATTTTAAAATCCTTGAGATAATAAACTATTTAATACAGAACCAAGAGAAGTACAAAAATCTAAGTTCAAGACAAGCAATTTAACCTTTTGAACATCAAATGTTGTCTAGAACTTAACTCTAGTTCTCCTAGCAAGGACTAAGTAGATATTCACCCAGAGACTTTTGGAGGGATTGGGAACCTCTGGGAAATATATGCTTCTCTTGAATGAGCCAGTGTTTAGCTGTCTCCCATGTGCTTAGAAAAATGAGACATGCTTTAGGGATTCTTTGGATTCCTGTTCCTCCTGCAGTTTCTTTACTTACTTTCCTACATACTTACAAAGAAATTTATGTTATGCAAACTGTGTTTACATATATTATCTTAAACGAACCTCTCCACAACCCTACACAGTGGGTGGGGAGGAGTATTATTATCCCTGTTTTACAGATGAGGAGACTGAGGTTCAGAGTGGTTGAGGGACTTGCCTAGAATCACTTGGTAAGTGGTAAAACCAGCATTAGAAACCAGGTCTCTTGGTCTCTCATCACCATAAATAATGCATGTGCGGCATACTGGGAGGTCCACTGGGGAAGGAGACCCAGTTCAGCAAGTGAAATGGGAAAAGCCTATTGAGATAGAACAGACTGTCCCTCAAGGAGAGGGGAGGAGGGCAGCAGGCAAAACCACCAGATCCAAAGTGCCATAGAAAATAAATTCAGTCTTAGCCAAGATTGACCTCCAAGGGATCCAATCCAAGGACTGGTTGAAGGTAGGGATAACAAGGGGCTTGGGGCCAGGAAGGAAGAGATGATGGGGAATATTGCACAGGCTTCTAGAGAACATAAAGGTCATAAAGAGTACATAAATCTGAGTTCACAAGAGAAACCAGGTCTATTCCAGGGAAGGGCCCGCTGGGAATAGAGTGAGGTGGTCAAGGCTGTCAGTAAGTGGCAGGGTGGAAACTAGGATTAGGACCTGAGCAAAAGCCCTTCAGACACTCTGGCCATACCAGGTGGGGTTAGATAGGGATGTCAGAGTCTGATGCTGGGGTGCACCCCAGGGGTTAACCTCACCCCAGGCCTCAGGATAGTAGGCCCTTTACAGGCTCCATTCACTGATGGTTCCAGAAAGAAGCCCCAACAAACTGCCCATGCCAGGCCCGCGCTGGAGCCAGGTCTGGACAAAGAGGAGGCCTCAGAACAAAGGCCACTGGCAGGTAGAACCCCAAGGCCAGGATGCTTTCCTCTTCTCTGTTGGACACCCACATTCTCTGAGGACTGGCCCGGCCCTGTTTCCCCTGTGCTCGGTGCTCCAGCCCCCTCCACTGGGGGTTCCCTCCTATGACCAGAAGCCATTCTTCCCACAGGTTTTGTTTCTGGAAGGCAACCCGCTCTTACTTACAGTATAGGGGGAAGAAGTTCAAGGACAGAAAAAGCCCTCCTAAATCTACGGACAAGTATCCTTTCTCGAGTGGAGGTAAGCTCCACCACGACTCACAGCCCCATTCTCCAGCAACCAAGACTTGTGAAGAGAAAGCAAGGGCCCAAGGGGCCAAATTCAAGACTTCCTTGAGGGTGTTTGCTGGAGCCGGGACAGCTCATTTACTTGGCCCTCAGGGAGACAGAGCACTCAGGGTAAAGCATGAATTACCTGTCACTAGCAGTGCTAGCAGAGGGTACCTCTCCCTAGCAATAACTCCAGGACGCCTCTGTGCATGCCGGTCACAGTCTATGCTGAGGGTACATGGAGAGGATGATCTGCTTTTCTGCTGCTTAAGAAGCCCCCTGCTCTATCTCCATTAAACCCTCCCATTAAGAAAGCATTTATTTTATAGCGTTAAGTGACAACATTAAAAACTGCATATATATAGTTTTAATGTGATAAATGTGTTTTATACATATATAATTTTTATGAAAGCAGACATATATATGTAAAACAGATATATAAAAGCATACACATATTTACTTATGTAAAAATTCGTAAAAAATAAGTAAATATGCATACATATATATATATACACACACATACAGCCATGCACCACATAATGATGTTTCAGTCAATAATAAACCATATATACAATGGTAGTCTCATACAATTATAACACTGTATTTTTACTGTGCTTTTTCTATGTTTAGATATGTTTAGATGCACAGATACCATGGTGTCACAATTGCAACAGCATTCAGTACAGTAGCATGCTGTATAGGTTTGTAGCCTAGAAGCAATAGGTTCTTCCATAAAGCCTGAGTGTGTAGTGGGCTCTGCCATTTGGTTTGTGTAAGTACATTCTATGATATTCACACAACCACAAAATCACGTAATGACACATTTCTCAGAATGTATCTCTGTCATACAGCTGTGATTGGTACTTGAGCAAAAGGGAATTTTTTTTTTTTTTGAGAGGCAGTCTCGCTCTGTGGCCCAGGCTGGAGTGCAGGGGCGCAATCTCGGCTCACTGCAAGCTCCACCTCCTGGGTTCACGCCATTCTCCTGCCTCAGCCTCCCGGGTAGCTGGGACTACAGGCACCTGCCACTGCGCCCAGCTAATTTTTCGTATTTTTAGTAGAGACGGGGGTTTCACCATGTTAGCCAGGATGGTCTCGATCTCCTGACCTTGTGATCCACCCCCCTCAGTGTCCCAAAGTGCTGGGATTACAGGTGTAAGCCACCGCACCCTGTGCAAAAGGGAATTTTAACAAGGAAGAGGTTGGTGAACAGAGCAGTGGCTGGTGAGGACAAGGCTGGGTGTCTTTCAGGGGAAAGTTCTGAAAACCAAAGAAAACAGGTCTGTGAATCTGGGAACAGCATCAGAGAGTCATAATATACAAGCTGTGAGACCTTGAGCATGGTGCTCCCCTCTCTCAGCCTCACATCCCTGATCTCATGTCTCAGCCCATTTTGTGTTACTAAAACAAAATACCTCATATTGGGTAATTCATAAAGAAAGGAATGTATTTGGCTCATGATTCAGGGGACGGGGAAGTCCAAGAGCATGACACTAACATCTGGCAAAGGGCTTTACGCTGCATCACCCCATGGTGGAAGGCAGAAGGGCAAGAGAGTGTGAGAGAGAATAAGAGACAGCTGAACTCACCTTTATAACAAACCCACTCCCATGATAATGGCAACAATCCATTCATGAGGGCAGACCCCTCATAGCTTCATCACCTTTCCTTTTTTTCAAGATGGAGTTTTGCTCTTGCTGCCCAGGCTGGCAATGGAGTGCAATGGCATGATCTTGGCTCACCACACCCTCCGCCTCCTGGGTTCAAGCAATTCTCCTGCCTCAGCCTCTCAAGTAGCTGGAATTACAGGTGAACACCACCATGCCCAGCTAATTTTATATTTTTAATAGAGATGAGGTTTTGCCACGTTGGTCAGGCTGGTCTCAAACTCCTGACCTCAGGTGATCCACTTGCCTCGACCTCCTAAACTGCTGGGATTACAGGCATGAGCCACTGTGCCTGGCTAGCCTCATCACCTTTTAAAGGTCTTGCCTCTTAATACCATCTCTGTGGCAATTAAATTTCAACATGAGTTTTGGAGGCAACATTCAAACCATAGCATCTCACATGCAAAGATTTAGATTTAGATAATGTTTTATCATTAACATTTTGTAATCTAAGTGTGTTAAACAAGAGCTTTATTGCTTACTTAGAGAGATTTATTTCAGTAGGAGTTGTCGCAGGTGTTTTTAATGCTTGTTTTTGTCCTTCCCCAGGAGACAATGCCATCTTAAGGTTCACCTTGCTCAGAGGTATTGAGTGGTTGCAGCCTCAACGGGAAGCAATAAGTTCAGTTCAAAATTGTGAGTTGGAATTGGATCCCCACTGATAGTTTGCTACTCAATCAGAGGGGGACTTTAAAACCAGCTTGGCCAATCCCCTTATTGACAATAAGGAGACTGAGACCCCCAAAATGTGAAGTAACTTGCTGAAGATCACATAGCTTGTGAGTGGCAGAGAGGAGGTGAAAATTTAGTCTCCTGACCTCCTTCCATGGCTCTGTGAGCAACTCTCATCTAAATAATCCTGTCTTCTTGGTTTTTGTAACCCCGGGAAGGCAGGTACCTTAAGCTTCTCTATATCTCTGCTGACTCCTCTTCTCATTTCCAGGCATGACGTATGATGTTTATTAAGAGACTATCACAGTGTCCTAATTGTTACTTCCCCCTCACACTGAGACCAACTGCTGATTTGAACACACCATTTCATACCTCCTGCTTCCTGGAGGCTCCTGCTATGAATCTCTTCCCTGTCACAAAACCTGCAGTTCTAACCTCGCATACTGAGGCCATATTATATTCTTTTTCTTCCCCATCTTCAGTCTCAAGGAGTCAACCCCACTCCCACACTCTAACCCTGCCTTTGTTTCCACATAGTCTCTCCTAACAAACCTTCCCTTTCTATCCCAACTGCCAGCTTCTATTAGGGGAAGAAATTGGAAATACTGCTTTTCTGCTTCTCACAGGCATGAAATGCCAGCATACCTGACCTGCCCATTTGTACGTGTTTCCTCATTGCTTCATGGGGGAGGCCACTATGGAACATTGCCTGTGATCCATAGGCTCCAAACAGCCCTAAAGTCTTGTGATTCTAGTGTTCATCTGCCCTGATCTCCTATTTTACTTCCCTAAGTCTATGTGATTGACATCATGGCCTTCGTGTCCAGATGAAAGGTTTCCTGGGACACACACAAACACACAAATTGCAGCATAGAAACAAGGTCTCCTGAATATCCCTGGAACAGGCCTGCTTTACCTTCACTTTCCAACCCCTACATTGGAGGTGTCCGTGGAAGCCCACCCAGCATGGTCCTCCAGGGTGGAGGCCTTTCAGTGACTGCGTCTATGTCATGAGTCCTGATGCAATTTTTCTCTGTATTTCTCTTTAGCTTCATCAAGCAAACTTACTCAGCCAAGACTCGTGGTATCTGCCATGCAGCTGCATCCCGTCCAGGGGTAGGCATGAGCTGGAAATCCTCTTCTTCAGTCCAGAGCTGCTATGTCCAAGCATGCAATAGGAGATGGTATAAACTTTCCAGAGACTAGCCTCATACCCTGCCTCTCCTTGGCATGCAGAACCTAGAAACTGAGCTTGCTGCCTCTGGTGGGAAGTTAAAGAGGTGTTTCTCTGTGGGGGTCCTTTCTCACCTCCAACTAGGACAGGCACTTTTAAGAAGTTGGAGTCTCTGACCCACTTTTCAGTAGAACAATACTGCTGTGGAAGTGTCCCAGATGATCTTTGATTTTTATTTTTCATTTTTATAGATTTAAGGAGTACAAGTGCAGTTTTGTTACATGGATATATTGGGAGGTAGTGAAGTCTAGGGTTTTAGTGTAGTCATGATCCAAATAGTATACATTGTGCCCATTAGGTAATTTCTCACCCTTACCCACCTCCCACTCTCGCACTCTTCCAAGTCTCCAGTGTCTATTATTTCGCGGTCAATGTCCAGGTGTACATATTATTTAGCTCTCACGTGTAACTGAGAACATGCAATACTTCACTTTCCATTTCTGAGTTATTTCACTTAAGATAATGGTCTCCAGTTCCATCCATGTTGCTGCAAAAGACATGATTTTATCTTTTTATGACTGTTTAGTATTACATTGTGTATATGTATCCTACATTCTCTTTATTCAGATGATCTTTTATTGCCAGCTTCCTAAATATTCCAGGCTGCTCAGGGCAGGGTGCATAAGGTGGGAAAGAAAGAAGATCTGTTCTTCTGCTTGGCAGGATATTGGCAATAAGAACAGAAGGGACTTGAGTCTGTTAAAATCTGCTTCAGCCTAACTCACTTCTGCACAAGCTTCCAAGTGAAACTGATGCTAAGTTAGGGCTCTGGGAGAATCCCCAGGGGTCATGAAAACCATAGCTGAGGAGTGCCAAAGAGTTATTTGAAGGCCAAGGTGGTAGACAGCAGCCTCTGAATGACAGGCTTGGTGTCCTTGCCAGCCAAGTCACTTCTCAGGCCTGTTTCCAGACTTGTCCTTCCAACAGGGACTTGAAGCTGCCCAGGAATTATTTGCCCGTCCCAGTGCCCAGAAGACAAACCAGATACTTTGAAGCTCTTTACACTGGAAAAGCAATGCATGGCTTCAGAGTTTATAAGGCCTTGGGGAAGAAGGTGAGACTAAGAATGTGAGAAGCCCTATTCTGAAGCCTGAAGGTTTCAGTTTTGGCTATTGCCATTCCTAAAGGAAATGACAGTGACAAACCAACAGAGAATGCAACCTCAATTACTGCATCATAATTGTGATAACTGGCTGTTTTCTCTCCCTTCAGACAAAAATTATCCTACATCAAAAAAGAGAAGTAATCAAGCGAGACCCCCAGCAGAGATAAATCATCTCTTAGAGGCCTCCTAACACTGACAGAAACTTTTCTGGTCAAAAATGAAAGGTCCTGGTACCATCTTCCCCAGAAACGATCAAGAAGGGCAATGGGTTGACAGCCCAGATATGGCAGGACCAGACTGCAATGGGTAAGACTTGGGCAGAGCATGAGAGGAAGCGCATCTTTCCACTACAGTGAGTTGGGTCAGGAGACCTGGGCTCTAGGTCTTGCTCCACATCTTCCTGGCTGTGTGCAAATCCTGGCTCAGGTTGTTAAAGAATCCCATGACAAATGGATGTAAAGATCACTGAAGGCAATCAGGAGCAAGGTGCTATAATTATCAGCAAGGACAGATGGTGTCTTTTAATGGTAGGATCTCTCATTTAGACAATGACTCACACCCATTGTCTCAGTAAGTCCTCACAACAACCCTGTGGGCAACCATGTCAGAATTCATTTATTTTTAAACAGTTAAAGAATCTGACTCACAGAGAAGGTAAGTGACTCTCCTAAGATTACTGGGCAGTAAATGGCAGCATCTGGACTAGAACACACCATTTCTGATTTTTTGTCCTGTTCTTGTTCTATGCCAACCTTTTATGTAACTTTTCATGCACAAAAGGAATAGTTCTTCCCGAGAGTTCTGTTCATTTGCCAACTAGTGGATAAAAAAACTTTAAGGTTTTTGACCTAAAGCCCTAAACTATTGTCATAATTTTAAATGAATAGGCCTATTTTCTCTCCTTTGAGAAAAAAAAAATCAGAAGTAAAATGAGTCAGAATTTCCTGAACAAGCCCTCCACCTGAGGTAACTGAGGACAGGTTGGCTTGTCATCTCTGTGGGTTACAGAATAGGAAAGGACTGGAAAGCTTTTTGGAGAATACTTTCAAATTTCTGGCCAAAGCTTCCTGCTGTGCCGAAGTTTTTTATTTCCCAGACTTTTCACAAGGATGAAAAAGGTGATGTTGGAGCAGAACTCATGAACACCTGAGACTCTGAGGTCACCTGGTGGGGCTGTGATTGCAGGAGATCCAGGAAGACTGTGGGCAGACATGACTCTAGAGGAGGCTGAAAAAAGGCCAGGTGTGGAGAGCCCCTTGGGCCCCTGGGAGAAGGCCCAGCAAGACAGGAAGGCCTAGACAAAAGGGCATGAGTCTTCCCTTCCCTATCAGGGCTAGAGCTTTAGAACAGGACTGCAATTAATAGAATGAAGAGTGGGCATGAAACAGAATCCCAGTTCCTAAAAATCAGGCAAAAACTAAGGCAAGACCCCAGGTAAGGAATAAAGAAGAGCTCAGTTAGTGGAATTGAGGTAACAGGGAAGCATTTCATCAAAAAAGAACAAGTCACAAGCCCCAGGCATGAAACTAGAGAGGATGTTAGGCCAGCAACAAGGTGACTGACAAGGATCTAGCAAAATACTAACTCGTGGTCACATACTGAAATACACTCACATTGGAGTGGGACATGGGTGAACCTGCATGTTGGCAATAGATGGGCCACACTTAAGGAAAAGAAAGGTACTTTTCCTGATCTATTTGAACTTAGATCTTTGCCCCATCTTCCTATTTCTTAATTATCTTTCTCTCCACATTCACCATGGTTATACTCATGTGTAGGTATGCAAACACACAAACATGTTATTTAAAAGGATTAATGATACTTATTAGGTCTTCCCTGAGTTGGAAAAAAAAATCTTCTCTTTTGTTAAGTTTTGTTGATTGCTTCTTTCGGTTTCTTACATGCTCCCTTCAAAGATCCCAGATCTAACATGTTCTAATGCCAGTTAGTCTAGTGTCACTAAGTCAGTCACCTGTAGAATACAGGCAGGGTGTATAAATGAGTAACGCAGTCCATGAGAGATAAGAAGGAGTGGTAGAGACTGTGGTGAACTGGAGAACGTGTCCCAAAGGGGTCAGAGACAGTCCGCTCAAGCCAGCCAACCTGGTGTTGCCAGAGCTTCTACTTAGGAATAAAAAGAAGGAAGGAAGGAAGGAAGGAAGGAGGGAAGGAAGGAAAAAAGTGAGAAATTAAAAATGTCTGTAACATTACAGTTAAAACAAAACTTAGTTAGGGACAAGACTGACCCACAGCCCAACAAATTGCATTCCTTGCTTTAATATTTTTCTTTGCCCTTGAAATTAGATTTGGGTCTTGGGTCTAGTTTGAATAAAAAATATGGGAGGGGAGGAAAAGGCGTCCCAACACTAGATCCAGGGGCCACTGCCGTCTAAGGAAAAGGCCAAGAAAGAGGGACCAGGTAAGGAACCTGGCCTACTTCAGTTCCTGTGTTAGTTTCCTTTTGCTACCATAACAAGTTACCAGAAACTTAGTGGCTTAAAACAACACAAATTATTATTTTACAAGTCTGTAGGTCAGAAGTCTGACCTGGGACTCAAGCTAACATCAGGGTGTCAGGAAGGCTGTGTTCCCCTCTGGAGGCTGTTGGGGAGGATCTGTTTCCTGGTTCATTCAGGTTATTGGCAGAATTCAGTCATTGTAGGTACAGGATGGAGGTCTCACTTCCTTCCTGGCTGTCAGCTGAGAGCCGTTCCCAGTTTCTGAGAAGCCACCTGCATTCCTTGGCTCATGGCCTTCTTCCTCTGTCTTTAAATCCAGCAATGGTGGGTCAAGTCCTGCCCGTTCTTTGAATTTCTCCTGCCTCTTCTTCTATCATCACATCTCTCTGGTTCCCTCTTCTGCCTCCCAACTCCCTTTTAAGGGCCCACCCAGACAATCCAGAATAATGTCTCTGTTTTAAGGTCCTTAGCCTTAATTCCACCCACCAAATTCCTTTTGCTATGTAAGGTCACACATTCACAGATTCTAGAGTTTAGAGCATGGATATCCTAGGGTGGTCACCAGAAATTCTACCGACCATGGTCCTAGACCACCTTCCTTAGAGAAGAATGTATGAACGCACAATCTGGGCCTCTGATGCGATTATTGCCTCCTAGAGACTTGGGAACACCATTTTTTTCTTTCTCTTGTCATAGCTCTGACTATTCTTTCTGATTCTTCTTCACATTTCTTCTGCTTCTTCCTTAAATATCAGTGCTCCCTGTGGCTCTCCTGTTGAACTTACCTTCTTACAACGCACTCTCCCATTTGCTTGAGATCCCTAGCCCCTAGCTTCTCCTCTAATAGGATCCACTGCAAATTTAATCCATTCTAACAGGATCCACAGCACAAATTTAATGTATCCCAAATCAGTTTTGGCCCCTTTATTTCTTTTCTCCAATCAACCCCATCTTCCAAGCTAGAAAACTCAGAATCATCCTCAACTCATTCCTCTGCCTCCCCTCCCATATTTTACATGCAGGAAAGGGAAGTTCTGCCACTCTGCCTTGGACATGTCGCTGCTATCCAGACCTTCCTCTCTATCCCACTGGCACTGCTTTTGTCGGGCCCTTGTCCCCATCACTGGCCCTGTGAAGTCACCACATTCCCCTCTCCACACACACCCAACACACTCTGCTTCATCCCACACACTGAGAACAAATCTGACCTGCTCATTTCCTCAGCGTGAAAGCTTTTATTCCCCTCCTTCACCTGGTTGGAAAAGTCTCACTCCTTTGTGGGACATACAAGGCCATTGCTAATATGGCCTCAGTTCAGGTTTCCAGGTTTATCTTTTTCCTCTCTCTATCTCATACACACCATTCTCCAGCAACTTGGTGATTGCCTAAAGGGCCCTTCCCTTTCTTCTCCATCACACAGACATCACACTGTGATACCTCCTGATTCCCCTTTCTCCTCTTACTCTCTCCTCTTAGTTTCTGAGACACATTTTTTCCTCTCCTTGAGATACTTATTCATGTATGTGTCTCACCTACTAGACTACATGCTTTTGTAGGGCAGAGACCAAGTCCTATTTTTATTTGTACCTAGAATAGACCAAGAACTATTTTTCACCTTACCTAGCACAGTGACATGCAGATAATAGTTGCCTCATAAATACATATTGAATGCATGACTAAATGAATTGTGCTGGGTGCTGGAAACGCAGTGGAGAAAACAGAATGTGAAGTTCATGCTTTCACTGACCTTATAGTCAGACTGTGCTATTAACAGAAAATCAGTTCAACTATCAATTACAGTTGTGACGACCACCATAAAGAAGAAATAGCAAATGCTATTGTCTTCATGAATTTTTCTGTATTCCAATAAATCTTGATGCTTTAAGAACTCTTTGTTTTTTAGGAATCTCATACAGCCCATTCAGACTAAAGGGTGATGGAAAGAAGCAGAGGAAAGCAGAAACAGCAAGAGTGACTGAGACCTGCTGTCATCTATATAGAAGCCTTTCTGATACATGTCAGAGAGTGACATGAAGTCTCCCCTCTTTATACACACGTATGAAAATACATCTATCCCTCATTTTGAGAGCCTCCAACTGATCCAAGTGTCATCCGGAGGAGGAGGTGGCCCGTATGTGCAGGACCTCAGGGTGCCAGCCCTCACCCATACACCTCCAGGGCTGCAGGTCATTAGCCAGAATAAAGGATGTCCACATTCACAATCTGTGGGCCTGCCATCCTCTTCATAAGTAAAAGAGCACAGGGAAAATGATAAGTTGCTCCCAAGAGGGCTCCCAAGGTCATTTCCAATCCAAATGATTCGTGGATACAATACTTCTTTTCCCAGATGAAGATCACAAGCCAGCTAGTCCCACCCAGTGACTTTAACACGTGGGCCCTCCCCCAGCAAACAGAGTCCAGACCAGAAGGCCCTGCACCCTCCGTCAGAGCTCATGGTTTTCCATGAGACAGTCTTGTTTAAATCCCATCTCTGCTCCTAGCAACTTTGTGATCATCAGCAAATTACTTACCCTCGCTGACTCCCAACACTATATGTGAAATGCAGCTGATGATGTCTACCTCATAGGGTTGTTTGAGGACTGACTGCATATAATGTAGTCCAAGAGCACAGCATAAGGCCAGGAACAGATGGAGGGTGGGGGACTTTAGTTGCTTTCCCTCCTTCTATCTTTTCCCTAAACTTTCCAGGACATGAAGGAAGTGGTTGGTCAGGAGTGGTATAGTGAATAATTTATTCCTGGGAAAACTCTGAATGTATTTCCTCCAAAAAGTTACATGGTCCTTGGGGGCAGAATGAAAAGGGCATCACAAGTCCCAGCTACATGGGAGGCTGAGGTGGGAGAATCACCTGAGCCTGGGAGGTCGAAGCTGCCATGAACCAAGATCGCACCACTGCCCTCCAGCCTGGGCGACAGAGTGAGACCCTGTCTCAAAACAAAACAAAACAAAAAACAACAAAACCCCACAAGATCCGTTTAATTCCTAACACATACATAGTCCTTTGGAAGATATCTGTGTGTTATATGTTTATTATTAATAGGGAGTAATGAGACTTCTTTCCATGCCCTCTACATGCACACCCTGAGTTCCTGACAGATACGTACTTTTAAAATATTAGTGAGCCTTTATTGCACACTCACTATGTGACAGCAGGGCTAGGAATTGTAAGCCTCATTCTATAGGCAAAGTAATGCAGGCAGGAAGATGCCAGCACTACACATCTTGTCAGTGGCTTCAAAATATGTGGCGCTTCCTGGTGTCCCGTGGAGATTCTGTACACAAAGACTCAACAATTTACTTAAATGTCAGAGGAAAATCAGAGAGTCTACATGAGTCATTTTTTTTCAAGAATTGTATTTGTGCCGAAATATGGGTTTGGGTAGGTGGAAATGAGAACAGTGGAACAAAAAAAAAAGATTGAAGAGATGTAGGACTGCCAGACTTAGCAGATAAAAATACAGGCACCGGGTTAAATATGAATTTCAGATAAGCAATGAGTACTTTTTTAGCTTAAGTATGCCCAAATATTGCATGGGACATATTTAACTGATACTAAAAAAGTTATCTGTTGCTTACTTAAAATTCAAATTTAACTGAACAGCCTATGTTTGATCTAGCAACACCCCCTGTTCCCCACCTCCAACCAAAATGGGATGGGCCTGGGAATTTGAACACACAATACTGGGGCTGGGACTGGGGTTGGGGCAGGGTCCCAGCAGGGATGAGAGGAGCATCTGCTTTGGTGGGGGAATTACTCTTCTCCAGTCCTGCCTCCTGAGGCCCCATCCTGGACTTTCTGAGGGTGAAAGTGAGCTATGAGTGCTGAGTCCCTGCAGGTGAAGGGAGGAGCAAGAAGAATCCAGAGGGCTACAGAAAGCAGGGAGGGAAGGGGAACCACAAGTCCTCTGGGCACCTTCAGGAGGGGAGAGGATGGCTGGGTGTAAAACATCAATTACACTTGGTCTAAATGGGCACTGATGGCCTCATCTGACAAATTCAGTGCCAATGATGGTATTGTTTCTGTGAGATATGATGATTCTGCTTCCAGCTACCATCTGTCATAGAAATTTGGAAATTAAACCCATTCATATGCTGCGAACTAGGGACCAGGGACTGGTGTGGTGCCATGGATAGTGAGGAAGGATAGAGGCCCCAGGAGAACATAGGAAAGGTCCCAGCAGAAGAGAGATGGCACTCTCTAATTAGGGTAATCTGAGATGGTTTGGTAAAGGGACAACTTACAAAGGCAGAGGAGAGTGCAGGGAGGTTGTGAGGGAAAGTGCAGTACCCAGAGCTAGTTACACAGGGGCTCCAGGGAGGTTGTGAGGGAAAATGCAGTACCCAGAGCTAGTTACACAGGGGCTCCAGGACCAACCCTGGGCTCTGAGGATAGGGCACCTGGTAGCTGCACCCAAGGACAGAATTGGGAAATCAGACCTCTTTGCCAGGGGGTTGGGCCATAATCATGAAAGACACAATCCCAAACGCTATAATCTTGAAGGCTGAAATCCTGAAAGATTTCACTATCCCTAAAGTCTAAAATTCAACAAATCACAAGCCTGAAAGCTCAAAATCCTGAAAACACAATTCTGGAAAAAATAATTTTAAAAATTCTTTTAAAATATTTATTTACATTTTAAAAGGGGATGTATTTGGAAGACATGAAAACACAGCAGAACTCTTCATAAGCCACTTGACATGATAAAATAGACAATGATAACATTTTGGTAAGTGTAAATACTCAGCTATGCTAATGACAGCCACACAAACGTAACAGTATGAGCAGACAAACCATAGTCATAAGGAAGCAAGTCAAAAACAAAATATATAATTCATATCACTATGCTTCGTAATTGTGTGCACCCAGCTTTATAACTGCAGTCATCTGAAATATTATGACACACAACCTAAGTATTTTGACAAGATCAGTCAAAAACCACACTAGGCCACTGCTACCACATACGCAGTTGCCCAAAGAGCTGAGATCTTGAGAAATGTTATCTGTCATAAAAGCAGGTGTACAAAAAGGACCATCTCTTCATTTACTGAGAAAGTTTCAATGTTTTTACATACATGGACAAAGTCAACGAAGGAGTCAAATTTGCAAAAAATGCATAAAACAAATTAGAACTCTCTAAAAGCCTTTACGCAATTTATACCCCCAGTATTGGAAATGATGCAAAGATGGAATACATAACAAATTGTCAAAAAAATGGTGACAATTTAAAATAGTAGGGGAACAAAACAAAACAAAACATAAAAACTAAAAAAATTCAACATATATAAAGGTATATTACATATTATGGGCAATTGCTCGGAAGTAGTCCATAAGAGTGGACCGACTTTTATGATCATGATATTTTGAAGTCTTGCATCTTGAATAGCTGTTTTTTTTTTCTTTTAGGGTGTGTCTCTCCTTGGAGAATGTGTTCACATTCATTTTCTATATGGCGCTACTTATTTTGAAATTCTTCTATGATTTGATATAAATGGACATGAGTACTTCCTATTAAATTTTCTCATCTTCTATGCCATGCTTCTATGTTGCTTTGGGTATTCATAAATCCATTCTGCACGCATTCATATATAAGACCACAAATTTGGCAGAAACAATCTACTGTGCAAACAGCAACACCTTTGTGTGTCTTCTTATCCTACAGTGTATGTAACTGTTTTCAAATCTGTCAGTAACTTCACTATTTACTTGTTGTTAAGATGGAGTGATGACTTCTAAGCTCCTAACAGACCAGATGAGAAACTGGAAGTTCCTGCGAGATTTTTTAATGCTGGAGCCTAAGCCCCACGCAACGTTCTGATTTAATTGGTCTAGGGTCGAGCCCAAGTGATTCTAACTTGCAGCCAGAATTCAGAACTACTGATTTGTATCACATACGCTTTATTGCTGAAAAACGAGAGACAGGCAATCAGAATGGGCACAGAGGACTTTGTCTTTGGTCAGTTCAGTCAGCCTTCTCTGGACTGGCTACAGTTCTGTAGGTCTTATTTAAAAAAGTGTTATCCATGTGGCATTTGTTGTTCTGCTCCTGGCCCTGCCATTCTCAATGATTTCTGTGTGTTTATGCTAGGAATTAGTGACATAGACAGCTTTAGACTTTTCTTTAGTTGTCTTCCTGATGATAACTCAACATTTCTGTGGCTTCAAGAACAGTGCCAGTTTGCCTCAATCTCTTTAGTCTGCAGTGACTCTGGGATTATCTCCAGGAACGTGACAGCAAATGTGCTTTACCAACTTCTTAAAAATAAACATAGTGATATCTTTCTCCCAAAGAAATATGTTTGTAAATTTTTCTCACACCTACATAGTCTCTCAATTTAACCCAATCTCTGTGGCATTTTACTTGGATTATTATAGCATGACTGTCAAATTTAAAGGTTTTTCTATGACATCATCTTTCCCCAACCTTTATTTAAAAAAAGAAAAAGAAAGAATGTTGTAGCAGGTAGGTACTCCATGATCTAAAATATGTCAGCAATTTCACATTATTTGCATCTTTTAAAAGATTTTTTAGCTGGGTGTCGGGGCACTCACCTGTAGTCATAGCTACTCAAGAGGCTGAGGTGGGAGGATCACTTCAGCCCAGGACTTTGAGGCTCCAATGAGCTTTGATCCCACCACTGCACTCCAGCCTGGGCAACAGAGGGAGATCTTGTCTCTAAAATTAAAAAATATATTTTTAAAAAATTTAACAACTTTTTTGAAGTACGATACAATTCACCATACAATTCACTCCTTTAGGTTGTATACGCTATAGTTTTTAACTGAATTCACAGGTTTTTACAGTCAATACAATCTAATCCTAAAACATTTTTGTTGCCCCCAAATGAAACCCCATACCCACTGGCCATCACTCCCCATTTCTCCTCACTATGCTCCCCAGCTCTGTGCTACCACCAAACTACTTTCTGTCTCTATAGGTTTGCCTTTTCTAGACATTTCACATAAATGGAGTCACACAACATTTAGTCTTTTGTTAACTGGCTTCTTTCACTTAACACAATGTTTTCAAGATTCATCCAAGTCATAACAAATACTCATTCCTTCTTATCACTGAATAATACTCCATTATATGGATATACCACTTTATTCATCCATTTATCAGTTTATGAACATTTGAGTTGTTTTTCACTTTCTGCCTACTATGAATAGTGCTGCTGTAAACATTCATGAATAAGTTTTTGTGAGGATTTATGTTTTTATTTTCTTTGTGTGTCTATCTAGGGGTAGAACTGATGAGTCATATGGTAAGTCTGTTTAACACTTTGAGAAACTATCAGAATGATTTCCAAAGCACAGTTTCACATTTCCACCAGGAATGTATGTGTTTCAATTTCTCCACAACCTTACCAAAACTTGTCATTGTCTGTCTTTTTTATTTTAACCATCCTAGTGAGTGCGATGTGAAACCTCATTGTAGTTTTCATTTGCATTTCCTTAACGGCTAATGATGTTGAACGTCTTTATGTATGCATACTGGTTGTTTGTGCATCTTCTTTAGACAAATGTCTGTTCAAATCCCTTGCCCATTTCTAAGTTGGATTATTTTTAGTTTTTCATTTTTAAGTTGTAAATGCTTTTTATATATTCTAGATACAAGTTTCTTATCAGATATGTGATTTGCAAATATTTTCTCCCATTCTGTAGGTTGTTTTTACACTTTCTTAGCGTTATTTGCAGCATAAACTTTCAAGCCTTGATATAGTCAATTTTCTTATTTTTTCTTTTGTAAGTTGTACATTTGGTCTTATATCTAAAAAACCATTGCTTAACCAAAAACCACAAAAATTTACTCCTATGTTTTCTTCTGAAGGTTTTATAGTTTTAGCTCCTATATTTAAGTGTATTATTCATTTTGAGTTAATTTTTGTGTATGGTGTGAGGAGGGGTATCGATTTCATTCTTTTGCATGTGTATATCCAGTTATCCCACCTCCATTTGTGGAAAAGACTATTCTTTCCCCCATAGAATTGTCTTCCATACTCCTGGCAAAGAATCAGCTTATGACCAACGTAAAGGTTTATATCTGAACTCTCAGTTTTATTTCATTAATCTACATGTCTGTTCCTATGCCAGTACCACACTATTTAATTATTGTGGCTTTGTAATAGGTTTTGACATCAGGAAGTGAGAGTCCTCCAATTTGTTCTGTTTTTTTCTTTTTCCAGATTGTTTTGGCTAAGTTGGGGCTGTTGTATTTCCATATTTTAGGATCAGCTTAATTTCTGCTAAATAAGTAAATAGGTAAATAAACAAATGTCAGCTGGATTTGATCAAGATTGCATTGACTCTGGAGTTCAACTTAGAGTGTATTGTCATCTTAACAGTACTAAGTCTTTCAATCCATGAACATAGGATGTCTTCCCATTTAACATAGTAAAATTGAGACTTATAGATTCTTAAGACTAAAATTAGCATTACAGGTAAGTCTTCCTTTGGATAACAGCTTAATTTGCTAACAGTTGAATAAAAACCCATTTTTTAATATCAAATCACTTTTTCATAGCTAATATTAATAAATGTTCATAGAAATTCTTGGCCACCCTCCACCCATACATACAATTTAAAATGATGCAAGGCCACATGCCAAAAGCATTTCAGTTAAATTGAAAAGGTAGAACAAATTTAAAAAATTCAAAGTGAAGGCAAATAATCTTGGAAAGGGAATGACTTTCTAAGCATAACACAAAGGCAAAAAGCTGAAAGAAAAATACTAATGTATTGTACTACTTAATGATCTAAAGTTTCTATTCTTCAAAGTTTCTCATAAACAAAATTAAAAGTACAATTTAAAAAGAGGACTACATAGAAGATACTTGACAAAGTGAATAATTTCGATATATAAAGAGCTCTTTAAAAATGACAAAAAATGAACACTTCAAATTTTTTGTAATGGAGAAAGAACACGGGCAGTCACACAAATCATTATCTACCAATAGAGGGTGTAAATGTTTGGCTTCAGAAGTAGTCAAAAAAATCCAAAATAAAGCAGGAGAGTTAATTTCTTACCTATGAAACTGATAGAGCTATTTTTTGTTCGTTTGTTTTTTAAATAAAGAGACTGCCTCTTGTTAAGTGTGAGGGAAAACAGACATTCTCATATAGACAAAAGAAAATTGTAAGTTGATGCAGCCCTTCTAGAATACAATATGCTAATATATTTCAAACTCATAAAAATATGAAAACTTTTAAACCAGTTATTCAAGTTCTAAATATTTAACTCTAAGGAATTAATCAGAGATGTGTGCAAAGGCTGATCTCAAATTAATTTTACTGTTGTTAATTGCAGTAAATAAAAATGCTAACTGTCCAGTAAGAGGGATGCAGTTAGATAAATCATGGTGCATGTTGCAGACAAGTATTTAATAATGTGAGAAAATATCCAGAATGGAAGTCAATGCAGATACAAAAGCTGCATTATGCTATGACTCAAGTTATGACTAATAGTATGCAGATATGTGAATCCATATTGTTATGAACATAATAATATAATGTATATGCATATTAAAAATACCAGAAGTTGGGAGACTGAGGCAGGAGAATTGCTTGAACCCGGGAGGCGGAAGTTGCAGTGAGCCGAGTTTGCGCCACTGCACTCCAGCCTGGGCGACAGAGTGAAACTCCGTCTCAAAAAAATATGTATCTATATCAGAAGTTTAACACTGATTACTCTGTGTCAAGATTACAAAGTGCTATTTATTTTATTCTTTCTTCTTTTCTAAAATTAACTTTCCCACAATGAACTAAAATTAAACATACCCACCCAGGTATTTCACATATTTCAAGTAATAATTATGTATACATTTTTACAGTAATATTTAGAAGGAAGAAAATAACTATATATATTTTTTAAGGAATAAATTATATGTGTGACATAGATCTTTGGAGTATTAGTCATATTAAAAATGGAAGCAAACTATAAATCAGCCAAAGGAAAATGTGTAAACAATCTTGGATACTTTAACCTGATAGAGTATTAGATATTCATTTAAATAATTACTATAAATCAATATGATGCTATATTTGTAATATAAGTAATTTTATCTAAGTAAAAATGCAGCATCAGAATGAACTAATACACTAGGGTGTCAATTATGTGAAACTCTCATATGCATGTAAATGAGTTCAAGATAAAATACAAAAAATTAAAATAGCTTGTTACAGTAAAAAGAGTGTGAGTATTTATGATACTTTCATTGTATTATTTATCAAATAATATGAATTATAACATAATTGGGTTTCTCACAGGACACAACTATTAAACTTATAATACATTTGATTACTCATTTTTAAATTGCCTTATGTCTTAAAGTTCAACTTTTTTTGCTTCTGGTCTTTTTCAACCCACATCATTTACCCAAGATTTTTTAAAAAGTAACACCCTACAGGTGCTATTTTGCTGTTCTGTTCTTTACGGGAAGTGAAAAAAAGCTCCCTCAGCTCTATGTGTTCAGGGCCCAGCACACAGCCAGTACTTACTGCATATCAGTGAGATTAATTCAAGTATAAAAACTGGTAAAACATAAGCCTCAATTTCCACTCAGATGTGGGTAACTGGCAGATGCCTGTAAGGCAAATTTCTCCTTTCGATTTTTATTTGTTTGCTTGTTTGTTTGTTTGTTGAGACAGGGTCCCACTCTGTTGCCCAGGCCAGAGCTCAATGACATGATCATGGCTCACTGTAGTCTCAGGCTCACACCACCACAGCTATTTTTTTTAGGTGGGGTTTCACTATGTTGCCCCCTTTCTAGAATGTATTTGCTACCCCTTCTCTTTGCTTCCACTTTAATCTCTTGTCTTTTTATTTTTTGTCACACTTCTCCATCCCCTTTTTCCTCCCTCCTCTACGCCTCCCTAAACTTTTTTCTCCTCTTTCTATCCTACTTCACCTCTTCTCTTTTCCTCATATACTCATACTCCTCTGCATTCCCGCCTTCATATTTCCCCCCTCCCTCCTTTCCCTCAACTTTCTCTCCCCAGTCCCATCTTCTTGTTCTTCCTATTGTTGTCACTTTTTTCTCTGTCTTCTGTTCCCTTTTTTCATTAGATGCATCATAAAAACACCAAATTGGAAGCCACTGCTAACTGTTCCTCTTCTTATTTCCCTTCTCCTCTTCATATTTTTAGTAATAGAACCCCCTACATTTTAGCTGCGCCCCTGGTTACCCAAGCAGAAACTTCATTCCCCAACCTCCCTTGCAGCTGGGTAAAGACATGTAGCTGAATTCCGCCCAAAGGAATGTAGGCAGAAGTGATGGAAGTAACTATTTGACCTCTCTTCCTCTTTCTCCCTGTTATTTTCTTCCTACACTCATTCAATAATCATTTCTCATTGCAAGGCCTTTAATACTATCATTAGATGACTCACGAATTTCTCCCCAGCCAATCTCCCTGAACTCCTGATCCACACATCTAACCCTATATGACATCTCCACTTAAACGTCTATTAGAAATATCACTTTTGTCATGTCCCAAATGAAACTCTTGGTCTTCCCTCTAAACCTGCTCCTCTGGAAGCCTTTCCACCTCCATTTAATAGCAGCCCTACTCCTCCAGTCACTCAAGGCCAAAATGCTGACAATTGTCCTGGACTCGTCTCTCTCACACCATATCTCACTCTGTCAGTAAATCCTGTTGGCTCTACCTTCAAAATACATCCCCAGTCTGCCTGCCCACTTGAAGTCAACCTCACTGCCGTCACCCAGCATCGGCTACTAAAGTCTTTGCACAAACTATTTAATAGTCTCCTAACTGATCTTCCTGTTTTTACTCTTGCCCTCTGCTTTCTGTTCACAGAGGACCCAGAGTGATTCTTTTAAGTGTTAAGCTACATCATGCCACTCCTCTGCCCACAGTCCACTGAGGGCTTCCCATCTCAGTAAAAACCCAAACCCTTCCATGTGCTTTGGGGCCCTCCCTCCCTGGTTCCCTGACCCCTCTGTCTTCCCTTCTTCTTGCTGGTCTTTGCTCACTCTGTATGGCAACCATGCTTTTGTGCTCCTCAAACAGCTCAGGTATGAACAGGCCCCAGGGCCTCTGAACTGACTATCCGTCCCCTCTGTTTGCTTTCCCTCAGATACCTCCACAGCTTGCTCTTTTGCTTCCTTGCAGTTTCACTTGGTAGGCTCCCTCTTGATGCGGTCCACCTGACCCCCGTCTTTAAATTTAATCTACTTTCCCTAACTACCAACTCTTACCTTGCTTAACTTTCTTCCTGCTTACTATTACCCTCTAGTATACTCTGTCCTTATGGATGTTGGTTTTCTTCCCCACCCTGCTCCCACCTCATGAGGACAGGGATTTTGGTCTTATTTGTTCACTGACTTATGGAGCGTAACTTCCTACTTCCTGGTCTGCTGAACAGCTGAGGCATTAACATGAAAGACACATAATCTTCTACCTTGTCTGAGTCACAGTCATTTGGTCCCTGTTAAAAGAGCTAAACAAAGTCTTCGCTAATTATTCAGTTTCACAAAATGTATTTTTTAAAAGACTTGATTCTCAAGAAGAATGTTCAGTGAGCAGAAAGTGAAATTCTCTGTGTTTATGTCTCTCATTGCTTTGGGTTCACTCCTGCTGTGGACATCAAATCACTTCAAGATTCGTGGGTTAAATTTTTATAGGCCAATATTAGTGGCTAACATAGTAATGTTATGTTATTATTTTTGAATAAATATTATTAATAAATAATATTAAATATAAATATTATCAACATAGACTCCTGTTGATGGTGTTCTACAGCCTCAAAAAATCCAATTACTTTGCTTTTTCCCCACCCACTTCTCTCCTCTTGTTAGTACCATCTTTGGGTCTTGTTGGGAACAGGCCCCCCAAAATCTGGCCATAAACTGGCCCCCAAATTGGCCATAAACAAAATCTCTGCAGCACTGTGACATGTTCATGGTGGCCATGATGCCCGCACTGGAAGGTTTTGGGTTTACTGGAATGAGGGCAAGGAATACCTGGCCCACCCAGGGTGGAAAACTGCTTAAAGGCGTTCTTAAATCACAAACAATATCATGAGCGATCTGTGCCTTAAGGACATGCTCCTGCTGCAGATAACTAGCCAGAGCCCATTCCTTTATTTCAGCCCATCCCTTTATTTCCCATAAGGAATACTTTTAGTTAATCCATAATCTATAGAAACAATGCTTATCACTGGCTTGTGTTCATAAATACATGGGTAAATCTCTGTTCAGGGCTCTCAGCTCTGCAGGCTGTGAGACCCCTGATTTCCCACTCCACACCTCTATATTTCTGTGTGTGTGTCTTTAATTCCTCTAGCGCCATGGGGTTAGGGTCTCCCCGACCGAGCTGGTCTTGGCAGGCTCTTTTGTTTGTTTGTTTTTGAGACAGAGTCTGGCTCTGTTGCCCCGGCTGGAGTGCAGTGGCCTGATCTCTGCGCACTGCAACCTCTGCCTCCCAGGCTCAAGCTATCCTCTCATCTCAGCCTCCCAAGTAGCTGGGACCACAGGCACATGCCGCCAGATCTGGCTAATTTTTTTTTTTTTTTCATTTTTAGTAGAGACAGGGTTTCACCTTGTTGCCCAGGCTTTTCTTGAACTCCTGATCTCAAGTGGTCTGCCTACCTCAGCCTCCCAAAATGCAGGGACTACAGATGTAAGCCACCATGCCTGGCCCATCTTTTGGTCTTAGTCTAAGCAAATAGGCCATAAAGCAATGAAAAGTTTACACAAATGAAAAACACTGTGGAAGTGATGAAAAAACATTCCTTTTAAAAAAAAAAATATGGCCGGGTGCTGAGGCTCATGCCTGTAATCCCAGCACTTTGGGAGGCCGAGGCAGGTGGATCACGAGGTCAGGAGATCGAGACCATCCTGGCTAACATGGTAAAACCCTGTCTCTACTAAAAATACAAAAAAATTAGCCAGGCTTGGTGGCAGGTGCCTGTAGTCCCAGCTGCTGGGGAGGCTGAGGCAGGAGAATGGTGTGAACCTGGGAGGTGGAGCTTGCAGTAAGCTGAGATTGCACCACTGCACTCCAGCCTGGGCGACAGAGCGAGACTCCATCTCAAAAAAAAAAAAAAAAAAAATCTGTTCATGTGATAGGAGAAGACCAGAGGAGCATAAACATTTGCTGCAAGCCTATGGTGATTGTCTTAGTCACTTTTGTCTCTTGGGGTCCTGGTGAAGACTCTCATTGTGGCTTGCAGATGGACACTTTCTTTCTGTGTGCTCATAAGGCAGTGAGAAAGGAGAGCTCTTTCTGTCTTCTTATGAGGTCATTAATCCCAACATGAGGGCCCTATCCTCATGACCTCATCCAACACTAATTACCTCTCAAAGACCCCCATCTTCAAATACTAACACATTGGGGGGTTAGGGCTTCAATGTATGAACTTGGGAGGGACACAATTCACTATATAGCAGTAATTAAGAACAGCAACAAGTAAAACTGGGTGCATAGTACATGCCAGGCACTGTACTAGGCACTTAGGCAAGCCTAAGAGAAAATCTCCACAGAAAGGAAAAAGGAAAGCTGAATTTCCCAGGGTCTCCTCCAGAGGAAGGTTGTGCTGTTCTTTACCCAAATCATCTTGAAAGCCCACTGTGTCCTAAAGCTTGTGGGGTAGAGAACGGAAGAGCTGCCCAGGGGTCGGCTCCAAGACTTACCTCTCTCCCAGGCTGCAGCTCCAGCAAAGACCCACCAAAAATCAAATGTTAAAGGTTCTTCTCAACCAGTGAATTCAAGGAGTATCTTATAACTTAAATACACTACACACTTATAACACACCAGGCACCAAGTGAGGAAATGGGATATGATCTCTGCCCTCCCAGGCTTATTGGAGAGACAGGTAAATGCCACCAACTGCTGAGTAAAGCACACAGGGATAGAGCTTTTACCCCTGAGCAAGAGTACAGAATCAGCCTGCCTAATACAGGACCTGATATGAACCACATGCTCAATGAAATGTTTGTGACGATGACAACTGAATGAGAAATGTTTGCAGAATGTCAACAGAAACTCTCAGAGAATTCAAGCAGACGGAAAAATGATCATTTCCTCCCTTCTCTCACTACATACTAGGCCCACATTATTCCAGAATTACTAGAAAGTCAAAAATAACTCCTTTTCCCATTTTCAGACAGCAGGATGACCTTTCTTAAAACTTATCCAGGAATTACTTAGTGAATATTTTCTATTGTAGATATCACCCACTCCTTAAAGTGGAAATGTCACTTAAAGAAAATCAGACTAAATAAGACAATTTAAAGTTTTATTGAGTAAGCTTCACAAATGGGCATTTTAATTGACATGTCCAGGTGCTCATTACAAATCAGAGAACCAAAGCTTCATTTTAAAAGTTAAAGCAATCTTGCTGCTCATAAAGTATTTTTTAAGCCTTAAATTTGTTCCTAATCAACATTTAATTTCATTCAGTGGTATCTATTTATCCATTGCTAGATACCTCCTTTTCAGAAAGAACCTAAGGTACTGTTTTATTCCCATTACAAAGCTCCATCTCAACCACCACAATGATTCATGGAAAGAACATCAGACTTAGCACCAGAAAATTTGTTCAAATCAAGATAGTAACACTTCCTAGCTATACGTCCTAGAGGAAATCAAAATGTTTCTAACCTTAGTTTCCTCATCAGCAAAATAGGGATAACAATGTTGACCTTAAAGGATTGTTTTGAAAATTAAATAAAATAAAATACTCAGATGTAATGTATACATTATAAAGCACCAGAAAAACGTAAGACAGTATTATTATTCATGTACGAAGATGGTTCATTCATTATTCAATGAATATTTATTAAACATTCCCACTTGGCAGACTTTTTGCTTGGCAGTGAAGATACAAAGTCAAGAAAAGACAGCCATCGCCCGTGAGGAGCCTACATTCCAGTGGAGGAACCAAAACTAAAAGGCGGAGGAAAGCTCTGGGTGCTTGGGAGCCAGAAGGAGCTCCTAGACTGGGTATGGGAAGTGAGGGAGGCCTGGGAGCCTCCTGTGGGGCTGACACCAGAAGGAACTCCATCACTACAGATCCAGCAAGAGTAAATAAATCTGAGTCCCTCCTCTGTGGGGTGGTCCACACACTCCACAGTCCTGGGCCTTAAGCTAGTTCAAAAGCATCCCAGCCCCTTAAGTCAGGTTTTCTCAACCTCAGCACCATTGATATTTTTGTCTGGATAATTCTTTGTTGCAGGGGCTGTCCTGTGCAAGGCAGGTTTGGCAGCATCCCTGGTCTTTACCCACTAAATGCCATAGCATGCTCCCCACAAAGCTGTGACACCAAAAACTTCTTCAGACTCTGCCAAATGCTCTCTTCAGTGCAAAATTGCCCCCCAGTTGAGAACTACTGCCTTAAGGTCATGGAAAACCAATGCAGTTGGTTCTGGAAGGAGTGGAATTCATGCATCCAGTGCCCAGACTTATACTAGATGCTCAATAAATACTGAATGAATGAATGAGATTCCTGGAACCCCTATATATGTTTTGGGCCTCATCTGGAAGAGCCCTGGAAGGATAGTTAAGTTTTAAGGTGCCCAAATGAGAGGTACCAATAACACCACATAAATTTATAAAGTGCTAGGTATAAATTGAATAATCTTGGGCCAGTAGCTCACACTCTCTGAGTCTCAGGTTCCTCAGTTCTTAAATGGGGATGATAATCCCTGTTTTGCAAGATCATTGGGAAAATTAAGTGAGAGAATTGTAACATATGCAGCATTAGGGGTCAAGGCACTCATTCTTTTGGTGCAATTGACAAAAGGAATCTTAGCAGAATGTCCTCCCAGTTAGTGGGTAAAGCTTATGGACTAGTGTAGTCTGGGTATATATTGCTTTTGTTATAGACATATGGAATACACGATGCCAGGGACTGACATATCAGCTATGCAACTCATCCCTCACAAGCAACCTGGTGAGTTAAAAGGCCCAGAATGTTGTGATTTGCCAAGGACTCTACAGCTAATAAGTAGTTCCCTGAACTCCAGCAAATCAGTCCATCAGCACCCAGGGCTGGCCAACCCACTGGCCCCACCAGCTCCATCACACTGAGGCTTGTTTGGACTGTGGGTTTGGGGGAAATGCTTTCTATATTCTGTGTTCTGTAGTTTTGTGTAGACATAGATCACCAGATCTGGAAATGTCTTCTGAAAATACAGGGAAGGGTCTCCAATTTTTAATTTCATCCTGAAATAAAACACAAATTGTTCAGCATGCTTGCCCCAAATTATTCTTCCCCGCTTCACAGCATATGGCCCTGAAGATCTCTTTGCTCGCTTGATTTCTATTGCAGAATGAATAAGGACTTTGGAATCTGACAGAGCAAGACTCCTCCCCTGACTCTTCAACTAATTGTGCAACCTTTGGCCACAATCTTTCTGAACTTTAGATTGTTCTTTCATAAAATGGAAATAGTGCAATGCCACAATCCTCTACCTACAATTCCAAAATCCAGAAGAGCCCTGAACTGCAAGGCTTTTTTGTGAGTTTGCAACTAACATCTTTGTCAGCAAAAGCTGATCTAACTAATGTGGGCTATTTTTAGACGTATATAACTCTACCTTCACTTTATCTAGCTGTCCAGTCTCCTGTGTTACTTCACAGAAGGGAGTCACTAGCTCCTGTTCAATTTGTTTTACCATTTATCCAACAAAAAAATGACAAGGAAGATGAAAGCCTGCTGGACATGTCCCTCATTAATTGTAAGGCAACAGTGATAGCCCTTTTACACACAGAGGGAAGGAATTACTTTTCTTTCATCAAAATAAATTTTCTTTTTTCCATCGTAGATATAAACTTAGAATTGGATTTTTTAAATTGTTCTCATTTCACATATAATTTGTAGGAATGAAAACAATACTTACTTTTTATGCTTTTCTTCATCAATGTGTTCTCCCAAATTCCGGATGAACTTTAGCAGATCACCCACAGTGTTCTGGTAGAAATTGCCTCTTTTTTCATAAAACTTATTCATTTTTTTCATAACACATTCATTAATCTAAAAAAACAAAAAATAACACAAAAATGTGGTAGCAACACAAAATAAATCCTGATGAAATATTCATACCAAAAGGCAAAATATAAATTTGAATATATTCATATATTCTATAATTACCAACTAATTAATAAAGCAAAATAATTTAAAAATGGAAGTAAATGCTGTATACCAAAATGCTAACTATAATTGTGTCTGGGCTGGGTGGGGTGGCTCACATCTGTAGTCCCAGCACTTTCAGAGGCCGAAATGGGCGGATCACCTGAGGTCAGGAGATTGAGACCAGCCTGGCCAACACAGTGAAACCTCGTTTCTACTAAAAGTTTCTGCTAAAAAATTAGCCAGGCGTGGTGGCGCTGCCTGTAATCCCAGCTACTTGGGAGACTGAGGCAGGAGAGTCACTTGAACCTGGGAGGTGGAGGTTGCAGAGAGCTGAGATCGCACCACTGCACTCCGGTCTCAGTAACAGAGCAAGACTCCATCTCAAAAAAATAATTTTTTTTTTTTCAAGACGGAGTCTCACTCTGTCACCAGGGCTGGAGTACAGTGGTGCGATCTTGGCTCACTGCAACCTCCGCCTCCCGGGTTCAAGCGATTCTCCTGCCTCAGCCTCCCGAGTAGCTGGGATTACAGGCACCCGCCACTATGCCCAGCTAATTTTTTTTTTTTTGTATTTTTAGTAGAGACAGGGTTTCACCATGTTGGCCAGGCTGGTCTCAAACTCCTGACCTCGTGATCCACCCACCTTGGCCCCCAAAGTGCTGGGATTACAGGTGTGAGCCGCCACACCTGGCAAAAAAATTAAAAAAATTTTAAAATTAAAACTATATATATAATTGTGTCTGGATGTGAGATTATAAGTATGTTCAAATGTGTGTCTGTATTTTCCAAGTAAATTGTTTTCATAAGAAATTAAATATATTAAAATATGGTTAAAAAATCTTTGACTACTATACTAGGAAAGTCGTTCATTATACTATACAATATTTTTATCCTGTGGCCACCCTTTCAAATTCGTACTTGATTACATGTCTTTCTTTAAAAGGGCTATTCAGACTGAAACTGGGCCTGGCAACCATGGCCAAAGTGAACGGTTTTGTTTGTTTGTTTTTGTTTTTTTAGGTATATTTCCAAAAGGAATAACTAATATTGTTAAAGTGATCACCCCGCCCAAAGCAATCTACAGATTCAATGCAATCCCTATCAAAATACCAACATCATTTTTCACAGAATTAGAGAAAAAATCCTAAAATTCACATGAAACCAAAAAAGAGCCCAAATAGCCACAGGCATCTTAAGGAAAAAAAAACAAAGTTGGAGGCATCACATTATGATATACCTCCAATTATTGTGCAAGGCTAAGATAACCAAAACAGCACAGTACTGGTATAAAAATAGACACATAGATCAATGGAACAGAATACAGAAGCCACAAATAAAGCCACATATCTACAACCAACTGATCTTAGACAAAGTCGGCAAAAACATACACTGGGAAAAAGACACCCTATTCAGTAAGTGGTGCTGGGAAAATTAGACTGCCATATGTAGAAGATTAAAACTAGACCTCTCTCTCTCAGTGTATACAAAAATCAACTCAAGATGGATTAAAGACTTAAATGTAAGACCTGAAACTATAAAAATACTAAAAGAAAACCTAGGAAAAACTCTTCTGGACATTGGTCTAGGCAAAGAATTCATGACTAAGACCCCAAAAGCACAAGCAATGAAAATAAAGAAACAGATGGGGTTTAATTAAACTAAAAACTTCTGCGCAGCAAAAGAAATAAACAGAGTGAACAAACAACCTGCAGCATGGGAAAAAAAATATTTGCAAACTATGCATCCAACAGAGGATTGATATCCAGAATTTACAAGGAACTCAAACAACTTAACAATAAAAAATAATAACACCATTAAAAAGTGGGCAAATGACAAGAATAGACATTTCTCAAAAGAAGACGTACAAATTGCCAAAAAGCATATGAAAAAATGCTTAACATCACTAATCATCAGAGAAATGCAAATTAAAACCAATGAGATATCATCTTATACTAGGGGCTACTATTAAAAAGTCAAAAAGTAACAGATGTTGATGAGGATGCAGAGAAAAGAATGTACTGAGTATCTGCCAAAATAA